>NC_000005.10:169397687-169700717 GCF_000001405.40 Homo sapiens
CTTGCTAATAACTTGATGATAACAATAGCTATTTTTAGTTAAGAGTTCATTATGTGCCACATATTTTGCTAAATATTTTGTTTATATATCATTTGGGTTCTCACAGATCAATATTTATGGACCTTATTTTATAAATGAAGAAATAAAATCTTGTTGGGTAATGGTAGATTAAGCAATCTTCGTGCCAAAGAAAATTTTTTAAAATTCTAGAAGAAAATGTAAAACATACTCCTCTAAGAACATCAAAGAGCAATCAAGTTAGATTAGAAATATTAGGCAAAGATATGGGAGAAAACAGACATCTGAAAAGTGAGCCTACATTTGGTCCTCTTTTAGCCCAGAGGATATTTACTAATGTGGGAGAAGTAGATGAGAGGCTGAGCAGTACTTTTCACAGTGTCATATAGAGTTAGGGAAACAAAAGTCGAAATCCAGGGCTTGCCAAAGTTAGGAGTCCTTATAAAACACTCTATACCTAGGATTAGGACCTGGAAGGACTTGATCCTAGAAATGATCACAAAATCACATTCATATGGAGTGCACCCTGGTTGTAAGTCATTTGGGTGGCCTAGAAAATTTCAAGCCCTAAAATTGAATTCAGATGATTTTATATTGCTATTATTCCCCACCCCTACAAGCACCTGGAAAAAAACAAGTGAGAATCCTCTCTGGACAAAGACAACAGCATGACAGTCATCAAATTATTTTTATAAATTAATTATTATATACAATAGCCAGACCACAATCGATAACAAGCCAGGAAGAGATAAGAAAACATTAAAAAAGAAAAGCAGAACAACAGAAATGTACCCCAAATACTTCAAATAGTGCAATTTTTAGGCATAGAGTGTAAAAACAATTAGCTTACTATTTCCATAGATATGAAAGTTGAATTTAAGGTATTTAGCAAAGAACTGGAAATTATGAAAGCTGGCTTAGCAGATTTGGAAAATAACTAAACCTATAGAGCTGAAAAAGGGACTCATTGGTTGTACTCAACAGTCTGTTAAATACAGCTGAAGAGAGATTTTATAAACTGGAAGAAAGGTCAGAAGAAACTATTCAGAAAATAGCCTGAGGAGAAATGAGTATATAACACAGAGAAGAGCAAGTAGGATCCTCAAGGATATAGTTAGGAGATCCAACATACCTGTAACTGAAGACCCAGAAGAAATAGGGAAAAAGAGATAACGACTGAGAATGGTTTAAAATTGATAAAAATATTAATCTACAGATTTGAGATATACTAATAAGTCCTAAGCAAAATATAAAAATAAGCCCACACCGAAACACATTATATTGAACTTTTTAGAAAAGAAATATTTTTTAAAACAACTAAAGGAAAACACAGATAACCTTTAAAACAATAGCAATAAGAGTGACAGATAAGTTTCAATAGCAATCAGGAAAGCCAGCAGAGTGGAGTGACAGCTTTTTATTTGCTTTAAGAAAATAATGCCATTATAGAAATCTATTTTCAGCAAAAATTATTTTCAAGAATAAAGGTGAGAGAATAATTCTGGGAAGATAGCTATAGTGATGGCAGAGGGTGTTTTTCAGTCTTTCTAAATCATTATATAAAAATTAGAGCAAGTGAGATTGCAAAACTAAGAGACCAAGAACAATATATAAAACAAAAATAAAGTATAAGGTATCTTCACCTACCCAAGACACAAGTGATTTGGATAGGTAGCTACTGGACATGTGTGGTGTAGCATGTATGCAAAAGAAATCAGAGGGAAGCAACAGGGCATTTGATTATCCTGAAAAGAAAACCACAGAATCCCCAGTAGTTATTCTCTGAAAAGCGTGAGTCCAAATTGAGATTTAGGAGCTTTAACTGGGAAGAATTTTCACATTACAATTGTCAGTTGCAGGCAAGGGACCTGTGGTAAGATTTCAATAGCTGGAACAACCAGACCCCTAGAGATTCTCAAAACTAACCAGCTCAAAGTTTCTTTCAGGATGAAACCCCACACTAGAGAAAAACTTCCATAAAATATTTCAAATTGAATACAACAGGATCAAAAAGGGCACAGGAAAGTGAAGAGCCAGATAAAAGTAGGGGAAGGGTAAAAAAGCCAGGAGGTCTCAGGAAATATGAGGTCATTTTTTTTTAACACTCTACAAAACAACAGAAGGAGGAACTCTTGAGTAGCAAGGTTAGAAAAACTATACTGATTCACTCTTCTTCCTAAATGTTCAATAACAAAAATTTCATATAAAAAGAAGAAAAACAGGAGATAACATTAATCATTATCCTTATGAAGTTATGATGAAAGAAATAAAATGAAGAATATAATAACATTTCTACAGACACTGAAGATACACCACAAAGACATGTCCACAAAGATTGTAACCTAATATATCAAACCAAACTACAAGAGATTAAGAAAACCATAAAAGACATGAAAGAAGAGCAAATAATAGAAATTTAAAACTCAGAAACAAAGTGGTAGAATTCCAGAAAGAATAAAAAATGAAAACAAATGTATTTCAGAAATAATGATTAAACTAGAGGGAACACATGAGCAAACAAAATAGATAATGGTTCAAGAGAACTAGAAGGTGAAAGGGAGAAAAAAAATAACTGAAGTGAAAAGACTAAAATTATTTGAGAGAAAATAAGAGAATGCAAGTGAGGAACCATATTAAACTACAATTTACCAGGCTCAGTGGCTCATGCCTGTAATCCTAGCACCTTGGGAGGCTGAGGCAGGAGAATCACTTGCGTCCAGGAGTGTGAGAACAGCCTGGGCAACATAGCGAAACTCCATCTCTAAATAAACAGAAAAATATAAAAATAAACTATAATTCAAGAAAACTTTGTGGGAATTGAAATGAAGAGACATGAAAAATACATATTGAAATGATACACTACTTAGCTGGGAAAATCAAACCTGAACAACTAATACCAAATGTATTCTAGAAAAACAATAGAACCTCATAGAAATAGAAAAATTCCTTTGAACATCCAGACAAAATTATGAAGTCACTTATTTAAAAAATTATACTGTCATCTGATATTTCAATAGCTATATTTTATGCCAGAAGACAATGGTGTAATATATTTAAAATTCTCACGTAGGAGAATGTGGATGGTTATGTATTCAGTTAAACTCTCTTTCAATGATAAAGGCCCCAAACAAACAATGAGCATGTAAGAATATTATTCTCATTGGTACTTTTGAAGAAGGCACTAGATGAAAGGCAATAACCAAAATTAAGAGAGAGTTATTGGCATAATATGGATGGAATTGATCATCAGTAACTTCTGTCATCAAAAAAGGGCAATCTGATTTTATGCACCTCTTGATGCATATTATCATTATCACTCAATATTATGCCTAACTGGGAAGGCTTGTTTTCATATTTAGGTCTACAATCCACCTAGAATTATTTTTGTGTGTGTGTATTGTGTTAAGATAGGAGTCAAATTCCTTTTTCCCCATGCACATATCTAATTATCCCAGCACTGTTCATTGAAAATGCCATCCTTTCCTCACTGCTCTGCAGTGACACTTGGACATAAATCAAATAGCCATGTACTGTGTAGCTCTGCTTCTGTTATGCCCAATCATTGAATCTGAATCCAATAAATTCTTTAGATCTAACTATCAATTTGTGGAAAATACAAGAGAGAGAGGAGCATGTTAAGTGACACTCCAGAAAGGCCATCAGCAAAAGCTAAGTTAATGGGAAACTACACATGATAAGTAACGGTAGCTTCAAAAAATAAATTGCAAGAAAAGAAAAGATCTATGGAGATAAAACTACAGGAAGTTAAGGGGAAACTACACAGGATAAGTAACAGTAGCTTCAAAAAATAAATTGCAAGAAAAGAAAAGATCTATGGAGATAAAACTACAGGTTAAAAAAACTAAAATTTTTATTAAGCAATTATGATGTATAGACTTCATTAGGATCTTTATTCAAACAAACAAACTGGAAAAAGATGAAGATGAAATATAGACATTTTCAGACCAAAGAGACAATGGAGAGAATTTGCCACTAGTGGGTCTGCACTAAAGGAAACAGTAAAGGATGCTGTTCAAACAGAAGGAAAATAATGGGCAGCAAGGGTCAATGCATAATGAAGATAATCTAAATGAAATGACTAAAAAAATTAACAAGATCAATATAAAAAAACAACTGCATTTCTAAATTCAAACAGCAGTTTGAAAATCAACTTTATAAAAAGATGCCATTTATAATAGATTTTAAAATATCAAGTTTGTAACAATGAATCTGACAAATATCTGCAAAACCTCCTCACGGAAAATTATATGAGAGAATTTTTTAAAAAATCCTAAACAGATGGAGATATACCTTGATTGTGAATTAGAAGATTCATTATTGCAAAAATGTTCAATTCTCCCCAGATTGATTTTGCATTAAAAAAAATCCAAACTGTTTGCTGTGGAAATTTTAAATATGATTTTAAAATATAAATAGAATTTCAAAGGGACAAGAAGAGTAAGACAACTTACAGAAGGAAAATAAAATGGAAAGACTTGCTCTATTGGACATTAAGACTTATTGTAACGTTACAGTAATTAAGATAATGTTTTGGGCCAGGCGCGGTGGCTCACACCTGTAATCCCAACACTTTGGGAGGCCGAGGCAGGCAGATCCCTTTAGGCCAGGAGTTTGAGACCAGCCTTGCCTACAGGGTGAAACCCTGCCTTTACTAAAAATACAAAAATTAGCTAGGTGTGGTGGTGTGCACCTGTAATCCCAGCTACCTGGGAGGCTGAGGCACAAGAATCACTTGTACTCAGGAGGTGGAGGTTGCAGTGAGCCAAGATGGCAGCCACTGCACTCCAGCCTGGGCAACAGAGGGAGACTCTGTCTCAAAAAAAGGAAAAGAAAAGAAAAAAGAAAAGATGATGCTAAAAGGTAAAAGATGGGCAATATCAAATGCTGATGAGAATGGAAAGCAACAGAAATTCTTATACACTGTTGGTAGAATTATAAATTAGCACACATTGGAAACACTTCTGCATTATCAACAAAATTTGGACATACTGCATGCCTGCAACCCAGCAATTCGGAAATCCATGCCCATGTGCCCCAGGAGACCAGGACAAAATTCACAGCAGCATTACTTATGATGGCCCCAACTGAAAATAACCCAAATACCCATCACAAGTAGAAGGTCTACACAAATTGTGGTATATTCATACAATGGAGTACTATAAATAACAAGAACAAATGAATTATAGCTACATACAAAAAGGAAGCTGAATCACAAACATAGAGGAAAATAAGTCATGCACAAAAGAATACATGCTGCAGAGTTTCACTTACCTACATTCTAAACAGGCAAAACAAACTACAGTATTTGGGAATATTTAGGTGGTAAAACTAAAGAAATGCAAGGAATTCCACCATATAATTCAGAATTGTGTGTCTATTTAGGCAAAAGGGACAGAGCGTAATAGACAAATGGCACAGAGAGGGCTTTTAAGGTCCTGGTAAAATTGAATATCATGCCCTGATTGGTAGTGACCTGGGTGCATTCACTTTATATGAACTCACTAAGTTGTATACTTATGTATATGTATGTTTTATATGTCTTTTGTACGTCTATTTCACGTTATACAGTTTTAAGGGGTTTTAAAAGAAGATAGAAAATCAATGCTCAGAGATTTTGAGTTTTCCAAGGAGATATACCCATCAACTCAAGGCTGCCCTGGTTTTCCTAACCCCTGAGGCCTGCACTCTCAAGCACTACCTACAAGTTGGTCATCATCTAGTAAAGGATATTGCTTATATCTATAATACAAGAAAGAAAAGAGACAGTGATATCAGAGAGGTAGAAGGAGAACAAAACAAAGGAAGAGATCGTGTCAACCCAGCTATTGGAAGGGATGTAGCATGTACAAGTCCAAAGGGCCACAGCTTTAGGTTCTCAAAGCTACAGGTTGTATGGATGTGGTCATCCTAACCTCGAAGAGTAAATACGATGCCAGTGTTGCATCTGGTAGCCTGGAGACACAGCCTCTTCAGCACTCTCTGAAACAAAGGTAAGACTTATTTTCAGAGTAAGCAGCCTGGAGAACAACCATCTCAGACCTGAGCACCCACGTTTTTCACACAGGAAATCATGCCTTCATGCCTGCCATGAATAAACTTTGCCAAAAAATTGCAGTTCTTTTCGAATTACAGAACATTTAAGAAGGACCAGCTCTGTCAAGTTCTCCGACAGGTGGGGTAGACATGACCTAAACTCATGCCCATTCTCAGAAGGACAGTCTAGCAGGTGAGTTGCCACATTAACACATGAATGTCTTTTAAAGGGACTA
Organism: Homo sapiens; assembly: GCF_000001405.40. Classification (NCBI taxonomy): domain Eukaryota; kingdom Metazoa; phylum Chordata; class Mammalia; order Primates; family Hominidae; genus Homo; species Homo sapiens. The sequence goes on from NC_000005.10 coordinate 169,403,996, forward strand.
GTATTATCACGGAGAAAGATTAGAAGGTACTAGGGGAGTGGATACATTCTACCTGGGAGAGCATGGAAGGTATCCTAGAAGAGATGGCATTTGAACTGGATGTTGAAGGATGATTTGGTTTCTACCAAATCTAACAATAGCTTAATGAGTCGAATGAATGACCCACAGTGATTAAGTTTCTTCTGCAAATTTACAGATGGCCTCAATGAGCAAGAGGGAAAACACATGAGAGTAACCATCTCTACAGAGCCAATCAAACCTCGTGGGACTAGAGGGAGGAGACTGGGAGCTTAAAGCCAGCTAAAAACAAATCTAGATGTCCGCCACCCAGGCCCTCTTCTTCTCCCCACTCTCAGCCTGAACCTCCACCCCAGTCTTCATGTTTCTTCACAGGCAGCCAGGAGCTTCTGAATCTTCCTTCTGGTTCACAGAGAAGTGACTCACAGCAATAAATACCAAGAAGAAAAAGAAGCCTTCCATGAATACAAGGGAAGGATCAGGACCAGCATAAAGCACCCAACTCTCCTTTCTATGAAACAGATAAATAAAGCAATACCAACAACCTAGAAGTGATGTGCCTCCTATCTACGTTCCCTGTCACATGCCCAAGTGTCTTCACTGCATCTGACAACATGGCAAGGCAGAAACACTCACCAGTTCCTATCATTCTGGCAGAGACATGGTGTAATTTGCAGAGACTTTTTCAATGCCCCCCAAAACCGGCACAGTTGGCCCATCTCCTATGAAAAGAAACACTGTTTGTAATTCATATAGTGCATCTGGGTTGGAGGGGTCCATCTTGATTTTTTTTTCCCAGTAATCAGACCTCTGGACACTTCTGGATCTGCTTGTCTCATAGGCAGTTTTTGCAGTTCTTTTCAAATTACAGAACATTTAAGAAGGACCGGCTCTGTCAAGTTCTCTGACAGGTGGTGTAGACATGACCTAGACTCATGCCCATTCTCAGAAGGACAGTCTGAGGACAGGTGAGTTGCCACATTAACACATGAATGCCTTTTAAAGGGACTGGTATTATCATGGAGAAAGATTAGAAGGTACTAGGGGAGTGGATACATTCTACCTGGGAGAGCATGGAAGGTATCCTGGAAGAGATGGCATTTGAACTGGATGTTGAAGGATGATTTGGTTTATACCAGTTTCACAAGGGGAAGGGCCAATACAGATAGAGGCAAAAAATGTGCAAAGACATGGGTACTAATTTGATATTTGTCCTAATTCTAATTTCAATTCCAATTGGTAATGCTCATGCTAATTCTAATTTACTGAGGATTATTGTGAGTTGGGATGCTATACCAATCTCTTTACATTACTTGTTTTATTTAAATCCTGTAAAGCCCATATGGTATAGAAATTATTAGTATCATCCCCATTTAGATAAGGACCTATATTTGGAGGAGTCATACTCTTGGTACTTGAGGGAACCTTGATAGTGAGATATTAAGGCATGTATTTGGGCACTAGGTTACACTGCCTTTGGGGGTATAGGCACCCTAACAAAGAGTAGAGTTAAGATTCAAAAAGGAAGATAATCCAATATTTAGAGCCTTTCCATTTCTCCTAGAACACCAAAGAGATGAGAAGGGAGATGTGTGAGTGGCTCTTTAAACACGTATCTGTACTTGTGAAGAAATTCTTTCTTGTAGGAAAGAACTAAAGAGAGGTGTGTAATAGCATGCTGGGCGTTGATAGAGTGAACAGAGATAGGTTCAGACAGTCCCAGAAAACTAGACCTCCAGGGGTCAGATCAGCAGTAGCTAAAAATGCTATTTTACAAAGCAGGCAGGAATCCTTGGATTCATTAGCTTGTGCACATAGAAATAACTCTAAAAATGGTTTAGGTAAACTCCCGAATAAAAATCAATATGTTTGGGATATAAAGCTCGCATCAAGAACATACACGTCTACTTTGGCCCCAGCGAGTCTTGCCCCTGCCAGCCTGTCCTATAACTATGGAGAACAGAAAATGGGGAAGCCAGCTTCAGAAAATCCCGTAGGATAAGGCTGTGTCTTTAATTTAGGACATTTATAAACACCTTTTAAAAATTTGTGTTTAACTGACAAACAATAACTGTACATATTTATGGGGCACATGTGATATTTGATACATGTATATGACGTGTAATGATGAAATCAATTTTATCATTTCTTTGTGTTGGGCACATTCAAAATTCTCCCTTCTAATTACTATGAAGTAAACAATAAATTATTGTTAACTATAGTCACCCTGCTGTGCTATAGAACACTAGAACTTATTGCTCTAACAGTAATTTTGTCCTTGTTAACCAACCTTTCCCTATCCCCCAGTACCCTTCCCAGACTCTGGTAACCACAATTCTACTCTCTGCTTTTATGAGCTCAACTTTTTTAGTTCCCACATATGAGTGAGAATATCTAATATTTGTCTTTCTGTGTCTGTTTTATTTCACTCAACATAATGTCCCCAGCCTCACCCAAGTTGCTGCAAATGACAGAATTTCATTATTTTTATGGCTGAATAACATTCCACTGAGTATATATACCACACATTCCTTATCCACGTATCTGCTGATGGATACTTAGGTTGATTCCATATCTTGTCTATTGTGAGCAGTGCAGCAATAAACATGGGAGTGCGGATGTTTCTTCAACATGCTGACATCCTTTCCTTTGGATATACAGACAGTAGTGGAATTGCTGGATCATATGGTATTTCTATTTTCAGTTTGTTGAAGAACTTTTACACTTTTTTCTGTAGTGGCTGTACTAATTATATTCCTACCAAAAATCAGTGTGGTTTTGATTTGCATTTCCCTGATTATTAGCAATATTGAACATTTTTCATATATTTCTCGGCCATTTATATGTCTTCTTTTGAGAAATGTCTTTTGAGACCATTTGCCCATTTTTAAAATCAGGTTGTTATTATTATTTTGCTGTTGAGTTGTTTGAGTTCCCTATATATTCCAGATATTAATACCCTATTGGATGATATCCAATTATTGTAGAGATCTTTCATCTCTTTGTGAGTGAGTGTGAGAATATCCCCCTGTAAGTAGCATCAGGAGGCCCAAGGAGGAGAAAGACCAAATCTGAGGCTTGATGCAGGTAACTCCCACTAGCATTAGAGGCCCAGCAAATGCCCCTTGCTCAACCCCTTGACTTAGCAGTGCTTTGTTAAAGTAAATATGTATATATGTAGGGGTGGGAGTGGGAGTATAGAACTTCCTTCCCTCTAGACTTAGGCAGAATTTTGAAGAAGAGGGGTGAAATTCTTCTTCTCTGCACAAAGGCCTTTCCTCAGATTAGGATGCCCCAATAGGCAAACTCCATATGAAAATGACCTAATCTAGAAATTATCATTCACCAAAATGAAAACTGACCCTGGGTCCTGTGTCAGTGAGACAGGGCGTATCTGTACATAAGTGCACCTACATGTGTGCTGTGAATACAGCTGGAGACAGACAGTGCCTTGGTAAAGAGAGCCAAGCCCTCACTCCTTGTACTCACAGGAACACATAGTGAGACTGTAGAAGAAGAGTCATTTTTATATGAAACATAGCTCTTATTCTGTATATATTTTGTGAGCGAAATATAGCATTTATTAACACCATACAAGCAGAGCAGTGGGGAGTGCTTGAGTCACAAGCTTCAGAAGGCCTCTTCCTTCTAGCACCTTCTCCTTAGACCAGCTAACCTGCCATGAGACTGTTGTGTAGCCATCTTCACCTCCTCATCTTCAGGGAAGGGGATGAAAATATCTGTGCACTGCAAATGTTAACTATATATACACACACACACACACACACACACACGTACAGTAGGCCCTCCATAACCTGAGGTTCCACATCTGCATATTTTACCAACTCTGGTCCCTGCTACTCAGGAGGCTACTTGGGGCCCCGCCCAAGGGAGGATTGCTTGAGCCTGGGAAGTCGAGGCTGCAGTGAGCTATAATCCTGCCACTGCACTCCAGCCTAGGGGACAGAGCAAGAACTGTTTTTGATGGATTTGGGGCAGGTCTTTGAAGCTGTGTTGCCTCTTCTCAGCACTTGGTTCTCCTCTACCTCCAAAGAGGAACTTCAATCCCAGCCATTACAATGGGATGCAGCTCAGTGATTCTCTCCTACCCCATGAGGAAATAACTTGTCTACCCATTTCAGGCACGTGTCCTTTCATTTAAACCTAAAATATTTCTGGGAAAATGACATCACAATTTCATTTGAAAACTCTCCTCAGTGTCCTGAGAGGAAGTTCTTCCAGTTGTCTACTTGCAATAGGAATCCATGTCCTTTCCCTAGGTCCTTGCTGGAAAGCGTGGGTGGACTTTATTAAGCCATTTGTCAGCGTTGACTCCTGTCACTAGGTAATCATGATCCAGTCAGCATTTCCTCATATCCCGCCTGTCAATAATTAATCAACCTCTCTTGAGAGCTCTGAGAGCTTTGATAAGCTTAAGTGACAATATCCAGAGTCAATCTTGTCTGACTGTCAGGTCTAAGACTCGCCTCACTTCCCTTGCACTATGAGAGGCCATTACTGCTGAAATGTGTAGATATGAACTAGTTTTTCTCATTAGGAAATCTAGAAATCTGTGTTTTCAACTACTCATTCATTCTACTATCCTATCTGTGACCTGCTAACTTGTAGGATGACTGGTGCCAAGCTGGGCCTTCCAAAATCACAGTCAGGAGACAGAGAGATGTTCAGGCCACTTTGATGGAGACTGGTGGCATTTTGGGTTTTGCAAACAAAATATTGAATCATTTCCATGCATTCAGGCATCAGCATCACAATTTGAAAATGACATCGTGAATTTGATGTAGGAGATGGGCCCCTGCAAAGCTGGGAACATGCAAAATTTTTGGAAACCAGAATTAACTTGCCATATGGATTGGCAACCACATTTCAAAGTTCCTGAATTTGTGATTCATTGTGGTCAGTTTTAGGTTTCTCTCCAAATTCTTACTCCATCCCATTCCTAGATGAATAGTTAATTTTATGAAAAACAACAATAAAAACCCAAACTTTGTGAAACTAGTGGTGGTCTCTATTAAAGAGCAGATTATTTTCATAAAGGAAACTCTTTAGGCATAAGGGATGAAAATAGATATCTCCTATTACAATGATTCCCACACTTTTAGATTTTATTGAGTAGTAAAATGGCCTCAAATATTTTAGGACTGACAGAGGACTGCCAATATTTTATTTTGCCAAGTTAGGATATTATAAAATAAATGTTAAAAACAAATAAATACCATTTGCAATTATCCTTATTTCATAATAATAGATGGGATATCTTAACACCAAAATGCAAAAAGGCTATAATCTCAAAATGAATTAAGAGACGACAGTTGGCATTAGTGCACTGGTTTTTAAATAGAGATTTTAAAAGCTTTTAAATGTTGAAAAATGGCAAGATACATTTAATTCGTGGTGTTATTTTGAATGTAACTTATTTTTTGGTACAAGTTTGATCATGTTAGGAACACACATTCACCAGAAGTACATAAATAGAAGCTCGAACATTCAATTTTTGTTTCTATCATAGACCTTATTTAAAATCCAGGTTGGACCAGGCGCAGTGGCTCATGCCTGTAATCTCAGCACTTTGGGAGGCCGAGGTGGGCGGATCACAGGGTCAGGAGATGGAGACAATCCTGGCTAACACAGTGAAACCCCATCTCTACTAAAAATACAAAAATTAGTCAGGTGTGGTGGCACGTGCCTGTAGTCCCAGCTACTTGGGAGGCTGAGGCAGGAGAATCGCTTGAACCTGGGAGGCGGAGGTTGCAGTGAGCTGAGATCATGCCGCTGCACTCCAGCCTGGGCGACAGAGGGAGACTCCGTCTCGAAAAATAAAAAATAAAAATAAAATAAAATCCAGGTTGACACAAGCATGTGGACCTAAGTGGAAGAAGTATACCTAATAATACCATTTCTCTCAATAAACATTGTTGTGGGTTGAATTCCATCTCCCAAAGAGATATGGCAAAGTCCCAATCCCCAGTACCTGTGAATGTGACCTTGTTTGGAAATAGAATCTTTACAGAGTTATCAAGTTAAAATGGGGTTATACTGGATTCGTGTGGGCCCTGGTCCAGTGACGGGGGTCATTATAAGAGAAGGGAGGGAGACACAGAGACACACACAGAGGAAAAACAGCCATGTGAAGACGGAGGCAGAAACTGGAGCGATGGGTCTACAAGCCAAGGAACACCAAGGACTGCTAGCAACCACGAAAAACTACAAAGAGGCGAGAAAATAGTTTTCCCTAGAAGCTTCAGAGGGGGCATGGCCCTATCAGCACTGATTTTAGATTTCTGCTGTTCAAAACTGTGACACGATAAATTTCTGTTTTTTTTTTTTTTTAAGCCATCCAGTTTATAGTAAATTTGTCACAACAGCCCTAGGAAACTAATGCCAAGACTATCCTGGGCAAACTAAAGAAGCCAGGAAAAAATAGCCCCTCACTTTCTAGTTCCTTGCTCGCTCTTCTTGCTACATGGTCAAAAAAAGAAGAGCAGGGAAGGTAACCAGGGGTCTCAGCAACAGGGGTTGCAGGAAAGTGTGCCCATTCAGCAGAGTCACATGTGGGGACAGAGGTATGCAGGGCTCTGGTCACTCTCAAGAAGTAGAAATTTACATAAAAGGATTGCAATAAATTTCATCCCAGATCAGCATTGGTCATCAGAGTTTTCCCAAATGGTAAACAAAACAAAACAAAACAAAACAAGCAATCCTGACAAAATAGCAAGAACACACTGTGCAAGTTCCCATTTTCACATAGTAGATTTTCTTAAAGCAAGGCACCCTTGAACTGAAACATCCCATGGACCAGGAAGTGTCCCCAGTGGTGATGGGGGCAATGTCTCTAGGGGGACCACTGTGCAGGCCATTCAGAGCACTTAAACAGCCCTATCAGAGCAGCTCCTGGACCAAACACAAGCGTTCCCATCTGTGTTTGCCTTCCTCCACTCTTGTTTTCAGGCCTAGGGAGGGTGGTATCTGTCCAGAGGCTCCTGGGTTATGGCTGTATTTAAATGCCTGGTTCAAAACCTCATCCACCTCTCTCAAATTTGACAATTGTTTAAGTATTATTGCTTGACTGGATGCAGATGTTCGGCTCATCTTTTGTTGGGAGGAGTACTTCTTTAGAAGAAGTGGGAAAATTGGCTTTTTTCTTCTTTTTTTTCAGACACATATTTTATCTTTATGTTTGTATCAAGGGCTGCCAAGAGATGCATCTGGTCCCCAAATCAAGAATCTCACACTCCTCCTCCCAACTCACAGCTTTCCAAGTGTCTTTCTTTGTGATCTCTGCCCAAGCAAGCTGTCGGCAGAGCTCAATGGACAGATGACCAACACCTCCTGAAAGAAAGCAGAGCCTGTTCTCATCAATGCCAGGAAGAACAGCACTGATGGTATTTTTAATGTCATCTCCTGCCTTTTACCTTTTTTATACAACTCATTTTCTGATTAATATTTTCAGCAGCTAGAGCAAATGCCAGTTTAATTACATTTCCACACCATCCCCCCTTTATCCAATTAGTGGGTTCACTGGCTCCTCAACAACCTTTAGCGTCTGCGTTTTCAGTGAATGCTCAGTTGCTTTTGGTCTCGCCAAAAAAAATCTGTTACATATTAAGTTATAATAAGATATAGGCAATTATAGTAGCAGCAGGACAAATAGATTTGTATGGTTCATTACAAGGGATTTCTGGAACATACGTAGTGTAAATAACCAGTTTCTGGGGCAAAGCATATTTTGGAGGAAAATATTTAAAAAAAAAGATTGGAGGGGAAGAGGCCATTATTAGTTATGATAAGAAAGCTCTGAATGTAAAGAAATCCTACCAGTTCAGTAGCTCTCTGTTATTTCAACACATGAACCAGAAACAGAAATAAATGATGAAGGGACTTTCCATGGAAAATGGGTGGTGATCTGTTTTTCATATTTAGAAAGAAAGAGTAAATAATACCATTGTCATTGCCTTAGAGGAGACTGAACAAACAGGAAAACTAACCCGAAGGGAGCATCTGATATGTGATAAGCCATGTGCCCACACTTTGCCATTTGCACACATTACCTCCTTTAAATCTCATGACAACCCTGGGAGATATTAGGGTGAGATATTGGAATGACAATTTCATAGAGTTCACCCTAATAGCTATTGTTTTATAAAGGAGAATACTGAGGCTCATGAAGTTGGTAACTGCTCAGGGCCACCCAGCTAGTAAGTGGCTGAGTCAGAAATACATTATGGGTCTTTCTGGCTCCACAGACAGTGCTATTTCCAAGATACTACTCTAGGCCAAGAGACTCTTCTAGGGTCAATACATGAATAAAGTAAAAGAGGAGCCTTCCTGCCTGCAACAATTTCAGAAATGTCAGAGAAGTTCCTCTCCTAAATTAATTAATATATTGGCTGATGAACATCACTCAATATACGTTAGATTATGCATCATTCTAGCAGATCTTAGTAATGAAGTAAAGGAATGGCATTCCACTTCAAGGGAAAGAAAGGGGCTTCCATAATGGGAATGAAAAGATATCAAAAGAAATGATAGATTAGGGAAAGCAAGATTGCTTGAATTTACAATTTTTTTCTAAGTAGACCCAAAGCTGGTTGACCTTAATGACTCAGTTCTGCTTCAAGGATGTAATTTTTTAAAAATCTGACATTGGGAAATATATCTTCTTCTTTACTATACTTAAGAAAAATACTACTTCCTAAGAGCTGCACCTGAACAAAACCTTGAGAAATCTTGCTCTTCCTGTCACCCAACTTATCTGTAAGCCATAAGCATTATTGTTTTTATCTTAAAAAAAAAAACTTCCAGGGAGGTGGTTCTTCAGCACTCTTCAACGTTCCATATGGAGAACTATTTTTCAACCAATACCACTCTGCAGAATCCATTTTATGACTCCCAGGATAAATGCACGGCATTTTGCCTAATTCTTCAGCCCACATTGGAAAGTTGGGTTGAAAAATCCCATATAAGTAAATACTCCATGAGTTTATACAGGCTGAAGTCACTAAGCTCAGAATATTATCCAGCTCCCCAGAGAGCCTACTGCAGCATGTGAACATGACTTTAAAGAGATGTGCCAAGATGCTGACCTCTTTCCCTTTGAGAAACAAGGGCTGGAATGGAAGATTCTGAGCCAATGCTGGTCACTGGGATGGGTAGAGAGTTGGGCTGAGTGAAACTTGCATTCAATCTTAGAAGCAGGTCAGCTGGATGCAGATGCCAGCAGCCAACCTGGCAGCAGAAATCTGGCTGTTGAATTCTCAGGTGGTGAGCATGGGGGTTGGTGGTGTCAACATGAGCCCACCTGCTATCTTTTGAGCTCCGCGTGTCCACCTTCACTGGCTCCTAAGTTGCCTCTTCCTCCCAGGGAAGCAGTGCAGTGAAGTGAGGAGTGCTGTATTTGGAGTACTGAGAGGTGAGTTTCGTAGGTCTCTGCCTTTACATACTTACAAAATTTTTAATCAATCCATTTCTAAAGTCTCTGTTTCCTCATCTCTAAAGTAAGGGGTCCAGAATTTATAACCCATTCTCCTTTCAAGCACTGAGATACATGAGTGTATTCTCTGAGTCATGGACAACAAAGGCCAAGGTTAAATTCCAGGATTCATAGAGTCTATTCTAATAGAACTCATATGTGGCAGAATTTAAAAAGCTGCAAACTGGACATCAGACATAATAAGACAGAGGGACTCAAACGTACCTCTCTGGACTCCTGGTCCCTTTAGAGTTGCACTACTTTATTATCAAATCCTATGGGAAAGAGCAAAGGAAAAAATAATTTATATGAGACATGTCTCCTAGAGGGACCTCCCTACCCATGGTTGTATTGAGAAGGCAAATCTGGGTCGCTATGTTGAATGCTGTTGGGCCCCACCCAGATCTAGCCATAACTGATGGGACGGGGTCTGAGAGCAATCCACGTGCTGTCCAGTGAATCTCAGACCAAGCGGAGTCCTCCATCAAGAATTTAAAATTTGAGAACTGGATGATTAAGCCAGTAAGAGTAGGGACAGGAACTGAAACAGTATCCTGGAAAAGTGTCTAGAGAGTCCAGGGGCAATTGTCAGGGTGGATCATGAGTAAATTAAAGCTATGAGGGAGCATAAACTATGGGTGAGAAAAGGAGTGGTCCTGTGGTACCAGAGATGGCCCTCCCAGTCCACCAGTCCTCTTGGCATTCATGCCCTTTCATAGTCTTCTCACTTTGAATTGGGACTGACCCTACAACTGGTCGAACATGGTGGAAATAACAGAGCATGGTTTTCAAAAATAGGCCGTAAAAAGCCTTGCAGCTTCCACCTGGGTATCTTGGGATGTTCCCTTCGAACCCAGCTGCCACGCCAAGAGAAATCCAAGCCACATGGAGAGGACACAGTTACTGGAATTGGCAGCCTCAGCTAAACTCCTAGCCAGCAGCCATGTGAGTGGGCCACCTTGCAAGTCTAGCTAGGTTCAGCCTTCAGATCAATCTAGCCCCAGCTGCCACCTGACTGCAACTACAAGAAACACCTTGAGAAAGAACTAGAGAGTGCAGTCAACCCACAGAGGCATGAGAAATAGTGATCACTGTTCTTTTGAGCCACTCCATCTGGGAGTGGTTTGTGGCATAGCAACAGGACCATAGAGAAGGAATCACCATAAATATTAGGTTGGTGCAAAAGTAACTGTGGTTTTTGCAATTACTTTTCATGGTAAAAACTACGCTTATTTTTGCACCAACCTAATATATATACCTACTATATACTCAGAAAATTAAAAAAAAATTTTTTGAGACAGAGTCTCACTCTGTCACCCAGGCTGGAGTGCAGTGGCATGATCTCGGCTCACTGCAACCTCCACCTCCTGGGTTCAAGTGATTCTCCTGCCTCAGCCTCCCAAGTAGCTGGGATTACAGGCGCCCGCCACCACACCCAGCTAATTTTTGTATTTTTGGTAGAGACGGGGTTTCACCATCTTTGCCAGACTGGTCTTGAACTCCTGACCTTGTGATCCACCTGCCTCGGCCTTCCAAAGTGCTGGGATTACAGGTGTGATTCACTGCGCCCGGCCAAAAAAACGGTTTTTTTTTTTTTTTAAAAAGAGACGATATTGGATAGATGGAGAGAAGACACTCTCCAAGACAGATATTGGTGCCCAAGATTTCTAGCCCTCAACAGAGCCATATCTATCTTTAAAACAGCATTCTTTTATTTGAAGCAATTTGAGGGGATCTCCTTTCCTTATTACATAAACAAACCAACTAAAGTCCAACTGGAACAAGACAGAAATAGAAACCTAGTGAGTAGAGAGTCTAGGACAGAGGTTTCCGGAAGCTAGTCTATGAATAATTACTTGCACTAACAAGGTTTTTACAATTCTGTAATGTAATAAGAAATATAAAAACAATGTAAGAATTTATGTTCATGAACCTAACTCTATTCACACTAATAAAGGCAGCCTGTAAAATTATCTACTCTGAGAGTCTGAAATATGAAGCAGAAGAGCATCAGATCCCCAGCACCAAGCGTTACTCATCAGATTCCTGGTCATCAGGAGATGAAGACATTTATGTCTCTCCCTGCCTCTCCTCCCTCTATCTTCCTTTTTCTCCCTGTAAGCTCCAGAAATGCAACGTCTGAGAATTGCTTTTACCTCCCCTTCCTGGTCAGCCTGTACTGTGCTTAGGGAAGAACTCTCACTTCCGCTATGTCATGTCCTTCTTCCTCTCTACCCCAGAACCATGGCTAGGCATCAATAGCGATGGCAAAAGAAGGAAAAACAAATATTGGGGAAAGGGAGAGTATGCATAGCTTTTATCAGAGTCAAGAAAAGAAGCCCCCAGTATGACAGGTGGAGAATCTATTATTTCTCAATGCCTTGGCCTTGTTCTAAACTTAGCTAGTTAACCTATATTTGAATAAGATAAATAGATATCTGTTAAACAAGATGCCCTCTCCTGTCTAGCTCCTCCAACACTTCACATGGTGTACATTACTGGAACTCAGGTAGTTTAACGGCTCCTGCTGTTCACAAAGACAAAAGAACAGTCCTTCCACAGGCTCCACCTCGCCTAAGGTTACAGAGAACCTGGGGCTGGGGCCCATGGCGTTCCTTGCCAGCCTTCTCTTAGGTAGGAGATCAAAGCCTGGGCAGACAGCCCGCCGACCCTGATTTGCATCATGAAAGTCACCTGTCCAGCACTGCCCCAGAGGCAAAGAGATCAAAGCTGGGAGGGCAGCTGGGAGCAGGGAGGAAATAAAATATTGATTTAATGAGATGCATGGTAATTCTCCTCCATCCACCTTCTCAGTAATGAAAGTGAGGCTGTGAAGTGACCATTATCCGTGCTCCTTTCATGAACCCACATTATGGCTCCCACTTGCCCTGCCATATGGGTCTCATGCAGTCTTTCCCAGAAAAAGAAAAACAGGAGGGAAAAGACTGAGAGAGGCCATGCAATCAGATGGTTTCCCAAGCACCTCCACCACCTTGGTGCAAGTATGCCATAAGGAGGTGTGTTCTGAACTGTTTCAGTCCCAGTTCAAAAATAATTACATGCAGAAACTCAAAATCTAAAACAGATAAAAGAGCATCTGCTCAAAAAGACATGGGGGAAGGGTACTCTAGAGCCCCCGATGCTTCTTCTCTAGTAACTGAAGAAGCCACAGAGGACAAACGGAAAATGACTTTGCTAACTTTGAGAATTTCTATTGCTGAAGTGCTCTGAAGTTTACCATACTCGAGCTGGGCTTCAATGAATGGGTTGAAGGTGGGCGGAGATGAGAATAAGAAGGCATGTCAAGCTTGGTAACAAGCTGAGATCTTAAAGCAGCAGACAAAAGTCAAGTAATGGGCATATTTTCTGGCTGGAAAGGCAAAGCGGGGCAGAGACATATTGATTTCGAGGTCTTGGGGGAATTCTCCGTCTGAAACTCCTGCCGAAGATGACGTCACTGACCCTCATCAGAGGCCGGGCCCTGGGGAGCTGTGGCTCACCACAGAAGCAGCTACAGTTTCTGTGTAAGAGGAGCCAAAGCCCTTTTGGCCCTGGCTGCGGAGTGTGGGCGGGCAACGGAGGATTTAAGGATTAAGTGGTGAAAATGTTAAGTGAGCACGGGCTCCTTATTCATTGTCTAGATTTTAACATCTTTCAGCTTTACTCCAATACCCAAGCAGGACCGTTTATGTGTTTGTTCACCATATTTCTTAAAATATGATTAAGTTTGTCTTTAAAAAAAACTGGCCTCTCTCCCCAGGACAGTTACCCTGGTGCCATTTGCAATCTGGTCAATCTGGTTTCCAACTGAATTCAACTTGCCTCAGCTACCGTGAACTTCTTACTGGTCCCCAGCCATGTCAGGCCCTAAATGAAGGGTGCTTCATCCTTTATCCTGTATATCCACATCATCCTCTTCACAGATGGTCTTTCCATCTTTTTTAAAGCAAAGTACTGCCATCAACAACAGGGGATTTGGGATTCTGGGTTCAAATTCCGGCTCTAGGATTTACTGGTTATGTGACTTTGGGAAGGTCATTGAAATTCTCTGAGCCTCAGCTTCTGTATATATAAAATAAAGTCAGGATGAAAAGAGACAACCGATATGCAGCTACCTCTGTGCCCAGCAAGAGCATGTGCTCGTGAAGAGTTGCCATTTGCCTGGCAAACTCCAACACCATGCTTCAACATGGAGCTAGCTCTGGGGAAACAAGCCCTGAGAATCACCAGTGACTGGGGGCTCACTTCTTCCCAAGCCAGTCTCTGCATGGTTGATAGAAAGTTGCCATCGCATTGCAGCAAAACTGACTTCCACCAGCAGATGCCAAGAAATGAGCATGCCCCACTTCTGTCACACTGTTTAGGGGAGATAGACCATCTGCTGCCCCAGCGTGCCTGACTCCCGCCTAAGGAGTCACAGTGGAGCCAGGAGGATGAAATTTGCCTCTTTGAGGTTCTATGTGGATCCAAACAGGAAGAGAAAGTCGCTGAAGGTCTCCTTTTTCACTATCTCTGAATCCAACCATCTCATCTCCAGCAGCCCAATGATTTTCAAGCCCAGTTATTTCTGACACCTTTCATCTAGGCCCAAATGTCCTTTCTTTGCCAAGAATCCACCCAAAACATCTGGAGCTCTGAATGTAAAGCAGGTATATTGAATGCTAGAATCTAATTAAGGAAGGAGAAAAAAAGAACCCTTAAAGATAGCCTCAACACTGGCTGTGATCCAGAAGCCTGATGGGCTTATACTTGTGGGGCCTCAGGGTGATGGAGTAGAATGTTCCAGTGGGCAGGATGTAGACAGTAAGAGAAGTGGAGTCTGCAACATTCAGGGTGTCTGTCCCCAAACCCAAGCCCAGCAAGGGGAAGAGATGGAATCTCCATGGTATTAAACTACAAAAAAGCGAAAGAAGAGACCAAAATAGTCTGATAGAGATTTAAAACAAGACGGCCCTGCAAATATGTCTCAGTCAGAAGAATTTTCTTGGCTTCTGCTACTTCTCATGGCTCCCTAGGGGATCCCGCATTTTCAGCAGACTATCAGCCCCAAAACACATAGACCACACAAAGATATCATTCATTCATTCATTCATTCATTCACTCACAAATCTGTATTGCAGGTCGAGTACACTCCAGACACTGCTCTAAGGCACATTTAGACACAGTCAAGAAAACAGATGACAGTTCCTGCCCTCATGGAGTTTACATTCTAGCGAGGCATTCTTGTCTGGCTAATGCGGAACACATCATTGAGATTCAAGGCCAGGATTCATAAACCCAATGCATCCAGGGTCTGGATAGGGAACAGCCATGGGCAGAGTGATCCAGTTGCAAGGCAATAGGGAAAGGTGTGGACTGTGGGGACCAGAAATCTCATACCTCATCTAAAGGAGGAAGCTGCTGTTTGGTTCCAGGCCATTGACTCCACAAAAGAATATAATGTCATTGCTTCCAGATTTTCTGGTTTTTCAGTAGAAGTAAAAAATCTAGAATTCTGTGAAATTCTCTGATTTTTAAAACCTGGAACAAATCAAACTAACCATATGTGACAGCCAGTTCCCATTTGAGAGACATCTGCTTGTGACTCTCACTCTTGATGTCCAGTAGGGATTGGTGGGCATCAAGGGATTGAGTTGATCAATTACAAAACCTGGATCAGGAAAACATGGTCTCAAAGCAGCTTCACCCTTTGCTACCAGTGACTTTTTAAAGGCAGGTCATTTGGACTCCTGAGTCCCCATTTTTTTATCTGTAAAACAGGAATAAAATCATAGAACTGTTATTCATTACAGGGTTCTGGCAGGAAGCAGATGCACATTTAAAGGTTTCAAGTGAAGGAGTTTAATTGTTCTATTGACAGAGGCATACACAGAGGTCAGTGGGGAATGCCTAAGAGCTGATGAAACACCCTGGGACTAGAAATACCAGGGAGCCATTACTACCCCTAGCCTAAAGGAGTAAAGAGAGACAAAGATCCCAGATTCTGGGGAGAGACACAGCTGTGGATGAAGGGCACTCGGCAGGAGCTGTGGTCCTAAAGGGATGCCAATCCTCCCAGTGTTGAGGGAATAATATCCCTACCTGACAGTCTCTCCTTCTAATCTCCTGCTGCTGCCTCCTATTGGCCCTACCAATCTAGAAGCCAGAAGGCAAGAGAGCTTGGGTGGTGTAGTCTGCAGAGCTCAGTCTCACAGGGCACAGGCCAGGGTGAAAAAGAGCAGAGCATGGGTCAATGGATCTGGAAGAGCACACGGTTGTCCTTTACATCTCCTTTCAGTTGAGTATGCACCAACCCTCTTTCTCACTCTCTCAGCATCCTAGGGGGAAATAGTCTGGTGGAGTCCTCTCCACTCTACCTCAAAAATGCTCATGACTTTGAACTTGTCAAGCAAACTGAGAAGTGCTCAAAGGGTGATTTTCTGGGAAAGGCTAGGGCATCCACACTAGGTTCCCCATGGAAGGGCTGGGCTCTACACAAACCTCAGAGCTAAAGTCATGGTTGGTCCAAATGATTAATTATGAGGACTCCTCTTCATTACAGGTCACCAGGATAGGAGGCCAAAAAAGAATTGAGTGAGGGAAAGAGCCCACTCAGAGTGAGGAGCGGAAGGCAAGGGAGTGATGGGAGGTAGGCTGACCTTCTCTATTGCCACCTTGGGCTGGGAGTGGAGGGCTAAGAAAAAGGGCGATCCAGAAAAGCTAAACCTCAAGCAACATATGTGTTAGGCTGCAAGTAACTGAAAACTCACTGCTGTAACCAAACAAATCCAGAGGTTAGCGCAGTGATCAGCGTGGCTTGAATAGATCTGTGCAACTATGGCTGTGGGTCCTGCTTTCTTTCACATGAGGCTTCCTCCTCTGGCTCATCATGTGAGGGCTGCCGCAATCTCAGGACTACCATTCAGACATGACAGTATCTAGAGGGAAGAAAAAATTTAGCTTATGATAGCTCAGAAAATCACACTCTTTTTCAGATGCATCCTTGAATCAATTCCTTTAAGGAAATACCACGTGATGATTGCCTTACGTCTGGTTACAATAAACAATTTCTATAGCAACAAGGGTGGGTGTGATTTCTCTGATAGAGTGACAATTCTCTCAATTCTCTCGTGGCTGGTACATAATTAGCACTATTTAGATATATAGGAGAGAAAATAATTCATTACCTACAATGGATGTCTGGGGGCATTTAGACTTAATGCTCTTGAGGAACCCCATCAAAAACGATAATCAAATTTCAGTCCTTTTTAAAAGCAAAGGTTTATTTCTCATTTATGCAAAGTGTCCAGTGAGGGATGACGGGGAGTTTTCTTTGCCCCAAGTCTCCTCCCCTAGAGACCCAGGCACATAGAGCTTCCACCATCCAGAATGTCCCTGGTTGTCCTGGCAGGAGGGCAAAAACTAATTTTCACCTGGCCACGTAAGCTTCCATCTGAAAGTGACATATGTCAATTTCAATCAGTGGAATTTTAGTGACCAAAGCAAGTCACACAGGCTCTTCTAACTTCAAGGCAGTAGAGCAGTGTAATTTTACATTATGCCTAAAAGGAGGAGAAAGCAAGTTAGTAGTTCATATTAAGGAACTAACGGGAAGTTTATATGCTTCTTATGTCAAACCCTCAGGAAGTAGAAACTCAGAAAATTATTTATGTACAAACATGTATATTGAAGCACTGCATATACAAACAAAAAATAAAAACAGAAACTATCAGAACATCCAACAGTAGGTCCTAAAATATTTATTCTTAAATAAATCAGTCTAGCCATAGGATAGATAATTTTCTCGTGTTCTAAAGTGTTGCTTTTGAAGACTGTTTAATGATACAGGAAAATTCTCACAATACGTTTAAGTGAAGTAAAGAATAAAGAATTGCACTGTTTTATTAATATTAATATAAAAGTAAACTACCAAGAAAACAAAGGAAACATACTAAAATATTAATGATGGCTATCTCTACATTAATGTTATTGTTTTCTTTGTGCTTTTCTATATTTCTTTAGTTCTTTATGCAGATGAGTAAATTTTTAAATAATCAATTTAAGAAGATTATTTAACATAGAAATATATGGATGTTTATCACAGCAATTTTTTAATAGCAAAAATTGTAAACATCTAAAATCTACAGGAGGGAGTTGGTAAAAAATTATAGTTCAGTCAAATAATAGATATGATGAAGCATTTAAAAATTAAGATCTATTTGATCTGCTATGGAACATTTGCTAAGATATATTAAGTGAAAAAACATGGTGCAGAAAAGTGGGTATAGTATACTGCCATGTATTTAAACGTGTATGCATACACACATTTTTGAAGAGAATGCACAAATACTGCTAAAAGTGGTGCCTTTGGGTGGGGAAAACTAAGAGACTGAAGAAATGACTCATAGCTGTCTGTGGAAGGATGACTTTCAATTTTAAGTCCTTTACATTATTTGATTTTTTTAACCCTGTGTGTGTATTATTTATCTTGAGTTCTATTTTAGAAAAAAATTATAAACAAATAAATAAATCAGATGCCGGCTCTGGCAGATATGTCATAACTGCTGGTTTCCTTCCCTGCCCTTTTCCTGTCTTTAGGCTATTTCACTCAATGCCTCAGCCCTAGGCTGGACCGTAGCTACAGTTTAACAAGGCTTAGGGATTGAAAATGAATTTCATTGATCTGTCTGCCATTCTGAACACAAATAACAAAGGGTCCCCCAAAGCTGTCTGACTCAGGTATAGGGAATACCAGTCATCTTTTCACCTGGGCTACAGGCAGCTGACACTTTTCCCATGGACCCATGAGCTAAAAACACAAAGGCCTCCACACGGCTGAGAGTCAACATCTCCTGCAAATAGCTGACATTGTGAGCCCATGCCTTTGTGTCTGCTCAGAACCATTTAATTCTTGGGAGTTGCTTATATTCATAGATATTGAACTGGACCAATCACTGTGGATAACTTCAGGGTCAAACTTTCTGAAGAAAGAGCGGCACCAATACTGATACAGGAAATCCAGCTCCCAGCTCCCTGGAGCAAGGCATTAGAGAATGGCTTCTTGTAGTTCCATGTCCCAGGACAAATCTGGTGACAGGACAGTCAAGAGTAGAAGAGATTTTGCACCTTAACTTTGTTCTGAAATTAGGCTCTGTAGTTCCCTCCTTCCCATCTCCACTGGGAATGGGCTGTGATAAGTGTTACTTATTCATGCAGCAAATCCCTGGTCCAGGCACTGGGGATACAATAGTAAAGAGATCCAAGTAGGAAACAACTCTGCTTACAAATTATAAATAAAATTTAAATATATAGGATGACACAAGTGCTATGGAGAAAAATTAAGCAGGGATGTGGACAGAAGGTGCAGAAAGAGGCCTCACTCCAAAGCTGAAGCTCTGGTAAAAATCCGAGGGCAGCAGAGAGGGCCTGTGTGGATATGGGGGATGCGTGTTTTGGGAGAAGTGGCTGAGTTTTACCCCTAGTTTGGCAGAAGGTAGAAGTAGTCAGCCAGTGGAGGAGCAGAAATAATGTTTCAATATTTCTGCAATAAAATGTTTTAAAATTTTAAAAGATCTGAATAGTTATGAGAAATAATATAAATGTTCAGCAGCAGTTATATCATGGTATAAGCATGAAGTAGACTATAATCTAGTCACTAACAACCCTGGATTTGCAAGAATATTCAACAAGGTAGGATAATACACTCAAAGTAAAACGTTGAGTGGGAAAGGCAGAATGCAAAATTATCATCACATTTGTCATGCTCACTGTAGTAACCTAGTGTGGCACCCAGAACAGTGGTTGGTACATAGTGGATATGCAATCAATAGTGATAAATAGCTGTTGATTAAGTTAATTGCTGAGCATAAGCATGGTGGAAAAATAACTTGAAGAAAATGCATCAAATTATCAACAGTGGTTGGCCCGCAGTGATGGAATTCTTGATAATTTTCATTGGTGTATTTTAAAGCTTCCCAGATGATTCCAATATGAAGCCAGGGTTGGAAATGACTGTCTCACGCATGTCCGATTTTATTATCTGAGGTATATATTTAAATCCTCCATGCATAGATAAGGAACTGAAGTTCAAAGAGGTGAGGGTCAGCTTGCCCAAGGCCATAAGGTAGGCAGTGAGATAGCAGGTGATCTAGCCCCAAACCTTATGGAACTCACTTAGCCTGTTATTTTTACTTGAAACAGCTGATACCCAAGGAAAGCTCTGGGAGGACTTCCCCAAGGTACAGACTGGTCACTGGTGAATCAGCACTGAACCTGAAGTTCCTGCACACTGTTTGGGATTCTTTTCAGACACCTCGTGCTGTTGAGACAGGGAGAGCAGATGCCAAAAAAACACTCACAACTCTGACAGGGAGTTTCACCTCTGACCAAGCTCAGTCAGAATTCCAGGTTTGGCTCCATCTAGTCCCACCTTAGTGAGAATGCAGAGGCTTCCCTCTCATGCCAGAAGCTGGCCTCTAAGAGTGCAGTGTCCACCCTTCTCTTCAGGATACATGAGAATCCTGGAAGCCCATTAAACAAGGGTTGTCTGCATGGGGTGCTTGAATGGAGGCCAGGCAACATCTTAAGCACAAGTATTACTTGATTATGGGGACTATCTGGCTGATGATTGGTCATTCTCACTGGGTGACAGTGACAAAGATAAATGTGTGCTACCTTGGCTGCTATTTAACTCTGGTAATGAGTAGTTTCTGCTGTGCTGGAAGCTCCTAGTTCATCATTCTCTAACTGTGGGGTCTCCCTCGTTTTTCCTCAACCCAACCGCCTTTAGTCTTAAGGTAGGAAAACTGATCTAAAGGTATCCGCTAGAAACTTCCTTCCATCTCACCTTTTGGAAACATATAGTATGGATTTGTGTGGCCTTTGCTTCTTGTTTCTGCAGTGGGTGACTCAGGCCTTGTGACAGAAACAAGGAGGAGGATGGAGGAGCCTTCAGAGTTATACTCCTCTTGTCTTATTGACTCAAATGTAAAGAGGAAACCAAGATGACTGGCAAAGCAATACCTCCCTGTGACAAAGGCAACAGACCAAGAACCTCAAGGTAGTTTTTAGAATGCTTCTTTTTACCCCTGGGTGATATATGTGAAAGAAAACTGAGTATTATCAATATTATTGCAACTATTATCTACCGTAGTCTATTACAATAAAGCTTAAAATAAATCTGTCCAGAAGCCTGCCCCTCCAACAATTGATTTCCTTTTCAGGCAAGCCAAAGAATTCCCTTGGAAGGATAAAACTACCAGGCAGTCTGAGCTGGATGGAACACGCTGGTGCAAATGCAAAAGGTCACCGTTGGACTTGGCCAAGCTAGTAAATGTCAATAAGCTGGAGCTCCTTGCAACTTCAGCTTCTGCATGTCGGGCAGTGCACCTCACCATCAGGCCTAGGCCCCCACCTCTGCAGCCCACGCTGACCCAGCTTGTCCCACTGAGAGACCCCTTCTGAATTGCTCACATGGCAACCTATCCATCCAGAGTTCTCAACATAACAAAAGCTCTGGCCAGGCCTTTTTGCAAGCTAGCCTTTTTCTGCATATAACCATTTACAGATTTGAGTCTTTCCCTCCTTGATACAAAGAAAAACAATAACAGAGAGGCTCATGAAATTGCAAAATCATGGAACACAATTCTCTGTACCCTTTCTACAGGCACACCCTCTCAGCTCCATGAAGGAGCCCAATTCTTCATTGTTCCCAGGGCTTTTTGCCAAGAAGTGAACTTTAAAGAAATAAGATCATAAAGATCCACATATCAACAAGTCCATAGAAGCCCCTGGGAATCTCATTGGAATGGGAGGCCTAACATATCCTAGACATTAACTTCCCCAGGCCCACTGCATTGGCTCAAGCCAGTTGAGAACTTGGCTTTCTACTAAAATATATGCCTTCCTGGGAAAGGTTCTGTTCCTGGTTCGGTATCAGCATCTCTGGGAATCTGTACTGTGTATGCAGATTGTCTGCATTCAAATCCAGGTTCCAGCACTTATGAATTAGGGGAAGTCAGGAATGTTCACCTAACTTCCTTGGCCCTCAGTTTCTCCATCAGTAAAATGGAAGATAGTAATATCTATCTTATAGGGTGTTGTAGGTAAATGTACTTATTCTATTCCTTAAAAGTAGGATCTGATCAGGAACTGTACTTAGGCAGAACAGGATCCTTCTGGGGAAAAGCAATGAAGAAGAAGGTAGAAAAGGATACATTAAAAAAAAAGAAAAGCTGCGGATACTGAAATTGAAAGGCCATCTTCAAATGGTGCCCCTGGGATCAGCTGCCGACAAGTGCACAGGCCCAGGTAGTGATAAGGACACAGGTACCAGTGGAGGATAGAGCACTGGCAAGGTGCCAGGGAAAGCATGAGTGGCCTAAACAATGCTCTGCAGCTTTAAGGGGTTCAATGTACATTAACATTATGAACATAATGAATGCTGCTATTAAAAATTTGGAAGAATGCAAATAAAAGTTTTGTAAATCAATACTTCTACTATCCACTGATCATTTTGATGTATTTCATTCCAGTCTTTTCTGCCATGCATAACTTATAATATTCATTTTGTCCCACTTTATATCCAATTTTAACCATATTGGAGTCATATTTTAAACTAGTTTTTCCCACTTAATACAGCTTGAGCACTTTTCCCTCATTAAAGATGGCTTCTAAGTGCTATATTATATTTCATCATATGGATTCATTTATCCAATTCACTGTAAACATTTAGGCTGTTTCTAATTTTTTATTATTGCAAATCGTACAGCATTGAGCATCTATGTACATAAATCTTTATGTGCACATCTGATAACTTCCTCAGGATAAATTCCTAGAAGTGGAATTACTGGATCAAGAGTTATACTCATTTTGAAGGACCTTGATATATATTGCCCTGTTTCTTACTATGAATGTGCACACACAGGTATGGTACAGTCATAATTCAAACACCCTTTCTTCCTACCTCTATTTTCTTGCCTTGGTTAAATCCTTCTCATACTTCCATACTCAGCCTGCCTTACCCTATCTTTCCAGACTCGTTTATGTGTCCCTTTGTCTATACTCCTGCAGCTCTTGCCCTTCCCTCTTACGTTGCATTTAGCATGCTATGTTGCACTTGCTGACTTACATATACGTCTACCTGGTTGGACTAGAAACACCATAAGGGTAGAATAATCTCTATAGTCCTGGCACCTGGTGCAAAATGGATGCTAAGTCCATTTGTGTTGCTATAAAGGAATACCCAAGGCTAGTTAATTTATAAAGACAAGAGACTTACTTGGCTGACAGTTCTGCAGGTATGGCACCAGCGTCTGCTTCTGATGAAAGCTTCTGGCTGCTTCCACTCATAGCAGAAGGAGAAGGGGAACCATTATGTGCAGAGACCGCAGAGATCACATGGCGAAAGAAGAAGCAAGAGGGTGGGGGAGGTGCCAGGATCTTTTTAACAAACAGCTGTCATGGGAGCTAATAGGGTGAGAACTCACTCCCATGAGAATGGCACCAAGTTATTCATGAGGGATCCGCCCCCATTAACCAAACACCTCCCACTAGGCCCCACCTCCCAACATCGCCACCCTGGGGATCAGATTTCAACATGAGGTTCGGAGATGTCAAACATCCAAACTATAGCAGATGCTCAATGGATTGTTGGAGTAAGTGCAAAGCAAGCATGTGTGTGGGCTGGCACCAGGTAGGAGTGCATATAGTACACAGCTCTGCTTGTGTGAATCGCCTCCGTCATAACCACTCTGGGTAATGTGCTCTGGGGCAATGCTGTCTGTCCTTCCAATGACCTCTGAGCCACTGAGAATGCTGGTCCAGGAATAAATATTATTTCATCTCTCACAGAAGGCTGACCTACCTGCAAGATTGAGGAAAATAACCTAAAGTCTAGTTTAGCAGAAGCCAAGACTCTTAACAATCTTGACTCCTGATCAGAGATGCCAGGAGAAAAGGGCCCTGAATGGCCCACAGCAGGCCATTAATGAGATCACAGATTCTTAACGTGGAAAGGAAACTAAGAGACTACCTTGGATTACAGCTTAGTATACCAAGACCTAGAGAACTACAGATAGTAATAATTATACCATAGTGGTGGTGTAAGAACTTAAAAAACAAAGAATTTTAAGTCCCTGTAAATATCTGATATGTAATATTTGCTCAACCAATGGGATTCATTCATTCATTCATTCAATTGTCTGTTTAGCTAATATTTACTGAGTGTCTCTTATGTGCCATGGTCCAACAGCTAACATGTGATAGTGCTCACATCTGGTGTAACCTGTTCTGGGAAATGATAAAAAGACAACTGAGATGAAATGGAGCAATATCCTTTTGATGATTGTGGAGTCTGTGTTTTCTCATTAATGGAGGATGCTTCCCTGCTCCAAGCTGAAAAGCTAGCCATTCATTACATTCTACCAGCTGCCACCTACAGCTGGCACAGAAATGTGAGGGGGGCAGCTTGCTGTCCCAGAAAGAGCAGGCACCCCTGAGTCATGCAGACCTGGATCTGAATCTTAGGTCAATCAGTTAGTACTTCTGTGACTGCGGGAAAGTCACTTTGCCTCTCTGGGTCATGGTTTCCTCATCTGTAGCATGGGGCTATTTGGCATAGATTTGTGGAAAGCAGGCCAGGCGCAGTGGCTCAAGCTTGTAATTCCAGCATTTTGGGAGGCCAAGGTGGGTGAATCACCTGAGGTCAGGAGTTCCAGAGCAGCCTAACCAAAATGGTGAAACCCCATCTCTACTAAAAATACAAAAAATTAGCTGGGCATGGTGGCACATGCCTGTAATCTTAGCTACTTGGGAGGCTGAGGCAGGAGAATCACTTGAACCTGGGAGGTGGAGGTTGCAGTGAACTGAGATCATGCCATTGCACTGAACCCTGGGCAACAAGAGCGAAATTCCATCTCAAAAAAAAAAAAAGACTTGTGGAAAGAAGAATAATTGCTCCCTAAATATGTCTACACCCTAATCCCCAGAACTTGTGAATATGTTATCTCACATGGCAAAAGGGATGTTGCAGCTGTGTTAGCACTTTGAGGTGAAGATATTATCTTGCGTCACATCCAGGAGGGCCAATCTAGTTATATGAACCTTAAGAGCTGAGAACATTTCCCAGCTGTAGTCCTAGAATGTGGCCATGAAAGCAATTGCAGAGAGACAGCAGCATGAGGAGGACTTGACCCACTGTGGCTGGCTTTGAAGATCAAGGGGCCACAAGACTAGGAATTCAGTCTGTCTCTAGAAGCTGTAAAAGAGAAGGAAATTAGTTCTCCCCTAGAGTCTCCAGTGCATCCCTGCTGATAACCTTGATTTTAGCCCAGTGAGACCTGTGTTGGACTCCTGACCTAAAGATAAATTTGTGTTGTTTTAAGCCACTGAGTTAGTGGTAATTTGTTACAGCAGCAATAGAAGACTCATACAACTTTATAAGATTGTTATAAGTTTCAAAAGAGAATATGTGCTTGTCACCTAGGAGGCCTGCTACACATCTTTATTTATGGTCCTCTATGGTTATCCAGGCCCTCAGTGAGCTTATGACAGGCTTTGCCTGCCTGCTTCATGACTACTCTGCCCAGAACAAAGCCTTCATGAAGGAGAGCAGGAAATAATTATTGAAGAGAAATGCTGTTTGTATTCAAATGTCTCAGAATAAGAGAAGCAAAGGAACAGATAAACAAGAGTCTCTTAATCACAGACGATGAATGTGTGCTTGGCCTCTGCTCTCTGCCTTCCATTTCTCACCATGTCACTGAATCAGCAGTAGCAGCTGGCACAAGCTTCTCTCCCTGTGGCCAACAAAGGGCCTGGCTCACAGCCCCAGCCTCCACCTTTCCCTCCGAGACACACATCTTCTCCCCTCACCCAACCAGAGATGGCCTCTGTAATGGCTTTCTTAAGCTTCAGCACATACATGGGCCAATCACCTAGCCCTGGGTTCAGGTTTTGGTGCTGTCATTACTTGGTTATGTGACCTTGGGCAATCATTGCACCTCTTTCTGTCCTGAATTTCCCTCTTGAGAATTAAGGGTAACTCCTTTGTATGGTTGGTCAGAGCATGAAAACAGATAAATTTGCTGCCTGCTTAATATAGTGCCTGTCATATAGATGGTGCCAGTAAATGGATTCATTTACCCAAGAATATAAAAGGAGTACTAAACAAATAGTATGTGTATACACAAGCAAGAAATATATATTACATAAAATATATCTATATTGTTATATATAAATATCATAAATAGAAAATATGGAGATATATATATATATATATATATATATATATATATATATATATGAAATGAGACATAAAATCTAGGGCTTATATTTAAATTTTTCACAGTCCAATGGGGACAAGATGGGTAAAACAGGCAATTATAAGATAATGTAGTGAGTGCTCAGACAGGAGAAACTACCAGTATTATGGCTTCCGAGAGGAAAGGCAAGTAAATCCAGTTCAAGTGAAGTTTGGGTGAAGTCACTTCTAAACTGAATCTTTCAGGATTAACAGGGATTGAGTGGGTGAAAGACAGAAGAAGTAAATAGTATATGCAGAGGAAACAGCAAGTACAAAGCCCTAAGTCTAGGGAGAATACTAGAAAGAAATCAAGAAACGAACATAATTTAATATTGCAGTGTTGATAGAGAAGAAAGAATAAAATAGGTACCCATTGATGTAATTGTTAGGTATGGGTATGACTATTATTATTAGATGTGTCAGACAAAACACATCTTTACAATATGCATAGTATAATTTCCTCCTTTATCCACCAAAGAAAATTCTGGTTGCCACTCAACCCTGTCCCTTGCCTTTGCTTCCTGAGACTTAATAGTAAGATTGAGGTAATCAGTGAAGCAGAGACACGCTGAAAGAGGAAGGGTAATTCACCAGAAGGATAAGAACCTAAGGGGAGAGAAAGATCAGTGGTAAGGGGCAAAAGTAGTCCAGCTCTTGCATTTTTTTAAGAAGTTATATGGGTGGGCATGGTGGCTAATACCTATAATCCCAGTGCTTTGGGAGGCTGAGGCAGGAGGATAGCCTGAGCCCAGGAGTTCAAGACCAGTCTGGGCAACATAGCGAGACTCTGTCTCCAAAAGAATTTTGTTTTTTAATTGGCCAGGCATACTTCCTTGTGCCTGTAGTCCCAGCTACTTGGGAGGCTGAGGTTGGAGGATCATTTGAGCCCAGGAGTTCATTGCTGTAGCAAGCTATGATCTTGCCACTGTACCCCAGCCGGGGCCACAGCATGAGACTCTGTCTGTAAATAAATAATAAAAATTAAAATAAAATAAAATAAATAAAAAGTAAAAAGTTGTAGTAAAGATTCAAATTAGTTTCAACATTTCCAACTGTTCTTTGAATTTGATTCCATGCCAAGAGTGGACTTTGCAGAGGCTGGTTTTAAATAGCTTTCACTTCTATAAATAAATCTGAACCTTCTCTAGCCATACAATTTTATTAATTGTTCCTTTAGAGATAGGTTAGAGAAATACCTATCTCTAACCCTTTACTGATGTAGTGTGCCCTACCTGGAATGTTTTCCCTACTTACATAAATCCCTCCCATTCTTTAAGGCCTAGTTCAGGCTCCCCATGGGCTCTGTGAAACCTGCCTCTTTGATGAATCTAATGCATTTGTCTCTGTATCATGGACTTAGTACTTATCTTCCAAAAATCTTCATAAGATCAAAGGAAAACATAGAGGAAAATGCATCACCCATTAAGACTACTAAAAAAACAATTATTTACAACCATCCCTTCCAATCCTTTACTGTAGATATATCTAGATGATCAGTAATATCATAATCGCAGTAGAAATTTTGATTTCATCTCCTAACCTTCTGCGTTACAATGTTAGTGACTTTTTATGTCTATGTCTAGAGTGCATATCCCTCTATGTTTTTGGCTTTTACATCGCATAGGGCCTTATAAGGTTATAATCTTAAATCCTTAGTAAAAAGCAATAACTCAAATGGAGATAATGCCCAATAAATGTTCAGTGCTCCCTTGAGTAGTTTTTTCTTTTCTTTCAAATCTCCCCAGAAACTTTACAAAGGTCACTGACTCAATCACCTCTAGGAGCCAAGCATATTTTAGAAATGAATCAAACAGTAAGGCGATATGGACAGATTCAGTAATGTGCTGGAATGATTGTTCATCGCTTGCAAGAGCTGGTCATTATCAGGTCATTATTAGCTGGTCATTGTCAAGAACTTTGTGAGCAGTTTAAACAAACCTTTTATTAACTTACCATTAAATAAATTACATTATAAATAAATTATATATATTAAATAAATTATAAATAAATTACATTAAAAACAAAGATAATAAATACTCAAAAGTCATCACTTTCTAATTATTTTACTAAATGTTGCTCTGAAGGTCATTTGTGTCTATTGTATCTGTATAATGGAAATGCTGTAGGATGCTATATAATCCTTCATGTGTCTTCCCAGTTCCTCATTCAGGGATGTCACTTTGGTAGATTAAAGCTGGCTATGGTGGGAGTACACACATTATGGAAACTGGTAAATGCCACGAATCAGGGTGTGGTTTATAGTTTTGTTGATTCTCTAGGCTCAAGAGAGTGATGAAGAAAATGTCATGAATGAAGATAAAACTTAAAATTGTCTTATGTGTACAGTTGTTACATTCCAAACAACACAAAAAAATTGAGAGATGTTCTTCTAGCATTCAGAAACCATCATGTGATTCAGCATAGAAGTTATGTCACTGAAGAACAAGTGAAGTTCTTCGATGCTGGATACAAGACAGGATGCCCAGTTAAATCTGAATTTCAAATAACCAATATTTTTAGTATAAGTATATCCCAAATATTGTTCAGAGCACACTCATACTAAAAATTTAGTTGTTGTTCTCTGCAATTCAAACGTGGAGTTTCCTTTATATTTATTTGCTAAATCTGGCAATCCTAGACATATATCTTTATTGTTTCATTTTCATCTTATTTGTTAACATAAGCAAAAGCATCAGCAGTCATAGTGGAACTATGCTTGTTCATCAGTTGTAACCAAAGATCATCTGTGGATATAAAAGTTTGATAGCAATCATCAAAATAATTCCATAAGAATCAACTGACTATATGAGATTTGCAATAAAGAGTATTTTATATGGTATCATTTATAAATTTCTTGCAACATATCATTTATATCAGTAAAATGTATAATAAACTTACATGTGTATGCATATGTGTATATATACACACTTTTTCATTTTTGGAGAGTTGGTCATTAAATATTTATCGGCAAACCACTGGAGACAGTGAGAGAGTGGTACACCACCCCTTCAGAATGCATACAAATTCACTTTTCTAAACACTGTTCTTCCAAATCAAACTTTCTCACCTATTGCCTTCCAACTGTTCTTTTGCTGTATCAGACCTAGGACAGGTCAAAGTCAGGGCCCCATTAAGTAATAATGACCAAGCTCACACTGTTGAGAAATCAATCATCTCCAAAGTATCTGAGCACAAACAACTGAAATAAGTTTTCTCTCTGCTTAAAGGCTAAGTTTAAAAATAATAAAGGGAGGAAGAGGATAATTCCTCCCTAACCCCCTACCCACCCCCTTTGTGAGCCTAATTCCATCATCTGAACTATTAAACATTCACTCCCATCTCCACCCAATTACCCACCCAAGCTGAGAGGCATCTCTGGGTGCCACCAGGCTCTGACATATGGGACTCATAACCATGAGCAGATAGCATCCGCATTCTTGCCAGAGTAGTGCTACATCTTGGAAAGACTGATGCAGTTGCAAGACTGCCCAGTTATGCTTCTGCTACTATTCTTTCTGACTATGACTAAAGGCCACATGGACCGTGATTAGGGCAGCCATGGGGCCCAAGAGGTCCACGGAATGCAAGAGCTCTTCTCAATTACGGTTAAATGCACGAAGAGCAGGAAGCACATCAGTGAGGCACACCTTTAGGTCGTCCCATCCCCAGAGAGACAGATTGGCAAGGGCAGAAAGGAAGACAGGCTGGGCCTCCAATCCAGATGCCTGGAAAGAGCCAGGGGCTCCAGACAGGCTGGGTTTCCACATTCCAGGGCTTAGCTCCACTCCCACTTGATTCTCATGCCATACACTTGCTTTGTGTTAGC
Source organism: Homo sapiens (assembly GCF_000001405.40). Taxonomy (NCBI): domain Eukaryota; kingdom Metazoa; phylum Chordata; class Mammalia; order Primates; family Hominidae; genus Homo; species Homo sapiens. The sequence goes on from NC_000005.10 coordinate 169,433,612, forward strand.
AACAAGAAAGAATCCACAAACTTTTGAGCAATGCACACTCTGTTGCTTATTTTATGCTCGCTCTCTCTGTCTTTCTCTCCCCTCCCCTCTCTGTCTTCAGAATGAGCAAAGACACAATAGAAAAACACATAAGAACAGAATCTCAAGTTTTAAGTAGGGAAAAGAAATTAGTAGAAGCTTGACCCTAAATGTAGGACATTAAACTTCTTATTTGGGTGTAATTATAATATTGCACATAGTATTAAACACTCCCATGGATATATTCCCAACTCTAAATCTCTATCCTAGGCCAGCATTTCCCAAAGTGTGTTCAGATAGCTGTTTATGCATATTTTACAGAAAAATGGAGGGACAGTTCCACAGTCAAATACGTTTGGAATATTTCCTGTTAAATTTTTAATTAGATGTGTTTGCCGCAGGACTTCTCAGAGACTTCGATATGCAGATGAGCTTTGGGAATCTATTCACTGGAGGGAAGCTCACCAAGTTTCCTAAATTTATTTCAGTGCAGAATCCCTCTTTCATGGAGTATCTTGTAGAACTAGTGTTCTAAAGAAGAGATTTATAAAATGCTACTTAGGCTCTAACTATTTTCAATAGCTTTCCATTAATCAGTGATCAATTTACCATTCAGATCTCCATGACTTTATTCACCTACTCTCTTCTCTCATCTTCAACTATCAAATGATTTGTCTTTCTTCGAGATCCTTTAGGTGTTCTCAAAGCCCCCATCATAATTCTCTTCTCTTCTTTCTTTGCTTCCACAAGACTTTCTCTGTGCCAATGCCACCATCATCACCATAAGCTTTGGGAAGGCAGCAGAGCTTGGCGGGGTAGGGGGTGGAGGTGGCCTGGACAAGAAGCCAGCGATTTGGAGTCAAAGGCCAGCCCCACGTGACCTTGGTCATGCTACTTTACCTTCTAGAGGCTCAGTTTCCTCTTATCTAAAATGGAATACATAATATTTTTGTCACAGATCCATTGTGAAGAACTCATGAAAGGGTTTCATGAAAGTACTCTGCTATCATAAAGTGAAACTGAAAAATTATCATTTGCCTCATTTTTCCTAAATTTGTTTTATCATAAGAATCACCTGGGGCACTTACTAAAAAGAGAGATGTCTCTGAGGAATCTGTTTCCATGACTGGGACCTAGAATTTGTAATTTTAACAAGCTTGCCAGGTTGTTAAATCAGAAGAATTTAGAAGGCACTGAATTATCTGAAAGAAATTAGAAATAAATGGTGATTCTGATAGCAAAAGCTACAGACAAGTGGGAGATAGTTGACGGGGGGGGTGGGAGGAAGGAAGTAAAGCCACACACTACAGGTCTCCTTTTACTGATTACACCGGGTAGGTGTGTGTATATCCCTTCATCGGCTAGAGCTTGGTTGGATATTTGAACTTTGTGCAGTAATTCTGGGAGTACACACTTCCGATACTATATTGTGAAGTACCCCACTGGTCAGGATTTCTCTAAAGTGGTCCTGATGACTTCTTCATTTGAATCTTGAGTCTCAAAAGAAATAAATTATAACCTTTGGATCATCATAGAGATCTTCATTCAAGAAATCAATTTCACTGCATTTCTAATTAAGGATTTGCTGAGCCCAAGAAAAGGAACATATCTATGCACCTCCTGGTGCCACATAAGGCATTTATAACTCTGTATATAATTGTTGAGGTCTTTATGAATGACCAAAAGAGAAAAAATGACCCATCTCTGAAATAATCTCTTTGTTTGTATGTATTCTTTATGCTTTCTCCATCTAAGAGCTGGGATTACTTTGGGAATTTATGTCTTCAACAGAGGAGCAAAGAAATAAAAATGATATTTGCTTTATTAAAAATAGAATCAACACCCCAAACATAAACTCATTATTTATAGAAAATCCCCTTTTTGTCAAACCACCAGCAGAGCCGCTACTGCAGCTGATTTTTTTAAAAAGTTCAAATAAAAGCTGGGAAAATCTTGTAGCCATTAGACCATAATCGGTATGAATCACCAATTTGTTTTTCATGACTTTTTCTGCATTCCTTCTATATTTTGCAGTTTATTTTGTTCAATGTTTTCAGCAACAGCTTTGCCAAACCCCAGAATCGAGAAGTCATCCAAGCAGGGAGTGCGTGTGTCCCACTCTACAAGCTGCTTGCTCAAGTAACAAGGCATACGTTTGACTTATCTCCCTTCTCATTCTTTTCTGTCTGGTTACAGGGACAGGCAGAGAACAATCCAACCTAAACACTGATAGGTAAGGCCTTAAAGAGTTGAGGATGCCCAAGAAAATTCCGAGCATTAGGACCCTTTCTTTTCCAACTACTCAACGTGCATCTTACAGAGACTGAGGCCTTTAAGAAAAAAACAAAACCAAAAAAATGCAGTTGTGACCAGTTGGCAGCAGCCCCACTATGGCTTAGTTAGTGCAATAAATAGTTTACTTTAACTTAGCTCCAGCCTACTGAGTCTCTCTCTTCTACTCCTATACACAAACAGTCTACTTTTTATTTACAAATATTACACATCTGCATGTGAAACCACACTCTCTCTTGTTAAATAGATATTTATTTCTCTTTCTCCTAACATGGGGAACTAGTTTTGAAGTAAGTTAATCCTTTCACTGCACTAAATATACTGGTATTTCTGGATCTATCCTAGTGGTGGCAGTAGGATGAGTATCAAGTTTATTCATTCAACCATCCATTCATTAATCCATTTATTCATTTATTTATTGTGTAAATATTATTAAGTGCCTATTCTGTGAGGCACAGGCATTGGGTTAAGTAATGGCAATTAAATACATGAAGTCCCTGCCTTGGTGAAACTGTATGGTCTAATGGGAGAAACAAACATTAAGTGAATGATTATATATATATATATATATATATATATATATATATATATATATATATATATGTTAAATTTTAATTCTAATAAGAGATGCAAGGAGAATTAAAGGGAGCTATGAAAGTTCATAAAAAGGGAACTAAAGACCATGTATTATATGATTCCATTTATTAAAAATGTCCAGAGTAGGCAAATCTGAACAAACAGAAAAATAGATTGATGCTTGCTTAGCACTGAGGAGAGAGACTGGAGGGGTTGGGAATGATGGTTAAGGGGAGCAACAGTTCTTTTTGGGTTAATGAAAATATTCTAAAAGGGATTGTGGTGATGGATAGATAACTCTGTGAATATACTCAAAGCCATTGAATCTCCTTTTCTCTATGCAACACTACCTTCTTTGGTGCTGGATTTATTCTCAGGGTACTCCCTGAGAATGTCTACCTGCCTCATTGATTCCACCAGCTTAGCAACCCAATGAATACTGAAGGCCTTAGTTCTCAAGATCCAGCAAAGCTCCAAAGTAGGGCTTCATTGGTCTGACCTGGTAATGTCACCTATCTCTGCATCATTCATTTGTTAGTCAAGAGAATGTGGTACCAGCATGAGTCACATGCTCACCCCAGGAGATGGAGTCAGCTCCACCAAAACCTTATGCTCTAAGAATAGGGGAAGAGATGGCTCTGTTACCAGATTAAGAGAGGCTAGGCATACAAAAGCAGTTGACGCCCACTTTGTTCAGTTTCCTCTTGCAGCTTTGGAATCAAGCTTTTGTCTTGAGGGGCCATGGTCCTTCCCGATACAGACTCACTATATTTCAGCTGCTGGATGCAGCCTGCAATTGCTGGATCATTCAAAATGTCACACAGAGACCCTTGCACTCTTAACAAATTCTATTACTTAGTTAAATACGACAACAACAAAATAGTCACTAGCTATAACGTAAGATTTTTTTAAAGTTACTATTTTTTGTAAACTGACTTACAGAAGCATATTAATAATTCCAATTTGCATTGTGGGTTTGAGGGGTTGTTTTTTGGTGGAAGGGGAAGTTGGGATTTTTGTTTGGTTTGATTTGCCTCCTATGCACATAATCAGCTTCTGGGAGCTCTGAAGTTCCAAGTGGTGTGTAATAAAAAGTAGTCAAGTAGCTTACATCTTGGGATATTTCCACTAACAAATGTAGAGGAATTATAGGCAACATGTTTATCTGCTAATTACTGTCATATGAAATTTGCTTTGCTAGCAGGAAAATGGAATCACACAATGATGGCAAATTCATAACAGGCATGTCTCGCTCCCCTCTCATATGCAAATATAATGGTTCTCATTTCTACTGTGATCAGATGTGACCTCTAAATCTTCCTCAACACCATGCTTTTGGGACCCATCACCAATCAAACGGAGTTGGAGACCTGGATGAGCTGTGTGAGCGTGGAAAAGTTATTAAATCTTATGAAGCCCTAGTTAACTTGCTTGTACTTAAAAATGTACTTGCACTTGATAAAAGGTAGTTATGATTGGAATTATTATTATCATGATTGCCTTCAGATTATACCAAAAAAGAATTGCCTCTGCAGCTTGTCTCCATAGGGTAGTGGTGAGGAGGGCAGGCAGCATCAATGCTTCCTTTTTTGGTTTATTTCAGACTTTTTCAATGCCTCAGAAAGAGAGTTCCTGGTTACTAGGAAATGTATACTTTCATGAGTGGCCAAGATGAGAACCTCCAGAAGAAAACTGCACAATTCTGTAGGAAGCCATGGAAGAAGATACTGTCCATTCTGTCTCTCAGTGTCCTTTATACAATGACTCATATGATAAATGCCTAAGTCTGGTTCCAGGAAAGAGTTTGTCTCTACAGAAAAATTTTTATGTTGTCCATTGTCATACAACCAAAACTAAGTAACCCAACATGTTTCCACTTCTTCTTTGCTGCCAGAAAGCTTGTGCCAAGATGTATTACCCAAGTGTTATAATTAGCCCCAATCAGGTGCCTAAAGCCATCAGCTTCTTTTGCATCCTTCAGACAGTCCCAGTTTTCTTTTACCCTTGAATGGTTTATTCTATGGTGATTGAAGCTGTAAGTTTCTTCAGTCTCTCTGGAAGAGTTGGGTCACCTGACCTTTTAATGTCTCTTTCAACTACAAAATTCTATGAAGTCTTCAGTAACAATCATTAGAGCAAGATGATTAGCTCTAAATGGAACTTATAGCCTCTGATTCCAATAAGTGGAGGAGAGATGAAGAGATTTAAAATGCATTAAGAACCTAAATAGGCTAAGCGCTCTACCACTCTAGTGTTCTTAAGCTCACCAGCCTGGGAGTACAGATGTGGCCATGTTAACATTCGCAGCCACATCTGCAACTCAGTGTCCCCACCACCCCTTGCAAAGAAACAGAGCTTCAGAGTCTCTCTTGATTATTCCTGGGAGTCAATAGCAGTGTCTCATGAGAATTCCATGTTCTTGGGATGTTGCTGTCATGAATACAGGTTTTGTCAGCTGGGCATGTTCCCATCCAGTCAACCCTCACTGCTCCTCTGGTAGGCTCTGACCTACGTAGAATGAAGTCTTCTGAACAAAAATCCCAAACATGCAAACCATATGCCAAAATATTGCTATATATTTTCTTTCCCTTGGTGCCATTCGATGAAGTAATGGGAAAACCATCTCCCCACTCCTTCCAGTGGAGTAAGAATGGGTATAGTATGGGCAGAATTGCCCATGAAAAGAATATCAAGGGTGAAGACCATTGTTTCTAGATCTGAGCCTTAAGGAGCTTCAACTCAAGCTGGCTGGGGAGGCAGCAAAGGAGACTGAAGAGGAGGAGCCAGAAAGGTGGGAACAAAATGCAAGAGAGGATGGTGTTGAAAACTCTGAGAGACGAACACGTTTCACACAGGAGCACCAAACACTGCTACAAGCGTTATTAAGCTTTCACAGCACCAAGAGGCCAGTGCTGTCCCTCCCGTGTTGCAGGTGAAGAATCTAGGCTCAGACAGATTAATGTGGTTTGCCCAAGAGCATAAAGCTGGTTAGCATCAGGCTGAGACTCAAAGCCAAGTTTCCTATGCTCTGGCCATGACACACCTGTGTGAGATGGATTGCAGAACACGCCTTTTCTGTTCCTCTAATCTTGTCAATGTTTACTTCCCAAACTTACAATAGACTATGTTTCTATTATTACGCTTCCAAAGTCAACTTCTCCCTCTGACAAATGCCAAGGACAGCAACTGAATGGCTGAAGAAATCAGATGCCCATCCTCTTATTTGGGCTATGGCAATAAGGAGGAAAGAACTTACAGGGCAGATTTGAAACTGAGATAGGGTTTGGAGGTTTCTCTTTTTAATGTTGTTTTCTACCAGTATACTAGTAGATATAAATATGCCTCATAAAATTATAAAGCATATATATATATATATATATATATATATATGAGATTATCAGCTTTATTGGAGCATGAGAAAAGAATGGATCTTTGGGGATTCGGTATTTGCTTATTCTAGCTACAAGCCAACATCAATACATAAAGCAAGATTGAGAAACTCTATAATAATATTCTATTTTTACTGAGAGAAGTCTCTGCCCATCTGTGTCATCTGTGTGACTGACTTTTTTTGGAAGTGGGGTGGATTAAAAAGACTAGAAATACTCTGACAGTTAGGAGACCAAATATTGTTTTGAGGGGAAAAGCATGTTATCTGAATATTTTTCTAGGTTTTGGCCTTCCATTACTGCAGCCTCCTTGACTCTTTAAAAAGGGGCCAACAGTATTTTGAAGCTCCTGCGAGCAAGCCGGAGGAAGCTCAGTCAGACTGGGCACTCAACCTATGCTGCTCCTGAGTTCATTAACATAAGACATGTATTGAGGCATCTCATACCACCAGGAAGCTTTATTTCCCCAGAATCACAGGATAGTTAGAGAGAGTAAACACCCTGAAGACCTGGCCGGTGTTTTTAATATTTTTTTAAGGATATGGAACCCTTTGTGTGTGTGTGTAAATATAACAAGTTGAAAAATATTATCTTGACATTTGACATCTTAATCCCTCTAAGAGAGGAAGCTATCATTGTTTAAAAAATACCTTGGTAAACATGCCTGGGATATGACATCAGTGGGAGCCAAGACTTCAGAGGAGAAAGAAGACAAACTATTCTGGATGAGAACAGAGGAGGGACATGGGCAAATTTTTGTTTTTGTTCCTGAATGGGAGGAGGACTGGTGAGTGAGGGGGAAAGAATGGAGACAGGACTGAGAAGAACCAGAAATTAAAATAATAGTAGTAATAGCCTAACATGTACACGTATATGAGATCTATCTATCTATCTATCTATCTATCTATCTATCTATCTATCTATCTATCTATCATCTATATATCTATCATCCATCATGTATCTATCTATTTGCATATATAAGCTATAATATCTGGCTCTGTTCTAATTGTTTTACTTACATTAACTCATTCAATCTTCATATGAATCTAAGTAGATACTATAATACTATGGTCCTCATTTTAAATATGAGAAACTGAGGCACAGAAAGGCTAAGTAACTTGCCCAAATCCCACAACTAGCAAATATGGAGGAGTCAAGGAGTAGGGGAAATGGCATCTTAAAACCACAAATGTCAGCTATTGAAGTTAATTTGCTTTGCTGTAAAGTAAAACTGTTTTTACTTCTTCCCTCTCACCCCTATCAAAAAATGCCTTTTGTAAAATCTACACATATTTTGGGTAATCGAGTTCATTTTTATGGAATCCAAAGAAAGGACCCATGTCTGGGCCCAGTGCAATGTCACAGGGTGATCCAGTGGCCTGAGAGATAGGAGGGGCCATGAAAAATGTGCTCCAATTCCGGGAACTCTGAGAGTCTTGCACAGAATTTTGAACTTTGGAATTGGTGGATTTTAAGCAATTTAAACAAGATCTCAGGAGGCAAGGAAAACCCAAATGACATCTGGGAACCTTGATGGAAGCCGAGCTCCTCTGGTTGAAATGGGTGGGGCAGTGCCCTATCAGGATGGCCTCCCTCCTGCCCCAATGGCAGCCCTAAGGTTACTATGCAGATGCCAGGCTCCACTGACTTAGAGCTCTTTATTTTACCCATGATCAAGCTGAGAGGAAGGAAGGACTTCATTTTTACCCTAAGAGGCTGTAAACTGGCTTAATTTTGTGTTGATCAGTGATTTAGAAAGAAAAAAAAAACTTTTACTATAATTACTAATATTTAAAAATCAGCGAATTTTGTATTTTAAAGGTCAGCTTTCTTGTTTGTCTTGAAAATCTGGACACCAGTGCTGTTTTCCAGCAGAAAAACACTTCACCAAAGGTGGGTCACAGCACCACCTTTGCAGAGGGAGGCATGAAATTTCCAGAGTAGCCGGGTCTCCACTCTACCAGCTGTAGTTATTTACTACCCGATCAGGGGTAGAATTTGAAGCCCCTGCTATAACACACAGATGACAGAGTTAGTGCCAACTCAGACTTGCACCTAAATTTCTGGCTTCCTTGTTCAGAGTTTTTCTGTATCATAGTGATCAGATCCCAGAACCAATTTTTTTTAACTAAAGTATTCCAGTGCCTAGTATAGCACTTGGCACGCCAGAAGAACTCAGTACATATTTCTTGACACAAAGATAAATAGGTGGATGAAAGCTCACAGTGGCCAAGGAGCAAAAGGAGATATATCCCCTTCTCACCTTCCTCACACCACCATCACCAAGGAGCTTCATAGACAGGACAAGGGTCCTTTCTGACTTTGTTCCTTTAAAGAGAATCTGCAAGATACACTATTCTATTGAGGCCTGAAGCTTTCCATCTAAAGAAGAAATGTACCACCTCTTCTTAAGTATCAACTGTTCCAGCCAGTTCCCAAGGTCATGCTTCTCGGACTCTGGACCTGAAGAGGACAGGGCAACTCAAGCCAAAAGCAGGGGTGTGGGCAACTCAGAGGGGTTTCAAAAGATAGGGTGGAACTCAAGGAAACATCTCAAGGGAATCAGAAGCTGAGTCATCATGATAAACCCCAGATCCCACAGCACAGCTCTGAGCAGCTCTGCTGTTGGCTGGGTTGTATTTTAAGCCTTAATTATTATTCTTTCATGTTTGCAGTCTTGGAGCCTTGCTATTAAAGTGCTTTCAAATGTTTGGGAAGTCAGTGGTGTTTAAGTTTATCCTCTTACTGTTTGGATGACAGGAACTATTTGTAAACGGAGCACCCTGCCAGTTACCAGCATTTATTTGCAGTTATATCACTAATGTTTTTGAAACTTGTGTTTATCTATAATTTGACACATCAAGAGGACTTTTGCTCTTGGCCCAAGCTCCTGCCAAAGCAAAGGGTTATGTGTTAAAGTTGCTTTCATCAGACCTTCACAGACCCAATGGCCGTCTCTCACACCTCCCTTGAATCAGGGTTACCCAAACTGAAGTTAAGAAAGCAATTGAACACATATGTGAAAAGGTGGAGAGCCCAAGTAAGAGAAAAGCGGGTAGGGGGTGGAGGGCAAGCTCCACTTGGAGTAATGTTTTAAATAAAGGGCTGTTTTCAGAGAAGCTGGCTCTGATATCCACAAAGGCAATTTGGCAGAAGACCTAGCAACTCTCATCCACCTCTGTACTGATTATGATGATTGCCCTTTGCTCTGCTTCAAAACTCAGAGGAAGCTGTGTCGGCACCCGGAGGCATCTGTTTCACTCTGCTTGCTTACCCACCATTGCAGTTAAGCCCTGGGAAATCCTATCTTGGCCGATATGTGGAGAAAAGCTCTCAGTTGGAAAGACGAATGCTTTTTGTGATGGATTTTGAAAATCACAGTACTTCATAGCTGGAAGGAGACCCTCAGAGATGATCTAGTCCAAACCCCAGCTTATCTTAATTCATGTATTCATTCAACAGATATTTGCCAAGCTGCTTCCACATGCCAGGCACCATTCAGCACGATGGAGAAATACCACAAACCGAACAGACAGACAAGGCTCTACTTTCATGCAGCAAGTAAACAAATACCATCATCTCAGGGAGTGCAAACTTCTTTGAAGAAGACAAAACAGCGTACTGTGCTAAAGAGTGATTGAAGAAGTGGTTCTTTAGATAAGAAGATGCTGAGAGGAGGCAATGTTTGTCCTGGGAATAAATGATAAGAAACTAGTCAAGCAAAGATCTCTGAGAAGGTAGACAGAAAAAACAGCAAGTTCAACTGAGATAGAGCAAGCTTGGTATGCCAGAGAGCAGAAAACTCGAGCTTATAGGGTGAGGTTGAAGAGGAGCAGGGACCAGGTATGTCCAGGGCTCACCCTGGAGCCCAGGGTGAGGGGTTTTATCTAATCCAAATAGAAGCATGAACAGTAACAGGACTCAGTGGCTGTCACACAGCAGATGCAAGCACAGGTCTCTCCACCCCTATTTGGGACTTTTCAACCAGCACATGTTGTCCCTAAAACAAAAGCTGCTATCCTTTCTCTCATATTTTCTCACCAGATTTTTGCTTCCAGGAGGCACTGCATATAGGAAAATCGGGTTTGGCACAACACAGAGGAATTAATCTATGAATATGTCACTCTCATAATGAAAATTACTCTTGATTAAAATGATCTCTGAGCCTGAGTTGTTTTATGTTTGTGATGGTTAATATTGAGTGTCAACTTGATTGGATCCAGTGATCAACAAGTAGCAAACAGATTGGACTTATTGGTGAGACATTTGTGTGCCAGGGGATGGGAGATAAATCCAACTAAAATTCAGGGACCTTCTACCTCAGTCAAATTTCTAGTGGTCCAATGGTGTGGGGCATGCCGAGATATGCCTTCTAAGGAGAAGGATAAGTTGCTGCATTTGGCCCCTCCTACAACCAAGAAAGAGGCTCAATGTCTAGTGGGCCTATTTGGATTTTGGAGGCAACACATTCCTCATTTGGGTGTGTTATTCCAGCCCATTTGTTGAGTGACCCAAAAGGCTGCCAGTTTTGAGTGGGGTCCAGAAAACGAGAGGGCTCTGAAACAGGTCCGGGCTTCTGTGCAACCTGCTCTGCCCCTTGGGCCATATGACCCAGCAGATCCAATGGTGCTTGAGGTGTCAGTGGCAGATAGGGATGCTGTTTGGAGCCTTTTACAGGCCCCCACAGGTGAATCACAGTGGAGGCCTCTAGGATTTTGGAGCAAGGCCCTGCCATCTTCTGCAGATAACTACTCTCCTTTTGAAAGACAGCTCTTGGCCTGTTACTGGGCTTTGGTAGAAAAACTGAACATTTGACTATGGGTCATTAAGCCACCATGCGACCTGGACTGCCTATCATGAACTGGGTGCTTTCTGACCCATCTAGCCATAAAGTGGGTCATGACAGCAGCATTCCATCATCAAATGGAAGTGGTATATACGTGATCGGGCTCAAGCAGGACCTGAAGGCACAAGTAAGTTACATGAGGAAGTGGCTCAAATGCCCATGGTTTCCACTCCTGCCACCCTGCCTTCTCTCCCCCAGCCTGCACCAGTGGCCTGTGGGGAGTTCCCTATGATCAGCTGACAGACGAAGAGGAGACCAGGCCTTGGTTCACAGATGGTTCTGAACGATATGCAGGCGCCACCTGCAAGTGGACAGCTGCAGCACTACAGCCCCTTTCTAGGACATCCCTGAAGGACAGTGGTGAAGGGAAATCTTCCCAGTGGGCAGAACTTTGAGCAGTGCACCTGGTTGTGCACTTTGCAAGGAAGGAGAAATGGCCAGATGTGCAATTATATACTGATTCATGGGCTATAGCCAATGGTTTGGCTGGATGGTCAGGGACTTGCAAGAAGCATGATAGGAAAATAGGTGACAATGAAATTTGGGGAAGAGGTATGTGACCTCTCTGAGTGGTCAAAAGTTGTAAAGATATTTGTATCCCATGTGAGTGCTCAGCAAAGGATGACCTCAGCAGAGGAGGATTTTAATGATCAAATGGATAGGATGACCCATTCTGTAAACAGCACTCAGCCTCTTTCCCCAGCCACCCCGGTCATTGCCCAATAGGCCCATGAATAAAGTGGCCCTGGTGGCAGGGATGGAGGTTATGCATAGGCTCAGCAACATGGGCATCCATTCACCAAGGCTGACCTGGCTACAGCCACCACTGACTGCCCAATTTGCCAGCGCCAGAGACCAACACTGAGCCCTCGATATGATACCATTTCTTGGGGTGATCAGCCAGCTACTTGGTGGCTGATTGACCCAGACTATCAAGGTGAAATCAGTCCATTACTCCACAATGGAGGTAAGGAAGAGTACATGTGGAATACAGGAGATCCCTTAGGGCATCTCAGTATTACCAGGCCTTTGATTAAGGTCAATAGGAAACTACAACAACCCAATTCAGGGAGGACTACAAATGGCCCAGACCCTTCAGGAATGAAGGTTTGGGTCACTCCACCAGGTAAAAAACCATGACCCACTGAGGTGCTTGCTGAAGGGAAAGGAAATACAGAATGTGTAGTAGAAGAAGGCAGTTATCAATACCAGCTACAACCACGTGACCAGTTGCAAAAACGAGGACTGAAATTGTCATGAGTATTTCCTTATTTTGTTAAGAACATCTGTGCATGTATACACTTGTACTAAGAAAATATTTTCATTTTATTTCCTTTATTTTTCCTGTATCATGGGACATAAGATTTATCGACTTTATATCAGCATTTAAGAGTTGTTAACTTTATGTAACACTATTCAGATTAAGGATTAGTGCACTTCCAGTTGTAGGAAGGATAGCTGCATTATGTTGTGCATAATTGCGACCTTATTATTGTCTTTATTTGACAATTATGTGTGATTTCAGGGGATGTGTAATGTGTTCAGGTTGACAAAGGGTGGACTTGTGATGGTTAATATTGATTTTCAACTTGATTGGATCAAAGGATGCAAAGTATTGTTCCTGGGTGTATCTGTGAGGGTGTTGCCAAAGGAGATTAACATTTGAGTCAGTGGACTGGGAGAGGCAGACCCACCTCAATCTCGGTGGGTACCATCTAATCAGCTGCCAGTAAATCCAAGATAAAGCAGGCAGAAGAAAGTGGAATGAAGACTTGCTGGGTTTTCCAGCCTTCATCTTTTCTCTCATGCTGGGTGCTTCCTGCCCACAAACACCAGACTCCAAGTTCTTCAGCTTTTGGACACTTGGACTTACACCAGTGGTTTGCCAGGGGCCTTCAGGCCTTCGGCCACAGACTGAAGGCTGCACTGTTGGCTTCCCTACTTTTGAGGTCTTGGAACTTGGACCAGCTTCTCTGCTCCTCAGGTTGCAGATGGCCTATTGAGGGAGTTCACCTTGTGATCATCAAAGTCAAAACTCCTTAGTAAACTCTCCTTCATATATACATCTGTCCTACTAGTTCTGACCCTTTAGGGAACCCTGACTCATACAGTGTTGTTGTTTCTCCATGTGCTTTTCAGCATTTCCCATTCTCTCTGATCCAGGTTAATAGGAGAAGAAAATTCCCATATCCAGCATTTCCCAAACTTCACTAATTTCTTGATTAACTTTAGAGATTTTGCCATATCTGTGGCTCATATTTACTATTTTTTCACCTTTTGTTTTTTGTAAGAGACAAGGCCTCATTCTGTTGCCCAGGCTGGAGTGCAATGGCATGATCATAGCTCAATGCAGCCTCAAACTCCTGAGCTCAAGCAATACCCTTGTCTTAGCCTCCCAAGTAGCTGAGACTACAGGCACATGCCATCATGCCCAGCTAATTTTGTATTTCTTTGTAGAGATGGAGTCTCACTATGTTGCCCAGGCTGGTCTCAAACTCCTGGCCTCAAGCAATCCTCCTCCCTCATCCTCCCAAAGTGATGGGAGTACAGGTGCGATCCACTGCACTGGGTCCTTTTTTACTGAATATTTTTATTTAAACTGACTTATTATTTTAAAATTATTTCTACCTGCCCCAATTGACAGCACTCATAAAATTATGTTTGATATGCTAACCAGATTGTTTTTATTTTATTGCATTGTAAAGTAAACACAATATTATAGTTTAAAAGTTTTGACCTTTGTACCACCTAACATCATACCCCAGGGGCATAGTTTTCAGGGGAAAACCCCACTTCTTATACCTAATAGAGGGCATGCTCTCTAAGAAGGTAGGGAAGTAAGATTCCCTTTCTGCTTCTCTCTTTTATTTTTTGCTTCTATTGTAAACATTTAAGCCAACTTCCAATTGCTGCTCTTATTTCAAGTATAGAATGTACAAAATCCAGCCTGGGCAACATGGTGAAACCGCATCTCTACAAAAAATAAGAAAACTAGCTGGGCATGGTGGCACACCTGTAGTCCCAGCTACTCAGGAGGGGAGACTGAGATAGGAGGATCACCTGAGCCCAAGGAGGTCAAGGCTGCAGTGAGCCATGATTGTGCCACTGTACTCCAGCCTGAGCGACAGAATGATACTCTGTCTAAAAAATAATATAAAAAAAGGAATATGCAAAATCACCAGAACATCTAATTTCTGAAAAGCGTAAGTAACCATGAACTCTTCAACTTCCCTGGAAAGTGCCACCTGTAAGTGACTACTGTAAGTAGCATGGGAGAAGAGCAGACAGAATTCTCTCTGGACAGCCATCACCAAATGGCAGAGGCATGCATGTGCCACTGAGCAACAATAGCCAACATTCAACAAAACCAAGCACATTTAAAAAAATCTTTAGTGTGAAAATTCAAACATTTACAAAGGTAAAGAGAACAGTATCTCATGGACCCATCACCTGCTTTTGGCCAATGTTGTTTCATCTATACTCACACCCACTTCTCCCTCCCCAGTGTGTTACTGAGAGGCAAAATCACAAACACGGTTTCATTTCACCTGTAAGGATTTCAGTACGTGTCTTTAGAAGGAGTTTTATTTTGACTATGATCATAGTACCAGTAGGTCACAACAAAACTAAAAATGCTTTAGTATCATAAAATAATTAGTGTTCAAAACATAATTTTTTACCATTGTTTTGTTCAAATCAGGATCCAAATAAGATTCACATAACCTATTTGATTAGTATCTTCATAAGTAATTTGTAATCCATTGTTCCCCCCCTCAACTTTTTCTTTTAATTTATTTGTGAAAGAAACTTGCCCTTTCTTTGTCCTAAATACTTACCCACATTGTGGGTCTTTTTCAATTGCATCTTTGCAGTGTGCATTAAACATATTCCTCTGTTCTCTACTTGTTTAACTCCGGAGCTGTTCTGTCCAATATGTAGGCACAGGTACCTATTAAGCACTTGAAATATGGTTAGTCTAAACAGGGATGTTCTGTCAGTGTAAGATACATACCAGATTCCAAAGACTTAGTTTTAAAAAAAGTAAAATATCCACTAATAATGTTTATATAGATTATATGTTGAAACAATAACATTTTGTGTTGGGTTGAATAAAATTATTAAAATTAATTTATACTTGTATCTATCTATTTATTTATTTATTTATTTTTGGAGACAAATTCTTGCTCTATCACCTGGGCTGGAGCGCAGTGATGCGATCATGGCTCACTGCAGCCTAGGCCTCTGGGGCTCAAGCGGTTCTCCCGCCTCAGCTCCCCAAGTAGCTGGGACTACAGTCATGCGCCACCACACCTGGCTAACTTTTTTGTATTTTTTGTAGACACAGGGTTTTGCCATGTTGCCCAGGCTGTTCTTGAACTCCTGGGCTCAAGTGATCTGCCTGCCTCACCCTCCTGAAGTGCTGGAACTACAAGCATGAGCCACCGCACTTGGCCAATATCTTTTTATTTTTAATGTGGCTATGAGAAACTTTAAAATTATATATGTGGCTCACATATTTTTATTGGCCAGCACTATGTGAGAGCCTTAATCAGGTTCAGATTTGATGCTTTGGCAAGAGTATCTTGTGTGTACTCTCTAATATATTATACCAGGTGACAGAGAATGACTGTTGTCTTTGTGTGTGTGTGTAATGTTAGGATTGATCAGTGGGTCCACATGTTGTTAGCTTTATCCATTTATCCTAAAACTACGTATCAGACTGTCACATAACAGTCTTAGCAGCCATTCATAGTTACTGTCTTAAACAAGTTTCTCGGCCTGAGTACTATGGACATTTAGGGCAGGAGAATTCTTTGTTATGGGAGGCTGTTCTGTTCATTACAGGATGTTTAGCAGTTTCCCTGGTCTCTATCTACTAGATGCCAGCAACACTTTTCCTTGCCTCTAGATGGGACAATAAAAAAGTCTCTAAGACATGGTCAAATATGCAAAATCACCTCCAACCCATCTCCCTACCCCCAATTTAAGATACATTTTGTCTAGAGCCATTATCTCACTAGGGCCAAACATAAATTGAACCTCTTCAGTGACGTCTTCCCTAACACTATCTTTCTACAACCCAAAATTAAATATCTTCAATGTGCTACTTCCCTAGCACTGTGTTGCTCTCTAGGAGCATTTATTGTATTATTTCACAATTGCTTGAGTCTGTTTTCCTCTCTAGAATGTAAGTTCCTCAAGGGTAGCTTCCACACCTATGTATTCTACTGCCCGGCAAAACACCTGAATGTGGGCTCAATGGATTAAATGCCAAGTAAAGTTAAGAGCCACAGTCTCTAGGGGTTCCCTGATCCATCAAGTGGAAAAGCGGGACCACCCATCCAGTTCCTCAGTAATCATTTGTGGAGTTTGCCTATAAGAAGACTCTTAAGTAAAATGTATTGTTTTTGATAAGAAAATTAGAGTCATATCTGCCATCAGACTTGGGAATTTATTCACTTATTCAAGAAACATGTACTGGACACAAACTATTGGACAAATGCTTTTCTCAGAACTAGAGATAACAGTGAAGAATAAGCTGGAGAAGGTCCTCCCCTGCAGAGGGTATATCCTAATAGTAGAGAGTACTGCTAGGGGCCAAAAAACAGATACAGAAATAAATACATAAATAAGCCAGAGAATCTCAACTTGGGATATAAGTGAATAAAGAAAATAGACAACATGATGTGCTAAAAGTATGAATGGGAAAGCAACTACACTAGACAGATTGAAAAAATGAGATGGGAAAAGCCATGGACAAAGCAGGGAAGAGAATTCCAGACAGAAGAAAGAGAAAATGCCAGGTCTCTGCAGTAGAAAAGAGCAATCTGTGTTCAAAGTGCAGAATATCTGGCCTATGGGTCGGGGTGAGCAGAGCACACTGAGCAAGAGGCTGTGGAGCATGACAAGTCAGAGGCATGGGCAGGACAGCATGGCTGTGGTCCAGATCTGGGCTTTATTCAAAGAGTGAGAAGCTATTGCACAACTTAAACCATGGATGTAAAATAATATAAGCTACATATTTTTAAAATAACAGCTTTATTGAGATATAATCCACCTACCATACAATTCATCCTTTTAAAGAGTATAATGCAGTGGTTTTCAGTATGTTTACATACTTGGGCAACCATTACCGCTATCTAATTTACAACATTTTGTCATCTTAAACAGAAACCCCATACCTGTTCACAGCCTCTCCCATTCTCTCCTACTCCCAGATCCTGGCAACTGCTAATCTACTTTTTTTTCCTATGGATTTGCCTATTCTGTATATTTCATATAAATGGAATCAACAATATGTGACGTTTTGTGTCTAGTTTCTTTCACTTAGCATACATTTTCATGGTTCATTTATGTTATAGCATGAATCAGTACAGTACTTCATCCCTTTTTATGGCTGAATAATATTATATGGTATGAATATATCATTTTATTCATCTGTTGATTAACATTTGTGTTGTTTTCACTTTTTGGCTATTATGAAAAATGCTGCTATAAACACTTGTATACAAGTTATTTTTGTGAACATACGTTTTCATTTCTCCTGGGCATAGGTTTAAAAATGGAATTATTGGCTCATGTGGTAATTCTATGTTTAATTTTTTGGGGAATTGCCAAACCATTTTCCAAAATGGCTGTACAATTTTACAGTCCCACCAGCAACCTATGATGGCTTCACTTTCTTCACATCCTTGCCAACACCTATTAATGTCTGTCTTTTTTTATTTTAGCCTTCTTAGTGGGTATAGAGTGATATCTCACTGTAGTATTGATTTTCAGTTCCATAATGACTAATGATATTGAGCATCTTTCCATGTGTCTCTTGCTGGTTTTACATCTTCTTAGAAGAAATGCTTATTCAAATCATTTGCTCATTTTTAATTGGGTTGTCTTTTTATTTTTGAGTTGGAAAAGTTCTTTATATTTTCTAGATAAAAGTTCCTTATCAGATTTATAATTTGCACATATTTTCTCCCTTTCTGTAGGTTGTCTTTTCACTTTCTTCATGGTGTTCTTTGAAGAACAATTTTTTAAAATTTTTATGAAGTTCAAATTTCCTATTTGTTTCTTTGGTCTATGATGCTTTCAGTGTTATATCTAATAAGGCTTTGCCTAACTCAAGGTCACAAAGATTTACTTCTATATTTTCTGCTAAAAATGTTATGGTTTTAACTCTATGTTTAGGTCTTTAATCTATTTGAATTAATTTTTGTATGTGATGGGAGAAAGAGATCCAACTTTATCTTTTGCATGTAGATATCTAGTTGTTCCAGCATCATTTGTTTAAAAGATTATTCTTTTCCCATTGAATGACCTTGACCTCTATGTCAAAAGTTAGTTGAGCTGTGCGTGCTGGCTCATGCCTGTAATCCCAGCACTTTGGGAGGCTAAACCAGGCGAATCACTTGAGCCCAGGAGTTCAAGACCATCCTGGGCAATATGGTAAAACCCTGTCTCTGCATAAAAGACAAAAATTAGCTGGGTGTGGTGGCACACTACTGTAGTCCCAGCTACTCAGGAGGCTGAGGCGGGAGGATCACTTGAGCCCAGGAAGCAGAGGTTGCAGTGAGCTGAGATCATGCCACTGCACTCCAGCCTGGATGAAAGAGCAAGACTGTCTCAAAAACAGAACAATAACAACAAAAAAGAAGTCAGTTGACCATAAATGTGAGCGTTTATTTATGATTTTTCAATTCTGTTGAATTAACCTATTGTATGCCAGTACCACACAGTCTAGATTACCATAGATTAGTTTTGAGAAGTGTAAGTCCCCAATTTTCTTCTTTAATTTCTTTCAATAGTGTTTTATACTTATCACTGTATACATCTTGTCTTCTTTGTTGAGATTTTTTCTAGGTATTTTATTATTCTTGATGCTACTGCAAATGGAATGTTTTAAATTTCATTTTGGATTGTTCATTACCAGTGTATAGAAATATGCATATGCTGCAACCTTCCTGAACTCATTTAATAGTTTTAATAGTATACACTATTCTTGTGCTTGGTCTTAGGGGTAAAGTTTTCATTCTTTCACCATTAAGTATGATGTTAGAAGTACAGGCCAGGTGCAGTGGCTCACACTTGTAATCCCAGAACTTTGGGAGGCTGAGGCAGGAGGATTCCTTGAGCCCAGAAGTTTGAGACCAGCCTAGGCAACATGGAAAAACCCCATCTAAAAAAATTTAAAAATTAGTCAGATGTGGTAGTACATACCTGTAGTCCCATCTACTCTGGAGGCTGAGGTGGGAGGATTGCTTGAGCCCCAGAGATTGAGGCTGCAGTAAGCCATGATCATGCCACTGCACTCCTTTTGAGACCCTGTGTCAAAAAAAGTCTGTATTTTTTAGATGTCCTTTATCCAAATGAGAAAGTTTCTTTGTATTTTTAGTTTGTTAGGTGTTTCTGTCATGAAAGGGTGTTAGCATTTTGTCAACACCTTTTCAGAGTCAATGGCATTACCATGTGTTTTATGTTATTTATTCTATTAATATGATGTATTACATTGATTGATTTTCATATGTTAAGCCAACTTTGCATTCTTGGGATAAATCCTACTTGGTCATGGTATATAATCTTTCAAATATGTTCCTGGATTCAGTTTGCTAGTATTTGTTGGGAATTTTTTCATTTATATTCATAAGGGATATTGGACTGTAGTTTTCTGGTGATACTTCTGCCTGGTTTTGGTATCAAAGTAATAGTGGCTTTACAGAATGTGTTAGAATGTGCTCCCTCCTCTAAATTTTGGGAGTTTGCAAAAGGTTGATATTAATTATTTTTAGACATATGGTAGAATTAAAGAGTGAATCCAACTGGGCCTGGGCCTTTCCTTGTGGGAAGATACTATTAATACTAATTCACTCCATTTAGTTATTGTAAGTCTACTCAGATTGTCTATTTCTAAAAGTTTGTCCATTTCATCTATGTCATCTAATTTGTTGATAGACAATTGTTTGTAGTATTCCTTTATGACACATTTAATTTTGTTAAGTTCAGTAGTGATGTTCCCATTTTCTTTCCTAAGTTTAGCAATTTGAGTCTTCTCTCTTTTTTCTTGCTCTATTTAGCTAAAAGTTTGTCAGTTTCATTGATCTTTTCAAAGAATCAAATTTTGATTTCATTGGTTTGCTCTTTTCTTTTTCTAATCCCTTTTTTCCTAATAATTTCCACTCTCATCTGCATTATTTTCTTCCTTCTGCTAGCTTTGCATGTAGTGTAATCTTCTTTTTCCAGCATTGTAAAGTGGCAGTTTAAGCTGTTGATTTGAGATTTGTTTTAATATCAACAGTAACAGGTAAAGTTTCTCTCTAAGCATTGCTTTCACATACCATAAGTTTTTGGATCTGTGTTTTTGTTTTCATTCATCTCAAAGTTGTTTTTTCTTTTTTTCTTTTGAGATGGATTATTGTTCTGTCTCCCAGGCTGGAGCACAGCGGTGCAATCTCAGCTCACTGCAACTTCCACCTCCTGGGTTCAAGCAATTCTCCTGCCTCAGCCTCCTGAGTAGTTGGGATTACAGGTGTGCACCAACACACCTGGCTATTTTTTTTTTTTTTTTTGTATTTTTAGTAGAGACAGGGTTTCACCATTTTGGCCAGGCTGGCCTCGAACTCCTGACCTCCAGTGATCCACCCGCCTCGGCCTCCCAGAGTGCTGGGATTACAGGCATGAGCCACCGTGCATGGCCTCAAAGTATTTTTTAATTTCCTTTGTGAGTTCTCTTTGGCTCATTGGTTATTTAGGAGTGTGTTGTTGAATTTCCACATATTTGCAAATTTTCCAAATTCCCTTCTGTTACTGATTTCAAATTTAATTCCATAAGGGCCAGAGAACGTATTTTGTGTGGTTTTAATCCTTCTAAATTTGGGGGATTTTATGGCCTAAAATATGGTCTACTTTGGGGAATGTCCCATGTGCACTTGAGAAGAATATCTATTCTACTACTATTGGGTAGAACACTTCTATAATTATATATTATGTCTACTTAATTTATCCTGTTTTTTAAGTCTTCTGTTTCCTTTTGATTTTCTGTATAGTTGTTCTAGCTAGTGTAGGGTATTGAAATCTCCAACTATTATTGACGAATTACCTATTTCTCCTTTCAGTTCTATCAGTTTTTGCTTCATGTGTTTTAGGTTGTGCTGTTAGGTGCATATATGTTTATAATTGTTAAATCTTCCTCGTGTATTGACACTTTCATAATTACAAAATGTTTTTCTTTGTCTCTAGTAACACTTGTTGTCTTAAATCCTATGTTGTCTGATTTTAGTGTAGTCCCCCTACCTCAGTTCTCCTGGGTTATTGTTTGTGAAATATCTATTTGCTATAACTTTATTTTCAACCTAGTTATGTATTTGACTCTAAAGTGTGTCTCTTTTGGATAATGTACAGTTGAAACATGTTTTTAAATCTATTTTGCCAATCTTTGTCTTTTGATTAAAGTGTTTAGTTAATTTACGTTTGATGTAATTACTGATAAGGCACAATTTACATCTGTCATTTTGCTACTTGTTTTCTATATGTTTTATGTCTTTCTTGTTTATCTATTTACCATTACTGCCTTCTTTTGTGACAAATAGATATTTGCTGCTATACCATTTTAATTCTCTTCATTTTCTTTACTATGCATATTTTTAAGTTAGTCTTGGTGGTTGCTCTGACATCTAAACTTAAAATAATTTAGTTCAGATTAATATCAACTTATTTTCAATAATGTAAGAAAACTTTTCTCTAATAAAGCTTCATTTTTCCCCTTCATGCTGCTATCATCATATCAATTACATATTTATATATTAAAAGTCCATCGACAATGATCACTTTATGCACTTGTGTTTTAAGTCAAATAGGAAAAAAGAGTTACAACAAAAAATACATTTATACTCTCTTTTATATTTACCAAGGTAAGTGGTAGCTATGTAGTTATCGTTACTGGTGTTCTTTATATTTTGTGTGTGTGTGAATTCAAGTTACTGTTTAATGTTTTTAAATTTCAGCCTGAATGACTTTCTTTAATATTTCTTGTAGGGCAGTCTGCTAGTGACAAAATCTCTCAGGTTTTGTTTATCTGAGAATGTCTTAATTTCTCCTTTGTTTCTGAAGAATAATTTTCTGGTTGTAAAATCTTGGTTGGCAGTCTTTCTCTTTTAGCACTTGGAATGTGTCATCTCAATGCTTTCAGGCCTCTATATATTCTGAAGAGTAATCAGTTTTAATTATTATTGAATATCCCTTATTGTTTTTCTCCTGCTTTTTTCAAGATTTTCTCTTTGTCTTTCAACAGCTTGACTATTATGTGTTTAGATATGAAACCCTTTGAGTTTTTTCTACTTCAGATTTGTTGAGCATATTTGAAGTGCAGATTTAAATGTTTTTCACTAAGCTTGAAGAGCTTGGGCTATTATTTCTTCAAATGTTCTTTCTGCTTCTTTCTCTTTCTCTCTTCTTTCTAGGACTCCCATAATGGGTATGTTGATAGGCTTGATGTTTCCCACAGATTTCTGAGGCTTTGTTCATATTTTTTATTCTTTTTTCTTTCTTTTCTTAAGCAAACTTTGACTTATCTTCAAGCTTGCTGATTCTTTCTTTCCCCAGTTAAAATTTACTTTTCTGCTACTCTAGTAAACTTTTCATTTCAGTTACTGTACTCAATTCCAGGATTTCTATTTTTTGACAAATAATTTCTATCTCTTGATTGATATTCTCCAGTTGGGAGATATCATTTTCATACTTTACTTTTTACATGGATTCTTTTATTTCTTTGAACCATTTTATAACAGCTGATTTAAATTTTTTGTCTAGTAAGTCTAATGTCTGGGATCTCTCAGGAACAGTTTGTATTTACTGCTTTTATTCTTATGTATGAGCCACACTTTCCTGTTTCTTTGCATATGTCATAATTTTTTTTGAAAACTAGATATTTAAAATAATATAACAACTCTGGAAATTGGATTCCAGTCCCTTCCCAGAGTTTGTGACAGTTTCTATGTTTTTGTTTAATGACTTTTCAGGACTAATTCTGTAAAATCTGTATTCTTTATTGTGTGCAGCTCCTGAGGTCTCTACTTGGTTAGCTTAGTATTCAACCAATGATTCAACAGAAATTTCCTCAAATGCCTTGACCCAATATGTCCCTCAGGTGTCGTCAAGAGGTTCTGTATCTGTGTTGGGACATGGTTTCAACACCCTAGTAGTTAGCTTACAACTCTGCTTTAGTCTTAGATTCTTGATTGTGAGCCAGAGGTGTGAGATTAGTGCCTTCTCATGTCTTTCCTGGACATGTGCACTGCCCTGCCTATGAATGGCCAAGAATACGTCAGGTCTCTTAAATTTTCCTATAAACATCTCATTCCCCAATTTTCCCTTTTAAGGTTTTTTTGTTTCTGTTTTTGATTTTTGTTTGTTTGTTTTTTGTTTTCTGTAGTCTCTTGTTAGCCCCAAATGGTATGGACACCTCAGGCAGCTGTGATGTTAATCAATTGCTACTGCTTGTTTTTGACAAATTCCCCAAAGATAAGGCTGTCCATACAGAGCAGAGCTCTGCATTAGACAAATAAAACAAGCCCTAAGATTGGATCTTTTTATATTTTTTTAAAGTCAGGTTTATTGTAGCATATTCATATATAATAAAATTTACTATTTTAAGTGTACAGATTAATAAGTTTTGACAATACCTACACTCATATAACCAATGCCACAATCAAGATATAGAATATTTCCATCAGCCCTAAAAAGTTCCCTTTTTCGAGGCGGAGCTTGCAGTGAGCCGAGATCGCACCACTGCACTCCAGCCTGGGCAACAGAGCGAGACTCTGTCTCAAAAAAAAAAAAAAAAAAAAAAATCCCTTTTTCTGCTTTGCAGTTAATGCCCTCCCCTAGACCAAAGTCCTGGAAAACATTGTTTCCTTCTAGTTTGGCCTTTTCTATAATGTCGTATACACAGGACCATATAGTAGGTAGCTCTTTCTGGGATATACATTTTTTTAAAGTACATTCCTCCGCCTTGCGGGGAATGAATTGGAGAGAGCCAAGGGAGGAAGCAGTGAGAACAGTTAGAAAGCTATGATCCTAGTCCAAGTGCAAGCTGGTGGGAACTAAGATATATTGGTAACAGAAGATGGTTGTGAACTCTACTGAAGTGGGGTAGAGGGAAATAAGAGTTCTAATTTAATCACATTGGAAACCTTTCAGGTCAAGAAAAAAAATTATGCTTCCTATAGCAAGCTATCAAAACTTACATACTTTAAAATATAAGACCATTTATCTTTTCTCATGGGACTCAGAGTTCCCCACACGAATACCCATTTCTACATGCACTCAAGAAAATGCCACTGTCAAGCAGCTCTATTGTGGACTGTATATCTATGAGCAGAGTTCTAAGTAGAGCTTTCATCTTCTCCCCAAGTACTGACAAGCTGCACAGGAGACACTCTGCTTTGCTAATCTTCCACTTAAGACAGGACCTAATTAGATTGTCTTCTGGCTTTGATCAGAGAGGGTCTTTGGAAAGTTTAACAGCTCTGAACGACTCAATTGCCAGAGAGAAACCAGCGTGCCAAAAATAAAGCATTAATCAAAGCCAAGAAAACAGTGTTGGCTGAAACATGGCTTGGTATGGGGCGCTAGGTATTTCAAACAGCCGAGTTTGATGGAAACAATTAGGAACAGCAGTAATTGCCTGTCAGGCAACATTGCCATTTGCTGAGGACAAAGCTGATAAATTCAGACACAAAGGCTGCTGGGACCTCCATTGTAGCCTTTCACTTTTGAAGATTGTCTTCTGGTTTCCATTACAATGAAGCTCAAACTGCCGGCCCCATTAAAATGTCAAGGTGGGAGGGAGGGAGAAGGTCTTGAAATAAGTCTTTCAAGGCTATTGTTATAGATGGTTTTATTTATGGAGTAGGGTTCCTGTACACACTTATTTTACTTTTTCTTTACCTTAAGTGATGAAAGAACCAAGTCCTTTAGCCCTTATCGCCAGGGAACTGAGGGGCCAAATTTTGATCTCTGTAGTTTTTCAGGGGACAGGGTAGTGGAGGGGTGCAGTCAGGTCACACTCTGCCCTTATCTGTTCTTCCCCATACCTGGAAGAGTAAGTTCAGGTGCTCCAAAGAGACTATTCTGCAGAAGTTCCTTAGCCAGTGACTTCCAACCTTTCACAGGGCTTTAAATACCCATCCCACAATTAGAAATCTTGTAGCAATCTGGAATTCCCCTTTTCCTCCCTCTGTTCCGAAATGCCCCATCATCAATAGCTGCTCTCCCATTGGATTATTTGTAACCCAAATTCTGGGTCAAGGAAAAGAGAAAGGGTGTCCATTCTTAGGCCTAGAAAGGCTGTAATGATACATGTAAGGTATCTGTGGGGAAATATAAGTTCATTAGTAAGGAGTTCACTGAGATGTCTGTGACTCAGGCACATTCATGGTCAGTATAAGCACTGTCAATATTAGAGTCACTCCTTACTTAGAGAGGACATAATTGAAATAAACCAAAACTGAAATGCTGATCTGGAAGCCTAGAGACTGGGGTTTCATATTACTTGTCTCTAAAAAGCCATGTGCCCCGGAGTACAATTTTAACTTTGTTTGGTTTAGAACTGAATACCCAAGGCCTAGAAGACCACCCAGCACATAGTAGGCTCTTGGCAATTAACATTTGCCAATTAAACTTTTTCAAACCTCAGCATACTGACCAGAAATAGGGGATTTTATTAGTTTTCTGAGGCATCCAGAACAATATACTACCAACTAGGTGGCTTAAAACGATAGAAATTCATTCTTTCAGTTTTAGAAGATGGAAGTCCAATACAAAAGTGTCAAGAGGGCCATGCTCCCTCTAAAATCTGTAGAGAAGAATCCTTCCTTGCCTCTTCCTAGCTTTTAGTGTTGGCTGTCAACCCTTCGTGTTCCTTGGCTTGTAGCTGCATCATGCCAAGCTCTGTCTGTCATCACATGGCATTCTCCTGTGTGTCTCTGTGTCCTCTTCTTAAAAGGGCGCCACTCATATTGAATTAAGGGTTCACCTTACTCCAGTGTAACCTCATCTTGACTAATTACATCTGCAACCACTCTATTTCCAAGTAACTTCTCATTCTGAGATATTGAGGATTAGGACTTCAGTATAGCTTTTGGGAGTGCATCATTCAACCCATAATAGGGATAATTCCAGTTGTCAATCCATCTCATCATTTATTACAAGGACCTATTAAGATAACACATGGAAAAACTCTTTAGAAATAACAGATTATTATTCACATGCCTAGAGGAATTTCTTCTCCATACCATTTACTGTTAGGATATAGTAATATGTCATAAAACTTAAATTGTCAACTTGGATACTTAATAGGACTTCATAATTCTATTAATATACATTATCCCTCTTTAGCCTGCAAAGTGGGCAGGGCAAGAACTATTATCTCTTTTAGAGATTAAAAAAACAAAACAAAAAAAAAAAAGAAAAAAAAAAGACTGAGATACAAAATTAAATGACACAGTCAAAGATAAACAGAATGACAGCAGAAGAATTGGTACTAGATCCCATGGTGTCAGCCTCCCATTTGTGACCCTTTTGATTCCATCATAATGCTGAGATGACAATTTCTCCCTGGAGCCTTCATTTTCTCATCATTAGGTGGTCTGCTGCAGAGAACTAGAGGTTCAACTCCTGATCCATGGAGACTCACCAGTGCTAAGGGACTTCTGTTCAATTGGATCAAACTTGGCTGTATTGTGGTGCTGAAGATGCAAGGTGGGAGAGAAGGGGACGGTGAAAAAAGGGATGAAAGTAAGGAGTAATTACAATGAGTAGGTGAACTAGCAACTCAGCCAACAAGGAATGAATTAAGTGTGGTGTATAGGATAATTAGCAGTTCTTTAGTGCAGGAAAATTGCTACCAGCTGTTCATAACCCAAGAATGAAGCGCTGATCTGTAAACGGTTATCTGAACAACCAGGGAGACAGCTCAAAATGAAGCTGTGCCTCAGGGCCTGAAGGCTATGCTTTATTGTCCAGAAACAGCCTTGCCCTGGGACGAATCCATTATACTCATTAATAGTTGTTACATGCATTTCTTGTTCTAGCCACAAGCCCCTCGAGAACATTGGGCCCAGGGTCTACAGGAGTCAGACCAAAAGGGATAAATAAGAATGTCAGAGTCCTGAAATCCCAGGGTTCCTCCTCAGTTTGTTACTCCCACTTTCTTCTTCGTAGCCTAGTCAAAAAACATGATCTTATCCATCTTCAATGCCCATTTCCTCATTGAATTTCCCTGCCTTACCCCAGACAGGGTAGACGTGTCAGACAGTCTGACGCATCTTCAATCTGGCACGCTAATGTAGCTGCTCTTCTGAGTTAACCAAGAACCTTCAGAACAACAACAAAAATAACATAGAAGAAAATGTTATGACAAGATCCTGGAATGTCTTGTCACACTGACGGCAAGAACACCGTCAGAGCTTGAGAGTCATGTTAGAAAGTCAGGAGTCAACTCAATGAGGCTTCTACTGACTAAAGTGGGATGAACTGAACATTGATATAAATCATATCAAACCAAGAGATTAAAACACTTCAAATATGTCAAAAATCCATGCGTTCATAAAGATACTAAAACCAATATTCATTGTCCTCCTTGGAGCTTCTGGGGGACCAATACGTTACCCTGGAAACTGGTAAATAAAGGGAAGAACCAAGCATCCAGACCTCTTTCCTGTAGAACTGCACCGCAGATACTAAACAGGTGATGGAAGACTTCTCTAAAATAAATGAAGAAGAAATTATATTACCCTTTTGCAAACCCCGAACTAAATAAGAGATATAGGCAAGGATCAGTGATTGCCACTAACAACACAAAAAGAGAGACAATGAGACATTATGTTTCTCTTGATAAAAGTGCCATTCACTTTACCTGTAAAGGATCCTTGTCACATCAGATCAAGCCTCTAGATTTAACTACCAATGTATAGAAAATGCAAAGAACAGGCCAAGCATGGTGGCTCACGCCTGTTATCCCAGGACTTTGGGAGGCCAAGGTGGGCAGATCGCCTGAGCTCAGGAGTTCGAGACCATCCTGGCCAACATGGTGAAACCCAGTCTCTACTAAAATACAAAAAAAAATTAGCTGGGCATGGTGGAGCATGCCTGTAGTCCCAGCTACTCTGGAGGCTGAGGCATGAGAATCACTTGAGCCCAGGAAGCGGAGGTTGCAGTGAGCCGAGATCATGCCACTGCACTCCAGCTTGGGCTACAGAGTGAGGCTCCAACTCAAAAGAAAAAAAGAAAGAAAAGAAAACACAAAGAACAGAGAAATATGTCAAATGACACTACAGGAATGCAGTCAGAAAAATTCTGAATGTGAGTAATACCATAGGACAAATGATTTGGTTTCCTCAACAAGTAAATAATTAGGAGGGAGAAAACAAAGAAAGAGGGACTGTGATAAAGTGAATTATTGGCCCCCATTCTTCATCCCTTCCTGCACCCATACCTATGCCACAGCCTCATTGTGGGAGGAGTATACTTCCCTCCCTTTGACTCTGGGCTTGGCAATGATATTTGCCTGAGTAATTGGATGCAGTGGAAGTGGCAGTGCACAAGCTCTGAGCTCAGGCCATCTTGTGCTCCTGCTCTTGTCTTGAGAAGAGCTTCCTTTAGATAGCTGTTGAGTCTTCAGCCTGGACAGTGAGTATCTCAATGACAATAAAAATGGATTGAAAACAAGCAGCCACAACTCGATATTCTAGACAAGACACATGCTGTAAATTGAACATGTTCCCCGTTTAGTCATATTTTGAGATCCTAAGCCCAGGTATGATGATGTTAGGAGGCAGAACCTTTGGGAGGGGATTAGTTCATGAAGGTGGAGCAATCCTTCTTGAATGGGATAAATGTCCTTATAAGCTTATGAGCTCATAAACTCAAACCATCAACCCAAGAAGACACACACAAGAGTGCTTGCTTTTTTCTCCTCTCTGCTTTCTGATACATGAGGACGCAATGAGAATGCAGCTGTCCACAAACCAAGAAGAGGGCTCTCACCAAACACTGGATCTGCTAGCACCTTGATCTTGGACTTCCCAGCCTCCAGAACTGTGAGAAATAAATGTTTGTTGTTTAAGCCCCCTAGTCTATGGTGTTCTGGTATAGCAGCCCAAATTGATTAAGACAACATACAGCCCTAAGAAAGGGAGAGCTTCCTCCCCAGCCTAGTACACACCCAGTAATCTGCCACCACCACTATCCCCACTACAGTCACAACTAAATTTATATTTCCTGAGTTTTCTGCAGATATAATGAAACCAACAGAATAAGAAAGAATGACATATCTCATTCAACTCCATTATAGATTAATTTCAGTTGCCAATCTTCAGTGGCTTGAGTACCAAAGACAGAAAAATACATCAATTGGCCCCTAGGACTGAATCCTTTCCTCTTAGGGCAGAGAAAAATAGAGTTTGTTATCACCATCACCAGGTTAAAATCTTTATGTGGAATGTTTCCAGGCAGAGACCTGAATGTGTAAAGAGGAAGAGACAGATATTTCTTACTAGCAGCTTTTCTACAAGAAGAAAGACTGCTTTTCTAATTTGGTATATTTGTTCAGGTCTCCACTCTGGGCTCTTCCCCACAAGAAGTCCTAAGGAAGCATGTAGGTCCATGCCATCAACTAGGAGGACCTTGGAATCCAAATATTGGGAGGTTAAGTACCAAAAACATGTTCATCAAAAAGGTAGAAGATGTGCTCAGTTGACTCTTTTAACTTTTATGAGCTGAATTTATTTTTGGAAGGTTTGCAGCCTAGAGTATGGTGGGGAACATATAATAAGATTATCTGCTGTAGGTCTTCACTTTCCTGCCAGAGAAAAACAGTTGGGAGAAACCCTAAAATCCAGGCCCACACTCAGCCCTTAGCACAGCCCATAAACTCAAACCATCAACCCAAGAAGTTCCAGACCACTTCAATTAGCCATCAATCCAGAAGTTCCAAGTATGGAATGGTCTCTTCCATTCCAGGAACTTCAGCGCTTGTAAACTGTGGCAAGTTATAATTCCAAAAATGGCTACAGCAATATTTCTGGTCCCGTATACTTTTCCAGAACTTTGTAACTCCCTATCAAGAGGTGGGATCTATTTCTCCTCCTCTTGAAACTGGGCAAAACCTTGTGACTGATGATGAATGCAATACAGTGAAAATGGCACTCTATGGATTCTGAGGCTAATTCATAAAAGGCTACCTTTCTCAAGATGCTTGTCCTTGGAACCCAGTCACCATATGAGAAAGCCCAATCAAGTCCATGTGGAGAGACCATTTGGTGAGGCCCATGTGAAGAGAAACTGAGGCCTCTAGCCAATAGCCAGCATCAATAACCAGGCATGAGAGTGAAGAAGCCTTCAGATGATTCCAGCTCCCAACATGTGAGTCTCCCAGCTGAGGCCCCAGACATCCTGGCATAGAGCAAGTTACCCCTTCTGTGCCCTGTCCAAATTCCCAACCCATTGAATCTACAACAAAGCAGAGTTAGTATGTAAACTCAGACTCCGAATCTCAAAAATCTCAAGGACCAAAAGCAGTAGTGTCCTGATACTCCTCTGCTGGTGTCTGATCACAATTGTATTGGCCTCAGCAATGTATGAATAAAATGACCAGAAGAGTTAGCTCAGGCTGGAAGAAGATTGAGGCCATGCTTTGAGTGAGTAAGTTTTTGCCCCTTTAGAACTAGAAAGTGCTTAAGGGGCATAAACGGGGAAAGTCAAGAGTGCCATGGTAGCACAAAGTAGGGTCATGGCCAGGCATGGTGGCTCATGCCTGTAATCCCAGCACTCTCGGAGGCTGAGGCAGGAGGATTGCTTGGGCCTAGGAGTTTGAAACTAGCTGGGGCAACATGGCAAAATCCCATCTCTACAAAAAATATAAAACAAAAAAATTTAGCTTGGTGTGGTTTTGTCCACCTGTAGTCCCAGCTACTTGGGAGGTTGAGGTGGGAGGATCACCTGAGCCTCAGAAGTCTCAGAAGCTGCAGTGAAATCACACCACTGCACTCCAGCCTGGGGGACAGGAATGAAATCCTGTCTCAAAAAAAAAAAAAAAAAAAAAGAGTGGCCAGGCGCAGTGGCTCATGCCTGTAATCCTAGCACTTTGGGAGGCTGAGGTGAGTGGATCACTTGAGGTCAGGAGTTCGAGACCAGCCTGGCCAACATGGAGAGACCACCGTCTCTACTAAAAATATAAAAATCAGCTGGGTGTGGTGGTGTGAACCTGTAATCCCAGCTACTCAGGAGGCTGAGGCACAAGAATTGCTTGAACCCAAGAGGTGGAGGTTGCAGTGAGCCAAGATTGTGACACTGCATTCCAACCTGGGCAACAGAGCAAGATTCCATTTCAAAAAAAAAAAAATGAAGAAAGTAGGGTCATATGGCAGAGGAAGAGCCTCCTAAGAAAAGGGTACACAATAGTGGAATGAGAGAAAAGAGCAGAGAGAGCCAGATGCCCACATGAGAAGGGTCTGTAAGTTATATAATACATTGTTTAAAAGTCTAACCTATAGGTTTGAATCCCTAAGAAGAATAAAACAGTGCAAAAGTAACTTGTTTTTCTCAAGGATTACCGTGTTCCCAAAACTTTCATTTATGTTATCTCAATTTAACTTTATAACTTTGTGAGACATTTACCATTTTTATCACCATGTTCTCTTTTTATCTTTTATCATAAACAAGTTTCATTGTAAAAAATTTAAAAAAGTAGACATGTGAGAGTGAAAATAAAGATTCCCCTTTATTCTCTTACCTAACTCAATTATTCTCCCCATTTCAGAAGTGCCTACTGGTATGCTACATCTTTGTAGATGTACCACTAGAGTCTTATGCCTTTCTAGAGCTTTTTCTTTGTGCTAATAGACTTCTATATTTACACATATAGAGCTATTTAAAGAACATAAACGGAATTATACTATTTTTGTGAATTTTGCTTTTGCATTTAGGGATCAGCATATATGATGCTAATCTCATTTCTTTAAAAAAAGTTTTAGGTATTCCAAAGTATGGATAAACCACAAAATTATCTAGCTTCTCCCTCACTGATAGACCTACTTTAGGCTATTACACATAATACTGCAACAAGTATCTTCATACATATATTGTTGGACACATGTGGGAGTATTTTTATACGATCAATTCCTGAAGTACTTTGATATGATGACTTCCGGACCAAGGCATGTACATTTTAAATTTTGTATGATTCTAATTTTTAAGATAAGAAAACATATTGAGAAGTTAAGAAACTTGGCCAAGGTCACACAATTGGTAAGTGGCAGACCCAAGATTCAAACCCAAATTATCTGATTCCATGTGTTTGCTACTATGTGACGCTATCTGGAAAGACCCAGATAGCATGAATCACAGCCAATGCCTATTAGATGCATCCTTGCATTTTCTTAAACTTGTGCCTACTCTTCAGAAAGCGTTTCCTTGTAAAAAAAAAATTAAGAAAACAGACATGTGAGAAAAAGAAAACTTATTTTCCTTCAGGAAAGAAGAAGGGAAAACAAAGCTGTGATTCCCACATAAATTTTAAGCAAAGAGGCTTACTTTGTATTAGTCAGGGTACATTAACTGCTATAACAAATAAACACCCAAATATCTGTAGAAAACACACCAACAGTTTATTTCTTGCTTGTGTCACAGTTCAAAAACAGAATGGTGGTGGAAGGAAGAGCTCTGCTCCACGCAGTCATTCAGGGACCCAGCCTCCTTGCACATAGTTGCCTAAGATTCTGGAGCACTGCAGAGGACATAGACAAAGTAACCCTCTCTTAATCACCTTGGTTTGGAGGTTCACATCACTTCCACTCAGATTTCATTGGCAGAACTCAGTCATATGTCTGAACCAAACTTAAAAAAAAGTTGAGTATTAACATCCAGCTGTGTACCCAAGAGGAAAGAAAACATGGTTTTGATGGGCACAGAGTATTGTCTCTACCACAGTGAGGAATGAGAGCACATGAAAAAAATCAACTTGTATTGAGCAATTACTATATGCCAGAAAATGCTCTAAGTGCTTTCTTGTACAATCTCATGTGATCCTCACATCAACTCTGAGGTAGGGACTATTTCCTCTTTCACATTTTACATACGAGAAAACTGAGAAACAGGGCTATTAAGTTACTTGCCTAAGTTAACACAATCAGTAAAGGGTAGAGCAGGATTCAGATAGACCAGCCCAGGGTCCACACACCCTGGAATTTCTTTACATAACCTTTTAGTTCACAAATCAGCTTCTCTTTTCTTGAAGAAACCAACAAGCAGCACTATTTGTGTTACAAAAACAGTTTTACATACAAATTGTTTTCATGTAAATGTATATGAATTTGTTCCATGAATGCTCTTTATTGCATCCTGGCCTTGACGCAGGACCTAATTAATCGTCTCTTTGGTTCCCCCATTATTCTCTCTGGCAATCACAAATCCCTCTCTAAAAAGAAAACCTTCAAGTCTGGCTCTAAGAGGAAGGCTGGGGGAGAAAAGGAGGGGCCTTGTTCCTGTTTGAATCAATTGTTTACTTAACCCTGTGGCTGAAATATAAACAATTTTTTTAAGGCTAAAGAGAGAATTAAATTATTTCAATATAATGACTGAGAAGGGAGAGAGCCAAAGTCTGATGAGGTCTGAATGTGCATGAAAGCACCCACTATTTTTCATACTTTTTCTTATATACTGTGTTAAAAGTGTGGAGGGAGAGAAAGATGAAGGGAAGGGTAGAGAAAGAGAAAGGGATGAATAAGAGAGAGAGGAGGAAAAGTGAAGGAGGAGAAGGAAGTGAAGGCAGCTCCAGGCACCTTGCCCAACTCCTTGGAGATAAAGTTAACGTTTGTTCGCTTGTCTGAATAAACAAAGCTAGTCTGATACTCATCTGATAGTCTCAGTTAAGTCAGTACTGAAATAGTTGTAAACTGAAAATACTGAAAGATTTGCACACTGGTTGGTTAGTATCCATTGCTCCCACCCATCACACTGGGGGCTTGGTCCATCCCCCATGACCAAGACGTCCACACCACCCTGCAACCAAAAGAGTATGCCTAATACTGCAGGGAGCTCCCGGGGCCTCCTCCAGTACCAAGTGGGCATTGGCCAATCTTCCTGCCCTATAGGTTGTAAAATATTTTAAATATCACCCCTGTGCAGAAATCCTTATTCTGCAGCCTGGGAATGAGGTTGCCATTCTCCCTAGTCTTCCTCTCTTTGTTCACTCCTAACTGTCACTGGTTGAGCATCTGATGGTCTGAGAACAACAGTCACCAGGTCAGTCTGATGTCAGTCGTTAACTTGCCTTTGGTCCCATGCTCTCACTGCCCTATACTCAAAACGATCATAGCTAGAGGGGATTGTGTGGGCATGGAGGTGATGGACAGGCTGGGAGAGAGCGGGGGAATGGGGCAGGGTCACTGTAAAGTTTTGAGGGTGAGAAGAAAAACCAGAAGCCTTCTTGTTCACATAAAAAAAGAATTCATATGACTCCCTGTTTTGGGTGCTGTACAGTTTATATGATGTCACACAGTTTGTAAAACTCACATGCATGATCTCACTTGATCTTCATGCCAAATCTTTTGGTAGGCAGAGCAGGGGTGATGATTCTATTTTCACAGAGAAGGAAATGTGAGTCCAGAGAAGAGATGTGGCTTGCTGAGTCCTGCAGCTAAGATTTGAACTGTGGTGTGTAGATGCCAAGCCCAGCTTTGTTGGGAACGAGCACTTGTTATCACGTTCTGCATTTCTCACTTTCCTGCCTGCTCTTTCTGGCAGTTGTGAATTCCATTCCCAGACTAAAGAGGGTCCAGCCTGTTTAAATTTCACACCAGCAGCTCACCATTCTCTCTGTGCACTTTCCTAGGGACCACAGAGGGGCTGCCAGATGGCCATCACCTGAGGCCTTATGAATCTCCAAATGGCCTGACCTCCAGGGCCCAACTCCATTTAGGGCCAGGCTTGACTATGAGGCTACTGAGGAGAAAGTGGGGACTACCTGAAGTTCCCAAGAAGAGTGATAGGCTTGGGTCTGACATTAATCAAGATCCCTGGATTTGTATAGCATGTTACTTATTTTGATTTTGAGGATAAAATATCATATTCAATACTAATATTTCATCCTCATCCTTTCGTAGGTCTTTCATAATAACCGTGTGAGGCCATCAGAGTACACATCATTGCTAACATTTTATAATTGGAAATGGGATCTAAACAATATTCAGTGACTGGCAAGGTCACACATGATGGGTGATTGCAGCCAGGCTGGGGCTCCAATATTCTGGCTCCCTGTCCAATGCTTGTCACTGCCCTGTGCCACCTACTACTGCACACATATCCCATGTCCTTCCAGGGAGGAAAGAGGCTGTTTGGGCAGAAAATGATGATCCTTAGCTGCTAACTCTGTCAGCACAAAGAGAGTGGGACTGCAGATGACCTCCAACACTGAATAAACCAAAAAGGATTCATTTAACGTTTGAGAACAAATTCTCAGGTAAGAAATCTACCTTGTCCATCATATTTTATTGTTTTAATAAAAAGTAAGAAAAAGCTGGGTGCGGTGGCTCATGCCTGTAATCCTAGCACTTTGGGAGGCCAAGGCGGGTGGATCACTTGAGCTCAGAAGTTTGAGACCAAACTGGCCATCATGCCAAAACCCCGTCTCTATAAAAAAATACCAAAATTATCTGGGTGTGGTGGTGCAGACCTGTAGTCCCAGCTACTCAGGAGCCCAGAAGGTTGAGGCTGCAGCGAGCTGAGATGGTGCCACTGCACTCCAGCCTGGGTGACAAAGTGAGACCCTGTTTCAATAAAAAAGCAAGAAAGGAAGCTGAAAAGAGATGAATATTTACTATCTCCACTACATTATTTCATTTAGCCATCGTAACAGTATGCAAAAGTATTATCATCCATTTCACACAAATGAGGAAACAGAGTCAGAGAGGTTATGTATGATATTTTGCTCAAAGTCTTGTAGCTAGGAATGAGCCTTCCCAAAAGCTCATGAATGTTAAGAGGTCCCCCCTTTTTTGGGTCAGCTTTGCCATTTGGAAGGAAGAATATGAATTCTGGCTCTATCACTTAGATTTCTTGTGATCCAGACTAGTTATTATTTTGGTCCCAGAGAATAACTTCTCTCATTTCCAAAATGCAGATAAGATACCTCCTTTCCAAGAAGGTTATGAGGATTAGCATCAACTGCTAACATACTTTGCGTGTTTTCTAAACACTTTTTCTAAGTTCTTTCCACCTATTATCGTATTAACTGCTCCAAGCATCTCTATGGGAATGGGTACTACTTTTTTAGCCCCGGGTCCCAGGTGAGAAATCAGAAACAGAGCATTTAAGAGATGCTTCCAAGTTAGGAGCTGGAAAGGCCAGCTCCTTGAAGGCCTTGAAGTCAAGGCATCTGACTGCACAGTCCACACTCCCAACCACTGCACTCCATGACCTCTCTGATTTAAAACGACTGAGACATAACAAGAGCTCAATAAAGAGGGTCTGTTATATCATCGTGATGGCTGGTAGCTGAAGTGAATGGAAGGGACCTTTCACCAGGACCAACCCACAAAACAGCTGAACGTACCCACGTCAGGAATGCAAATGAGGGAGGAGCACTGAGTCCTCCACAGACAATGGAGGTGACATGGTTTGGATGGGTGTCCCCTCCAAATCCCATGTTGAAATGTAGTCTCCAGTGTTGGAAGTGGGGCCTGGTGGGAGGTGTTTAGGTCTTGGGGACAGATCCCTCATGAATAGCTCGTTGCCCTCCTTGTGAGAGTGAGTTCTTGCTCTGAGTTCATGTAAAACCTGGTTGTTTAAAAGAGTGTGGCACTTCCTCCCTCTCTCTCTCTCTCTTGCTCCTACTTGCCATGTGACACGCTTCTCCCCCAGTGCCTCCCCCTTCACCTTCTGCCATGAGTAAAAGCTTCCTGAGGCTCTCACCAGAAGATGCTGGACTCATGCTTCTTGCACAGTCTGCAGAACCATGAGCCAAAATAAAATCTCTTTTCTTTATAAATTACCCAGCCTCAAGTATTTCTTTATAGCAATGCAAAACAGCCTATCCCAGGAGGTAAGGTAGGCATTGGCCTCATAGCCCCTAGAGACCCTACTCCATCCCTGACAGGTTTGAGCCTCCCATGCCATTTTTCCTTCCCAGGCTTGGATGAGAGAATAATCTTAAGGAAGTCAGCATATGTTCTAGAAACATTCAGAAGACAAAAGAGTCTGTTATGAAAGAACAAAGTATTTGTAATAATAAATTGAATGTTACATGGACACACCCAGACATACACACACAGACACACACACACACAGTTTTTCTTCTCTCTCTCTCTCTCCCCACTCCCCTCTCTCATACTTTGCAAACAAGCTCCTCAGCAGCTGGTAAGCTGTTCCCTGTCCTCCCACTCAGCCGAATGCCAGTTGTCCCTCCATCCCAACCCAGGCTCTCATAATGGTTTCAGCTTCCAAGAGACAGCTTGACTCAAAATGCCATCCAGTCTGGCTGCCAGGGGAAGCATGAGGACTTATCCAGCAGAGAGGGACAGAAAACACGACAGCCAGAGCCCTCATGCCAGAAGAGCTCTAGGAACGTGAGCATCTGTGAGGTGTTTCTGCCCACAGGTGAGGCTGTGACCTCTGAAAATTACCGGCCTATTAGGGAATGTTTCATGAGGCAAGAGGGATCTTCCTCATTAGCCACTGGCCTCAGCCTACCTTTCCAGGAGTTAAATGTAGGAGACAAATCATGCATTTTATGTCACTTGTATGCATCTTGTTTCTCTCACTCAGTGGTGCATCATAAATACCTCATTTTGTCCTATTTACTCATATTTTAGCAAGAAACCCCAGAGACCCAAGAGGGACAGAATCTGAAACTCTGAGAGTTCTCTGATTTACCTTTCTTTGATTCTATCTCCTTTTACCTCTCAATTCCCTGTAATGGACTAATGACAATCCTCTGTGGAAATGTCTGTGTTTTGTTTCCTTTATCTGGGAACAGACCCTGACCCGGCCCATAGCCATAGGGGTGGATGGGTGCCCTAGGCTAAGCCAGTCAGAGCTTATCACCTGTCCACAGAAGTTAGGTCAGTGGGAGAGCACAAGACCCAAGCCAGCCAATCAGAATCCTTTCCCTAGGTTTTTCAAAGCTGGGATTGAAAAGTGTACCTTCTTTTTTGGTTGTACCATAAGTTGAGCACTGCTTGCAGCCACCATTCTAGTCCACTGAAGGCAGCTGGTCAGAGAAAATGGAAAGATAACAAGCTGAGAGGATGACTTCTGTGGTTTCCTGATTCTCCATTTCGTGGGTACATGAGCTAATAAATCTTCCTTTTTGAATATGGAAAATTGTTTGAATTGGGCTTCTGTTGTTTGACTAGTGGCCAGCATTTGAAATGTGGTGGTGTGGCAGGGAAGGAGCTATTAAGCCATCTAGCCTCCTAAACCTTGTAAAATATGGTAGCCAAAGAGGAAGAGACTTTTAGGATATCTAAAGCAAAGCAATGTATTGCCAAGTTACCAAAAAAAAAAATTCAAAACAGCTGAAAAATTAGTGAAATATATTGGCCCAGGTACTTGAAAAGTCCCAAGGTGACTCTCACATACAGACAGCAAAGCTTAATCCAAAAGCTGAAAAACGGTCACCAACAGCTTAGAACCTTGCATCTCTCCTTTCACCTTCTATGGTATTAGCTTCATCCCTGCGCCCCATTCAGACCACTGAGAAAATCACTGTAAGGCAGGTAGACTCCCACCCCAGTTTTGTCACTTGCAGCTGTATTTAGTTATGAAAGTAATCTAAAAAGTGCAAGTATGATGAAAATGAGAATTGTGCTTCCATTTCTATAAAATAATCTTAAAATCATCTATCTGTGTGTGTATATGTGTTAATATGTGCATGTATGTGTGTGACTGTATATGCATGAAAATGCAGGAAAAGATACATACCAGGTCATTAACATTGTTTACCAGGGGTGGGGAAGTAAAGACCAGGAAAGGAGGGCGAAAGACTCAGGAGAGGAGAAGTTGTTGATAATAACGGTATTTACGGTATGTATAGAGTTCTATGGATTTTCAGCATTTAGAGGCTGCCCACATTCCATAACTCCTGGCCCTTCCATCTTCAAAGCCAGCACTCGCTAGTCAACTCACATCACTCTGATATCGACTCTTCTGCCTCCCTCTTCCACATTTAAAGATCCAGGTGATTACATTTTTGCCTGGCAATGTAACATATTCACAGGTTCTGGAGATTAGGACAGTGATGTCATCAGGATGACATTAGGATGTCCCTGTCCCAGAACCTATGAAGATGTTAAATTTCATGGTGAGGGGGGTTAAAGTAGCAGATGAAATTAAGGTTGCCATTATTCCACCTTTTATACATTATGATCCCATTTGTGCAAATGTGGATGCATAGATACATAAAGTGACAAAGAGGAAATGCATGTATATATATGTAAAGTAACAAAGTGATAAAGTGGAAGATAAGTCATCAAAATGATAGTGGTTCTCACAGGGAGTAGAAGTCAATTCACTTCATGTTTTTCTCAAAATTTTATGCAGTGTTTTATCTGTTTGAATATTTGTAAATCTGGCCAAGCGCAGTGGATCACATCTGCAATCCCAGCACTTTGGGAGGCTGAGGTGGGAGAATTGCTTGCTATTTTGCCCAGGAGTTTGAGACCAGCCTAGGCAACGTATCAAGACCTCAGCTCTACAAAAAAAAAAATAAAAACCTTAGCTGGATGTGGTGGTGCATGCCTGTAATCCCAGCTACTCAGGAGGCTAAGGTGGGAGGATCCCTTGAGCCCAGGAGATTGAAGCTGCAGTGAGCCGTGATTGAGCCACTACACTCCAGCCTGGGTAACCGAGCAGCACTCTGCCTCAAAAATAAATAAATAAATACATAAATAAATAAAAAAGCAAATTTATGTACAGGAAAAAGCAACAAAGTTTGTTTCATTGGTGAAAATCATCAATTTTAGTGGGGTGTGAGACCTGAGCTCCCTCAAGTATCTGAAGCACTGGATCTGAAAGGTCTGTGAGAGACGGCAGTAGCAGCCTCAGAGGAACTTTGTACTGACTAGAACCCCCTCCCGCCAAACACTCTTCTTCTGTACACAATAGGAGATAGTGAGCCAAAGCAATAGAAAAACTCCCATCTGATATTAATCCAATTAGAGAGATTCAAAGCCAAGTAGAACATGCAGACTGATGGATGTGCAGAAACTACTTTGCAGCAGCTCTGCATGGAGCTGGGGAGGGCAGGTAATGAAGGCAACTCTGAAGGTCTCAGAATACGCACCCCGGAGGAAGTCACTTTCCCTCCTTCCCCAACAGCCTAGTCGAAAATGTCTACTCATTTTTGGGATCCTTCAGCTGTCCCTTTCCACATCCTTGGTCACTCTCATGCACGTCCTTTTCAACTTCTCCCTTTCCTGGTCCCAAATGGCTGGCATACCAGCAGCCCTCCAAGAGCACCCTCCCCACATTAATTCTTGCTCTCTAGAAGACAACCTGCAACATCAGTGTTCCCTGGATCATGAGATATTTATTAAGTGTTCAGTGAAACATATGATTCTGTGGTCAAAACTTTGACCACAAGTTTTCTGTGGTCAAAACCTGGGAAGAGAGAGCTAATACAATTAAATTCATTGTTTCTCTGCAGGACACCCCAGAGGCCTTGATATGCTCATGTGCCCTGCGTTGCACTGCAATACGCCAGGAGGTGGCTGCAGTAAGCAGTAAATCCACCTAACTGTGGGATCATCATGTTATTAAAGAATAACAGGTGAAATTATTACTCCACATGCTGGAAACAGTGTTAAAGACCTCTCTGTGATGGTAGGGCGAGTTAAGAATTTAATTTTGCAGCCCAAAAGAGCCTTAGAAACCATCTTGTCCAACTCCTTTATTTTAAAGCTTAAGAAAGGCACAGAGAGTAAAGTGACTTGCCTGAAGTTCCACAGCTAGTTACTAGCAAAGAAAAGAATCTCTTTCCAGTGCTCTTATTTGCTCACTATTTTATACCATCCCAAGTTACATCTACTAAACACAGAAAGGAGGTTCCTCTCATATGGCACATCTGTGGGAAATCACAAAGTACCCCTGGAAGCTTTAAGCCTTATCTAAGTTGGAATATTGGCTCTGTTACCTACTGAAGGTATTTTAGACATCATGGTCAAATGGTGGGTTGTTTTGATTTGCGATGGTGGTTGGACAGAAGGGCATGTAGAATTGTAATTCACCTTAAAGATTTCCTCATCCAACATTTCACATGGGGCAGGAATGTTACCTATAGAAATCCAGAAAAGTGATTATAATGTTTTGTAAAACTGCTTCATTAAGATTTGATATACAGTCAACTATCCATTATTAATAAACTACTAATTTACAATTTAATACATTTTGACACATTTTTACACCCATGGAACTATTACCATTATCAAAACAGTCAGTATATCCACCATCCCCAAATATTTCTTTTTTAAAAACAATTTTTTAAAATTTTTTATTTCCATAGGTTTGGTGAGGAACAGGTGGTATTTGGTTACACGAGTAAGTTCTTTAGTGGTGATTTGTGAGATTTTGGTGCATCCATCACCCGAGCAGTATACACTGAACCCAAATTGTAGTCTTTTATCCCCCATCTCCTTCCCCCGCTTTCTTCCCACATCCACAGAGTCCATTGTGTCATTCTTATGCCCTGGCATCCTCATTGTTTAGCTTCCACTTATGAGTGAGAATAACGTTTGGTTTTCCATTCCTGAGTTACTTCACTTAGAATAATAGTCTCCAATCCCATCCAGGTTGGGGTTTCCAATCCCATCCAGGTTACTGCAAATGCCATTAATTCATACGTTTTTATGGCTGAGTGGTATTCCATCATATATATATATATGCGCCAGTTTTTTTATCCACTCACTGATTGATGGGCATTTGGGCTGGTTCCACATTTTTGAAATTGCAAATTGTGTTGCTATAAACATGCATGTGCAAGTATCTTTTTCATATGATGACTTCTTTTCCTCTGGGTAGATACATAGGAGTGGGATTGCTGGGATCAAATGGTAGTTCTACTTTTAGTTCTTTAAGGAATTTCCACACTGTTTTCCATAGTGGTTGCACTAGTTTACATTCCCACAAACAGTGTAGAAGTGTTCCTTTTTCATCTCATCTGCACCAACATCTACTATTTTTTTATGTTTTGATTACGGCCATTCTTGCGGGAGTAAGGTGGTATTGCATTGTGATTTTGATTTGCATTTCCCTGATCATTAGTGATGTTGAGCATTTTTTCATGTGTTTCTTGGCCATTTATATATCCTCTTTTGAGCATTGTCTATTCATGTCCTTAGCCCACTTTTTGATGTGATTGTTTTGTTTTTTCTTGCTAATTTGCTTGAGTTCATTGTAGATTCTGAATATTAGTCCTTTGTTGGATGTATAGATTGTGAAGATTTTTTCCCACTCTGTGGGTTGTCTGTTTACTCCACTGACTGTTCCTTTTGCTGTGCAAAAGCTCTTTAGTTTAATTAGGTCCCAGATATTTATCTTTGTTTTTATTGCATTTGCTTTTGGGTTCTTGATCATGAAATCCTTACCTAAGCCAATGCCTAGAAGGGTTTTCCTTATGTTAGTTTTTAGAATTTGTATAGTTTCAGGTCATAGATTTAAGTCCTTCATTGACCTTGAGTTGATTTTTGTATAAGGTGAGAGATAAGGATCCAGTTTAATTCCCCTACATGTGGCTTGCCAATTATCCCAGTATGATTTGTTGAATAGGGTGTCCTTTTCCCACTTTCTGTTTTTGTTTGTTTTGCCAAAAATCATTTGACAAATTGGTTTATTTCTGGGTTCTCTATTCTTTTCCATTGGTCTATGTGCCTATTGTTATACCAGTGCCATGCTGCATTGGTGACTATAGCCTTGTAGTTTAGTTTGAAATCAGGTAATGTGATACCCCCAGATTTGTTTTGTTTGTTTGGTTGGTTGGGTTTTTTTTTTTGTTTTTTATTTTTTATTTTTGCTTAGTCTTGCTTTGGCTATGCAGGCTCTTTTTGGTTTCATATGGATTTTAGGATTGGTTTTTCTAGTTCTGTGAAGAATGATGGTGGTATTTTGATGGGAACTGCACTGAATTTGTAGATTGCTTTTGGCAGTATGGTCATTTTCACAATATTGATTTTACCCATCCATGAGCATGGGATGTGTTTCCATTTGTTTGTGTTGTCTATGATTTGTTTCAGCAGTGTTTTGTAGTTTTCCTTGTAGAGGTCTTTCACCTCCTTGGTTAGGTACAAAGTATTTTGGGGTTTTTTGCAGCTATTGCAAAAGGAGTTAAGTTCTTGATTTGATTCTCAGCTTGGTCACTGTTGGTGTATAGAAGAGCTGCTGATTTATGCAAATTAATTTTGTATCCTGAAACTTTGCTGAATTCTTTTATCAGTTCTAGGAGCTTTCTGGAGAAATTTTAGGGTTTTATAGGTATACAATCATATCATCAGCAAATAGCAACAGTTTCACTTCCTCTTCACTGATTTCAATGTCCTTTATTTCCTTCTCTTGTCTGATTGCTCTGGCTAGGACTTCCGGTACTATGTTGAATAGAAGTGGTGAGAGTGGGCAGCATCCTTGTCTTCTTCCAGTTTTCAGAGGAAATGCTTTCAACTTTTCCCTGTTTAGTGTTATGTTGGCTACAGGTTTGTCATAGATGGCTTTTATTGCATTGTGGTAGGTCCCTTGTATGCCAGTTTTGCCAAGGGTTTTCATCATAAAGGGATGCTGAATTGTGTCAAATGCTTTTTCTGCATCTATTGAGATGATCATGCGATTTTAGTTTTTAATTCTGCTTATGTCGTGTATCACATTTATTGACTTGCATATGTTAAACCATCCCTGTGTCCCTGGTATGAAATCCACTTGATCATGGTGGATTATCTTTTTGATATGCTGTTGGATTCAGTTAGCTACTATTTTGTTAAGGATTTTTGCATCTATATTCATCAAGGATATTGGTCTGTAGTTTTATTTTTTGCCTATGTCCTTTCCTGGTTTTGGTATTAGG
Organism: Homo sapiens; assembly: GCF_000001405.40. NCBI lineage: Eukaryota > Metazoa > Chordata > Mammalia > Primates > Hominidae > Homo > Homo sapiens. Next base: position 169,477,824 of record NC_000005.10, read on the forward strand.
GTGATACTGGCTTCATAGAATGATTTAGGGAGGATTCCTTCTTTCTCTAACTTGTGGAATAGTGTCAATAGGATTGGTATCAATTCTTCTTTGAATGTCTGGTAGAATTCAGTTGTAAATCCATCTGGTCCTGGACTTCTTTTTGTTGGTAATTTTTTCAATTACCATTTCAATCTTGCTGCTTGTTATTGGTCTGTTCAGGGTTTCTAATTCTTCCTGATTTAAGCTAAGAGGGTTGTATGTTTCCAGGAATTTATCCATCTCCTCTAGGTTTTCTAGTTTATGCATGTAAAGGAGTTCATAAGAGGCTTGAATGATCTTTTGTATTTCTGCGGTGTCGGTTGTAATATCTCCTGTTTCATTTCTAATTGAGCTTATTTGGATCTTCTCTCTTCTTGGTAAATCTTGCTAATAGTCTTTCAGTTTTATTTATTTTTTCAAAGAAGCAGCTTTTTGTTTCACTTATCTTTTGTATTTGTTTGTTTCAATTTCATTTATTTCTGCTCTGATCTTGGCTATTTCCTTTCTTCTGCTGGTTTGGGGTTTGGTTTGTTCTTGTTTCTCTAGTTCCTTGAGGTGTGACCTTAGATTGTCTATTTGTGCTCTTTTACTTCTTGATGTAGGCCTTTAAGACTACGAACTTTCCTTTTAGCACCACTTTTGCTGTATCCCAGAGGTTTTGATAGATTGTGTCACTATTACCATTCAGTTTAAAGAATTTTTAAAGTTCCATCTTGGTTTCATTGTATACTTAATTATCATTCAGGAGCAGGTATTTAATTTCCATGTATCTGCAAGGTTTTGAGGTCCCTTTTGGAGTGGATTTCCAGTTTTATTCAACTATGATCTGAGGGAGTACTTGATATAATTTCAATTTTCTTAAATTTATTGAGACTTGTTTTGTGGCCTATCATATGGTCTATCTTGGAAAAAGTTCCATGCACTGATGAATAGAATTTACATTCTGAAGTTGTTGGGTAGAATGTTCTGTAAATATCTGTTAAGTCCATTTATTTCAGGGTATAGTTTAAATCCATTGTTTCTTTGTTGATTTTCTTTCTTGATGACCTGTCTATTGCTGTCAGTGGAGTACTGAATTCCTTCATTATTATTGTGTTGCTGTCTATCTCATTTCTTAGGTCTAGTAATTGTTTTATAAATTTGGGATCTCCAGTGTTAGGTGCATATATACTTAGGATTGTGATATTTTCCTGTTGGACAAAGATTTTATCATTATATAATGTCCTTCTTTGGCTTTTTTAACTGCTGTTGCTTTAGTTTGCTTTGTCTGATATAAGAATTGCTTATATCAGCTGCTTGCTTTTGGTGTCCATTTGCATGGAATATCTTTTTCTACCCCTTTACCTTAAGTTTATGTGAGTCCTTATGTGTTAGGTGAGTATTCTGAATGCAGCAGATCCTTGGTTGGTGAATTCTTATCCATTGTGCAATTCTGTATCATCTGAGTGGAGCATTTAGGCCATTTAGATTCAACATTAGTATTGAGATGTGACATACTATTCCATTCATCGTGCTATTTGTTGCCTGTATACCTTGGGGTTTTTTAATTGTATTTTTGTTTTATAGGTCCTGTGAGATTTATGCTTTGAAGAGGTTCTATTTTGATGTATTTCCAGCAATTATTTCAAGATTTAGAGCTTCTTTTAGTAGTTCTTGTAGTGCTGGCTTGGTAGTGGCAAATTCTGTCAGCATTCGTTTGCCTGAAAAAGACCGTATCTTTCCTTCATTTATGAAGCTTAGTTTTGCTGGATACAAAATTCTTAGCTGATAATTGTTTTGTTTAAGGGGGCTGAAGATAGGGCCCCAGTTCCTTCTAGCTTGTAAAGTTTCTCCTGAGGAATATGCTGTTAATCTGATAGGTTTTCTGTTAGAGGTTACTTGGTGCTTTTGCCTCACAGCTCTTAAGATTCTTTCCTTTGTCTTGTTTTTAGATAACCTGATGACAATTTGCCTAGGTGGTGATCTTTTTACAATGAATTTCCCAGTTTTCTTTGAGCTTCTTGTATTATTTTCCAAACTTTTAGATTTCTATTCTTTCTCAGGAACACCAATTATTCTTAGGTTTGGTCATTTAACATAATCCTAAACTTCTTGGAGGCTTTGTTCATCTTTTAAAATTCTTTTTTCTTTGCCTTTTTTAGATTGGGTTAACTCAAAAAACTTGTCTTCGAGCTTTGAAGTTCTTTCCTCCGCTTGTTGCATTCTATTGCTGAGACTTTCCAGAACATTTTGCATTTCTCTAAGTGTGTCCTTTATTTCCTGAAGTTATGATTGTTTTTTATTTGTGCTATCTATTTCACTGAAGATTTCTCTCCTCATTTCTTGTATCATTTTTTAAAATTTGCTTAAATTGGACTTCACTTTTCTCTGGTGCCTATTTGATTAGCTTAATAATTGACCTTATGAATTCTTTTTCAGGTAAATCAGGGATTTCTTCTTGGTTTGGATGCATTGCTAGTAAGCTAGTGTGATTTTTGGAGGGTGTTAAAGAATTTTGTTTTGCCATATTACCAGAATTGTTTTTCTGGTTCCTTCTCACTTGGGTAAGCTATATCAGAGGGACGATCTGGGGCTCAAGGCTGCTGTTCAGATTCTTTTGTCCCACTGGGTATTCCCTTGATGTAGTACTATCCCCCTTTTCCTAGGGATGTGGCTTCCTGAGAGTCGAGCTGTAGTGATTGTTATTTCTCTTCTGGATCTAGCCACCTAGCAGGACTACCAGGTTCTAGGCCAGTACTACGGGTTGTCTGCACAGAGTCCTGAGATGTGAACTGTCTGCAGGTGTCTCAGCCATGGCTACCAGCACCTGCTCTAGCGGAGATGGCACAGGGTGAAGTGGACTCTGTCAGGGTCCTTAGTTTTGGTTGTTTAATGCACTATTTTTATGCTGGTTGGCCTCCTGCCAGGAGGTGGGGATTTCAAGAGAGCATTAGCTGTGTTAGTATAGGGAGGTTCAGGCAGTAGGTGGGTCCTGGAACTCCCAAGAGAATATACCCTTTGTCTTCAGCTACCAGGGTGGATAAGGAAGGACCATCAGGTGGGGACAGGGTTAGGCGTGTCTGAGCTCAGACTCTTCTTAGGTGGGGCTTGGTGTGGCTGCTGTGGGAGATGGGGGAGAGTTCCCAGGTCAATAGAGTTATATCCTCAGGAGGATTATGGCTGCCTCTGTTGTGTCATGCAGGTTGTCAGGGAAGTGGAGGAAAGCCAGCAGTTACAGGTCTCCTCCAGCTCCCATACAATCCAAAAGGCTGGTCTCACTCCCACTGTGCCCTCCAACAACAGCACTGAGTTTGTTTCCAGGCAGTGGGTGAGCAGGGCTGAGAACTTGCCCCAGTATACAGACCTCCCAGCTGTGAAAGCAAGCAGGGCTTTTGCGCCTCCCTGCTTGTCAAGTCTGCACACTGGATTCACACTCTCCCCCAAATTCTGGCCAGGAGACTTGGCATTCAGTTGGAATTGTTACAAAGTTCAGCTGGAGGTTTCCTTCTCCCTGTACCTTGCATGTACCTCTGGCAGCCCTCCCCAAAGACCCCTGTGAGACAAGTCTGAAATGGCTGTCCTGGGGACCCAGAGAGCCCACAGGGCTTTTCCCACTGCTTCCTCTACCCCTGTATTTAGCTTGGCTCTCTAAATTGACTCAGCCCCAGTTAAGGTCAAATCCTTCTCCTGTGATCTAGATCGTCATGTTTCCCAGTGAGGGTGTGTGTTTGGGGGCAGATAATCCCCCTTTCCCACTTTCACAGCTTGGGCACTCACAGTATTTGGGTCATCTCCCGGGTCCAGCAGGTGCAATCTGCTTCCTTCAGAGGGTCTGTGGGTTCTCTTGGCTTTCTTGGTATGTTCCTGCAGTAGTTCTGGAGCAAAAGTTCACAATGAGAGTCTCCACACACTGCTCTGTCTGTTCGAGTGGGAGCTGCAATCTAGTCCTGCCTCTTATCTGCCATTTTTCTCCCATCTCGCAAATATTTCTTTATGCTGCATTGTAATCCTTCCCTGTTACCCTCCTGACCCCTCACGCTCAGGTAACCACTCATCTGTTTCCTATCACTGTAGATTAGTTTGCATTTTCAGGAGTTTTGTATAAATGGAAACATGCAAGGTACTTATTTTCTAGTCTTGCTTTTTTTACTCAGCACAGCTATTTTGAAACCTATCAGTACTGTTTCCTGTATCAATAGTTTACTCCCATTTATTGATAATTAGTATTCCACTGTATGTACATATGACAATTTGTTTATCCATCCACCTGTTGATGAACTTTGGGGCTGTTTCCAGTTTGGGGATATTACAAATGAAGCTGCTATGAACATTCATGTTCAGGTCCTTATATGAACATATGCTTTTATGTCTTGGGGAAAAACTTAGGAATAAAATAGCTTAATATTTAAGTTATATATTTGACTTTTTAAGAACATGCCAAATGTTTTCCTGAAGTGATTGTAGCATTTTGCATTTTGCAACAAGAGTGTGTGACAGTTCCAGTTCCTCTACATTCTTGGCAACACTTAACAAGGTTTAGTCTTCTTAATTTTAGTCATTCTAATAGGGGTATATCATTATGGGTTTAATTTGCATTTCTCTCATGATTAATAACATTGAGCATTTTATTCATGTGCTTATTTGCCATTTGGATATCTTCTGTGATGAAATGTCCTTTCAAATCTTTACCCATTTATTAAATGGGTTGATTTTTTTTAGTTATGAGAGTTCTTGAGTTATGAGAGTTCTATGATCTAAATGCAGGTAACTTATCAAATATATGCTTTGTAAATATTTTCTCCCAGCTTTTGGCCTGTCTTTTCATTCTGTTAACAGCAGAGGTTTTTTAATGTTCATGAAGTCGAACTTATCAAGCTTTAGTTTTCTTTTCTTATGATGTCTGTATCTTACTCTGGGGTCAGGGTAAGAATGGCATCAAAGAATTAGCAGGGAAGTATTCCCTCTCCTTTATTTTTCTTGAAGAGTTTGTGTAGAACTGTAATTATTTTTCTTCCTGAAATGTTGGGTAGAATTCATCAATAAAGTCATCTGGGTCTGGATGGCTTCATTATGGGAAAATTTTTAATTACAAATTCAATTTTCTAAATATATTTCAGATATTAAGGTTGTCCATTGCTTCTTGATTGAAACTACTGTGGTAGTTTGAGTCTTTTAATAAAAGTTGTCCAAGTTTTCTAGTTCATTCAATGTACAGCATAATGTTGTTCATCATATCCCTTTTATAATCTTTTGAATATCTGTAGAATCTATAGTAATATTACCTCAGTGGTTCCTGATATTTGGTAATTTGTGATTTTTTTTTCCTGAGCAATTTGGCTACAATTTATCAATTTTATTCATCTCAAAAAATTTGTTTTCATTTATTTTCTCCATTGTTTATTCCATTTATTATTTATTTCATTGATTTCTGCTTGAATCCTTATTATTTCCTTTCTATCCTTACTTTGGTTTTAACTTGCTCTTATTTTTCAAGTTTCTAATGGAAGAAGCTGAATGCACTGATTTGAGACTTTTTTCTTTTCTAATGTAGTAATTTGTTGCTATAAATTTTCTCCTAAATACTTCTTTTAATGCATCCCACAAGTGCTATGTTGTGTTTTCATTTTCCTTCAGTTCAAAATAGGTTTTAATTTTTCCTTTTATTTATTCTTTGTCTCTCACAGGTTATTTAGAATAGTGCTATTTAGTTTCAAAATATTTGGAGATTTTTCACTTACCTTTTGATTATTGGTAACTAATTTAATTTCACTGTGGTCAAAGAACATACTACATATGACTTGAATGCTTTTAAATTTATTGACTTGTTTTATAGCCTAGAATATGGCCTAACTTCATAAATGTTCTGTGAACACTTGGAAAGAATATACATTGTGCTGTTGTTGAGTGGAGTGTTCTATAAAAGTCAATTAGGACAAGTTGGTTTATAGTGTTATTCAAGTCTACTATACACTTGCTTGCTTTCTGTCTACTTGTTCTAAAATTACTGAGATTGAGTGATTTTTCTCAGTGTAATTGGGAGTTTTTAAAATTTTTCTTAGTATTTTTAATCAGTTTTGCTTCACGCATTTTTTTTTTTTTTTTTGAGACAGAGTCACACTCCCAGGCTGGAGTGCAGTGGCATGATCTTGGCTCACTGCAACCTCTGCCCCCAAGGTTCAAGTGATTCTCCTGCCTCAGCCTCCCAAGTAGCTGGGACTACAGGCACGCACCACCACAGCTGGCTAATTTTTGTAATTTTAGTAGAGATGGGATTTCACCATGTTGGTCAGGCTGGCCTTTACTCCTGACCTCAAGTGATATGCCTGTCTTGGCCTCCCAAAGTGCTGGGACTACAGGTGTGAGCCACTGTACCTAGCCAGCTTCATCTATTTTGAAGTTCTATTATTACGGGTATATACCCGGAGAATTGTTATAGCCTCTAAATTATTGGTCCCTTTATCATTATAAAATGACCATTTTATCTCTGGTAAAATTATCTTCTCTGAATTCTACCTTGTCTAACAATAATATAGTCACTCTTTTGACTGGTGTTAGCATGGTATATCTTTCCTAGTCCTTTACTTTTAATGCATTTTTGTCTTTATAGTTAAAGTATGTTTCTTATAGACAGTATCTAGTTGTGTTTTACTGAATCTAAAAATCTCTGCCTTTTAAATGGTGTGTTTAGATCATTTACATTTAATGGTGTTAGTGATACAGTCAGGCTTAAGTCTATCACCTTGCTCCTTGCTACTTGTTTTTTATTATATTTGTTTAACTTGTTCCTTGTTCCCCTTTTCCTTTTCTTTATGCTTCTTTTAGATTAAATATTTTTATAATTTGTATTTGTTTCATTTTTATTTTTGGTTGGCTTATTAGCTACATTTCTTTTCTTAATTATCTGTTGCTTTAGGGTTATAATATACAGGTTTAATTTATTACAGTCTACCTTAAACTGACATTATAATTCCTTATGCATAATATAAGACTTTACAATAGTATACTTCTTTCTGTTCTTACACATTTTTTTCTATTTTGGTCATATATTTTACCTATAGCTATGTAATAAATCCAAGAATACATGGCTATTATCATTGTTTAAAGAGTACTTTTTTTTTAGTGACACTTACTTAGTAAGAAAAATGGTATATAATTATCCATTAGAATCTATATCTGATTCTTCTCATGTCTTTGTGCAAAAATTTCCATCTGGTATCATTTTTATCCTAAGTTATTTTCTCTAAAATTTCCTGTAGTGCAGGTATTCTGTTGATGAATTCTTTCAGTTCTTATATGTTTGAAAATGTCTTCATTATATCTTTAGTTTTGAAAGATATTTTTATTGGGTATATAATTATGGCTTTAAAAGTTTCTGTTTTTTCTTTCAGTGCTTAGAGAGATTATCCTACTGTCTTCATTATTACATTTTTAAGTAAGAAGCCTGTTGTCATCCTTATCCATGTCTCTCTGTATATAATGTGCTTCTCTCTAGCTGCTTTTAGCATTTTTTATCAGTTTTGAGCAATTTAATTATGTTGTGCTTAGATATCATTTTTTGCATATCTTTATATTTGAGTTCATTAAAGTTCATGATGTATGGGTTTATAGTTTTCATCAAAATTCAAAAAGTTTTAGCCACTAATTAACTCTTAAAAAGATATTTCCTGTTCTCCTTCAGAGACTTGAAGTACATGTATGCTGGCTTCTTATACTTTTTCCACAGCTCACTGATATTCCCTTTATTTTTAAAAATTCTTTTTCGCCTAGTGTTTCATTTTGGATAATTTCTATTGCTATGTCTTTGAGTTCACTAGTATTTTCTTCTACAATGTCTAATGTGACATTAATCCTATACATTGTATTTTCATCTCAGATAATGTAGTTTTTATCTCTAAACATCTGAGTTGGCTTTTAAAAATATCTTCTATGACTAACCAGCTAATGTGTTCAATCTTACCTCTAGATTTGTGAACATACAGGATACAGTTATAACAATGTTTTAATGTCCTTGTCTACTATTGTTATCATCTGTGTCAGTTCTGAAGCAATTTCAATTGGTTAGCTGGTAATTTTGGTTGAATACAAAACATTGAGAATTTAACCTTATGGGCTACTGGATATTTCTGTATTCCTATAAATACTCTTGAGCTTTCTTCCGTGGAATTCTTAGGTTAATTGAAAAGAGTTTGATCCTTTTAATCTTGGTTTTAAGATTTATAATGTGAAGGCTCAGAAGGCGGGGCAAGATGGTGGAATAGAAGGCTCCACTGACTGTCCTTCCTACAAGGACACCAGTTTAACAACTATCTATACACACAAAAAGTACCTTCATAAGAACCAAATATCAGGTGAGTACTCACAGTACCACACTACCTGGTTTTAATTTCATATCTCTGAAAGAGGCACTGAAGAGGTATAAAAAAGAGTCTTAAATTGCCAATGCCACCCCTCCCCACCCCCAGCAACATGATGCAGAAAGCTTCTCTGGTCCTCGGGGGAGGGAAAACACAACAATTGTGAGGTATTGAAATCAGTGCTGTCCTGTTAGAGCAGAAAGGAAAACTAGACCAAACTCAGCTGAGCTGATGCCCACCCTTAAGGCAATCTAGGCCTTAAGGACTGCAACCCTTAGGCAAGGCCTAGTGCTGAACTGGGCCCAGAGACAGTGGACTGAGGGGTGCATGTGACATACTGAGGCACCAGCTGGGGTGGCTATGGGAGTGCTGGCATCACCTCACTCATAACCCCAGGCTTCACAGCTTGTAGCTCCAAAAGAGAGCCCTCTCTTTTGCTTGAGGAGAGAATAGGGAAGAGTGGGAAGAACTTTGTCTTACATCTTGGATACTGGCTCAGTCACAGCAGGATAGGACACTAGTTGAGTTGCGAGGCCCTCTTTCCAGGCCCAAGCTCCTAGATGACATTTCTAGACACATTCTGGGCCAAAAGGGAACCTGTTGCCTTGAAGGAAAGGACCCAGCCCTGGCAGCATTCATCACCTGCCAACTGAAGAGCCTTTGGGACCTGAATAACCAGCAGCAATGCCCAGATACTATATCTAGGGCCTTGGATAAGACTCTTGAGACTTGCTGGCTTCAAGTACCAGCAAAGCCACAGAGGTCAGAGCGATAAGCGGGCTCTAGGGGCCCCCAATTCCAGGACTTGGCTCTTGGATGGAATTTCTGGACTTTCCCTGGGCCAGAAGGCAGCTCATTGCTCTGAAGGGTAAGTCTCAGGCCAGGCAGCCTTCACCACAGCTGATTGAAGAGCCACTGGGCCTTACAGGAACATTGGTCACAGTCTGGCAGTACTCCACATTGGCCTGGGGTGGTGATGGCCATGGGATGAGGCTCCTCAGGCTTTGGAAAGGGGAGGGAAAGGACTATATCTTGTGGTTTGAGTGCCAGCTTCGCCACAATGTAACAGAACACCAGATAGACTTCTAAGCGTTTTGACTCTAGTCCCTGGCTCACAGACAGCACCCCTGGACATGCCCAGGGCCTGGGGGATCTCACTATTCTGAAGGGAAGGACACAGGCCTGCCTGGCTTTGCCACCTGCTGACTGTAGAGCCCCAAGGCCTTGAGTGAACATAGGCTATAGCCAGGGCGTGGTTATAGCAGGGCTCGGGTGAGACCTAGTGCTGTGGCTAGCTTCAGATCTGATCCAGCACAGTTCTAGTGGTTGTGGCCACAGGGGTGCTTCTGTCATACCACACCCAGCTCCAGGTGGCTCAGAACAGAACAGAGCCATCATTTACTGGGGAGAAAGTAAGGGAAGAATACAAGAGTCTCTGCCTGATAATCCAGAGAATCCTTCTGGATCTTGTCCAAGATCATCAAGGCAGTAACTCTTCAAGTCTGCCAGAATCACAGCATTACTGGGCTTGGGGTTCCCCCAAAACAGATACAGTTTAGATCACAACACCCAAGTCCTTTTGAATATACGGAAAGTGTTCCCAAGGAGGACAGGTGTACAAATAAGCCCAGATTGAGAAACCTACAATAAATATCTAACTCTTCAATGCCCAGACACTGAAGAACATCTACAAGCATCAACACTATCCAAGAAAACATGACCTCGCCAAATGAACTAAACAAGGCACCAGAGATGAATCTTGGAGAAACAGAGATATGTGCCCTTTCAGACAGGTAATTCAAAATAGCTATGTTGAGGAAACTCAAAGAAATTCAAGATAACACAGAAGGAGTTCAGAATTCTATTGGATAAATGTAACAAAACGATTGAAATTATTTAAAAGAATCAAGCAGAAATTCTGGAGCCGAAAAATGCAATCAACATACCAAAGAATGCATCAGTCTTTTAATAGCAGAATTAAGCAGAAAAAAGAATTAGTGGTCTTGAAGACAGCCTATTTGAAAATACACAGTCAGAGAAGACAAAAGAAAAAAACAATAAAAAACAATGAAGCATGCCTAAAGCATCTAGAAAATAGCCTCAAAAGGGCAAACCTAAGAGGTATTGGCCTTAAAGAGGAAGTAGAGAAAGAGACAGGGGCATAAAGTTTATTCAAAGCAATAATAACAGAGAACTTCCCCAACTTAGAGAAAGATATCAATATTCAAGTACAAAAAGGTAGTAGAACACCAAGCAGATTTAACCCAAAGAAGACTACCTCATGGCATTTAATAATCAAATTTCCAAACGTCAAAACTAGGCTAGGCATGTGGCTCATACTTGTAATGCTAGCACTTTGGGAAGCTGAAGCAGGAGGATTGCTTGAGCTCAGGAATTCCAAGCCAGCCAGGGCAACATAGTGAGACTCTGTCTCTATTAAAAAAAAAAGAAAAAGAAAAAGAAAAAAATGTCAAGGATAAAGAAGGGATCCTAAAAGCAGCAAGAGAAAATAAACAAATAACATACAATGGAGCTCCAATACATTTGGCAGCAGACTTTTCAATGGAAACCTTAGAGCCCAGGAGAGAGTGGCATGACATATTTAAAGTGCTGAAAGAAAAAAACTTCTACCCTATAAGAGTAGATCCGGCAAACATATACTTCAAACATGAAGGAGAAATAAAGACTTTCTCAGACAAACAAAAGCTGAGGGATTTTATCATCAAACCCATCCTACAAGAAATGCTAAGGGGAATACTCAATCAGAAAGAAAAGAACATTAGTGAGAAATAAGAACTCATCTGAAGGTACAAAACTAACTGATAATAGTAAGTACACAGAAAAACACCAAATATTATAACACTAAGTACACAGAAAAACACCAAATATTATAACACTGTAACTGTGGTCTGTAAATTTATCTTATCTTAAGTAGAAAGACTACATGATAAACAACAACTACAACAAGTTTTCAAGACATAGACAGTACGATAAGATATAAATCGAAATAACAAAAAGTTTAAAGTGGGGTATTAAATGAAGGCATAGAGTATTTGTTTTCTTTTTGCTGGTTTCTTTGTTTAAACAGTGTTAAGTTGTCATCTGCTTAAAATAATGAGTTATAAGATAGTATTTGCAAGCCTCATGGTAACCTCAAACCAAAAAACATACAACAGACACGCAAAAAATAAAAAGCAATAAATTAAATCACATCATCAGAGAAAATCACCTTTACTAAAAGGAAGAGAGGTAGTAAATAAAGAAGGAAGAGAAGACCACAAAATAACCAGAAAACCAATATCAAAATGGCAGAAGTAGGTCCCTATTTATCAATAATAACGTTGAATGTAAATGGACTAAACACTCCAGTAAAAAGATATGGAATGGCTGAATGGATGATGAAAAAAGACTCAATTGTCTATTACCTACAAGAAATACACTTCATCTATAAAAATAAATATAGACTTAAAGAAAAGAAAAAAGATATTTCATGCCAATAGAAACGAAGAGAGAAAATCCAAATAAATAAAATCAGAGATGAAAATGGAGTCATTACAAACTGATATCACAGAAATTTGAACGATCATTAGTGGCTGCTATGAGCAACTATATGCTAATAAATTGAAAAATCTTGAAGAAATGGGCAAATTCCTAGAAACATACAACCTACCAAGATTTAACCATGAAGAAATCCAAATCCTGAACAGACCAATTACAAGTAACAATATTGAAGCTGTAGTAAAGTCTCTCAGTAAAGAAAAGCCTGGGACCTAGTGGCTTCACTGCTGCATTATACCAAACATTTAAAGAAGAACTATTCCAATCTTACTCAAACTATTCCAAAAAAAATAAAGGAGGGAATACTTCCAAACTCATTCTACAAGGCCAGTGTTACCCTGATACCAAAACCAGAAAAGACACAACCAAAAATGAAAAAAAGAAAACTACAGGCCAATATCTCTGACGAATATTGATACAAAAAGCCTCAACAAAATACTAGCAACCCAAATTCAGCAATATATTAAAAAGATCATTCATCATGGCCAAGTGAGATTTATCCCTGGAATGCAAGGAGGGTTCAACATATGGAAATCAATATGACACATCACATCAACAGAATGAAGGACAAAAACCATATGATCATTTCAATTGATGCTGAAAAAGCATTTGATAAAATTCAATATCCCCTTATTAAAAAACCCTAAAAAAAACTGGGTATAGAAGAAGCCTACTTCAAAATAATAAAAGCCATATACAACAGACCCACAGCTAGTATCATACTGAATGAGGAAAATCTGAAAGCCCTTTCTCTAAGATCTGGAACACAACAAGGACGCTCACTTTCACCACTGTTGTTCAACATAGTACTGGAAGAACTAGCTACAGCAATCAGATGAGAAAAAAATAAAGGGCATTTAAATTGGAAAGGAAGAAGTCAAATTATCCTAGTTTGCGATGATATAATATTGTAATTGGAAAAACCTAGATTCCACCAGCAAAAACTATTAGAACTAATAAACACATTTAGTAAAGTTGCAGGATACAAAATCAGCATACAATAATCAGTAGCATTTATATATGCCAACAGTGAACAACCTGAAAACGAAATCAGTAAGGTAATCCCATTTGTAATAACCACAAAAACAATTAAATACCTAGGAATCAACTTAACCAAAGAAGTGAAAGACCTCTATAATGAAAACTACAAAACATTGGTGAAAGAAATTGAAAAGGATGCCAAAAAATAGAAAGAAAATCCATGTTTATGGATTGGAATGATCAGCATTGTTAAAATATCCATACTACCCAAAGCAATCTACGGATTCAATGCAATCCCTATCAAAATACCAATGACAATCACAGAAATAGAAAAAACAATCCTAAAATGTATGTGGAACCACAAAAGACCCAGAATAGCCAACCCTATCCTAAGCAAAGTGAATAAAACAAGAATCACATTACCTGACTTCAATTTATACTACAGAGCAATAGTAACTAAAATGGCATGGTACTGGCATAAAAACAGACACATAGATGAATGGAATAGAACAGAGAACCCAAAAATGAATCTATACATGTACAGTGAACTCATTTTAGACAAAGGTTTAAAGAACATACACTGGGGAAAGGACAGTCTTTTCAGTAAATTGTGCTTGGAAAACTGGGTATCCATATGCAGAAGAATGAAACTAGACCCCTCTCTCTTGCCATATACAAAAATAAAATCAAAATGGATTAAAGTCTTAAAATCTAAGACCACCGGCTGGGTGCAGTCACTCATACCTGTAATCCCACTTTGGGAGGCCAAGGTGGGTGGATCACCTGAGGTCAGAAGTTCAAGACCAGGCTGGCCAACATGGCAAAACCCCATCTCTACTAAAAGTACAAAAAAAAAAAAATAGCTGGGCATGGTGGCAGGTGCCTATAATCCCAGCTACTTGGGAGGCCGAGGCAGGAGAATTGCTTGAACCCGGGAGGCAGAGGTTGCAGTGAGCCGAGATAGTGCCATTGCACTCCAGCCTGGGCAATGGACCGAGACTCTGTCTCAAAAAAAAAAAAAAAAAAAAGTCTAAGATCTCAAATTATGAAACTGCTACAGGAAAACATCAGGGAAGCTCTCCAGGACATTGGTATGGGCAAAAATTTATTGAGCATTAGCCCACAAGCACAGGCAACCAAAGCAAAAATGGACAAATGGGATCATAGCAAGTTAAAAAGCTTCTTCACAGCAAAGGAAACAATAAATAAAATGAAGTGGACCGGGTGGAACATGGCTTATGCCTGTATTCCCAGCACTTTGGGAGGCCAAGGTAGGCAGATCACTTGAGGTCAGGAGTTCTAGACCAGCCTGGCCAACATTGTGAAGCCCCGTCTCTACTAAAAATACAAAAATTAGCTGGGTGTGGTGGTGTAATCCCAGCTGCTTTGGAGGCTGAGGCAGGAGAATCGCTTGCACCCGGTGGGGCAGAGGTTGCAGTGAGCCGAGATCGTGCCATTGCACTCCAGCCTGGGGAACAAGAGCAAAACTCCATCTCAAAAGGAAAAAAATAAAAATAAAAATAAATAAATAAATAAAATGAAGTGAATAACAAAGTGAAGAGGTAACCCACAGAATGGGAGAAAGTATTTGCAAGCTACCCATCTGACAAAGGGTTAATAATCAGAATATATCAGGAGCTCAAATAACTCTATAGGAAAACATCTAATAATCCAATTTAAAAATGGGCAAAAGACTTAAATAGACATTTCTCAAAAGAATACACACAAATGGCAAAGAGGCATTTGAAAAGGTGCTCAACATCTCTGATCATCAGAGAAATGCAAATCAAAACTACAATGAGATATCATATCACCCCAGTTAAAATGGCTTTTATCAAAAAGACAGGCAATAACAAATACTAGCGAGGATGTGGAGAAAAGGGAAACCTCGTACACTGTTAGTGGGAATGTAAATTATTACAACCACTATGGATAACAGTTTGGAAGTTCCTCAGAAAACTAAAAATAGAGCTACTGTATGATACAGCAATCCCACTGTTGGGTACAAATCCAAAAGAAACTTAATCAGTATATTGAAGAGATATCTGCACTCTTATGTTTGTTGCACCACTGCTTCACAATAGCAAAGATTTGGAAACAACCTAAGTGTTCAACAACAGATGAATGGACACAGAAAATATGGTACTTATACACAATGGAATACTATTCAGCCATAAAAAAGAATGAGATCCTGTAATTTGCAACAACATGGATGGAACTGGAAGTCATTATGCTACGTGAAATAAGCCAGGCACAGAAAGACAAACATTGCATGTTCTTACTTATTTGTGGGATCTAAAAATCAAAGCAATTGAACTCATGAAGACAGAGGGCAGAAGGATGGTTACCAGAGGCTGGAAAGAGTAGTAAGGGGTTGGAGGTGGGGATGGTTAATGGGTACAAAAAATTGTAGAAACAATGAATAAGACCTAGTTTTTGATAGCACAACAAGGTGACTATAGTCAGTAGTAATTTAATTGTACTTTGAAAAATAACTAAAAGAGTATAATTGGATTGTTTGTAACACAAAGGATAAATACTTAAGGGGATGACTATCTCACTTTACATGATCTGATTATTACACATTGCATGCCCGTATGAAAACTAAAAAAAAAAAAAAAAAAAAAAAAAGAAAGAATTGAAAAAATATGTATTAGGTGAAAACAGATCAGCATTGATCGTAGGGCTAATTTACCGTACTACTAGCTAAACTCCTTCTGAGTACTCTCCCTTATATTAATACACAATTAAGTATGAGCTTTTCACCCTGGTTGGTAGTCCTGACACTACTTCCAGCCCTGTATATATGAGCCCTGGTGTCAGGTCATTTTTTTTCCTTGGTTTGGGGGTAGTTTTCTCACATGCATTGATTAGTGCCCTTCTGAATACTCAAGGGGCACCCTCTAAAGTTCTTTTTTCTGTGCGGTTCTCTTCCTCTGGTATCCTGTCCTATCTGCCTCATCTCCCAGACTCTCCACTCCGTCTATTTAACCCATAGACTCCAGAGGGCACTGCCAGGGTCTCCAGAGGTCCCTCCAGAGGTCCCTCCTCTGGGCGGAAGCCCTAGAAACTTTCTCAAGGCAGGAACTTGGTGCAATTTTAGGATTTGCTTCATTTGTTTTCTATCCCACATGCATCATCATCCTTTGTTGCCTGATACTGTCTCTAAATTTTGTTTTATAATATTTTTCTGTTTTGTTTATGCTGATGTTTCACGTGGGAGGGCAAATTTGGTCACATTTATCCTCCATTAAGTGAACATGGATGTTCCCGATTATAGGATTTCAATTAAGGCTGTGCCTCCTCAGTTTTTCATGGATATTGCTCCTGTTCACTCTTTAAAACTTCATGTTTTCCATGCAACCATTCCTCACCTCATCTCTTTCTCCCTAAGAGATCTTATTCCAAAGTTTCAAACAAACCCATATGTTGAATCTCAAATTTCCATTATCATCTCAGTCTATCTTAATTCCTAGACCTATTTATTCAATGACTTACTAGTCATATTTTTCTAGATTCCCATAAGCTGCTTGAACTCAATATGTAGAAAATAAATAGCACCCCACCCTACAAGTTTCTATCATCCCCGTGTTTAAATCTCCCTGTAGCATTCATCACACTATTTGCATTTTTTAAAATATTTTTTGTCTTTAGATTGTTAGCAGAGATTATGTTTTTATCATTTTTTAGCACCTAGCACAACTCCTGAACTAAAGAGCTTCTCAATGAATATGTTTAATTAAATTAAATCCTACATACAAGGCAAATTGTCAGAGAGAGGAGAGAGAAATAATTTAAGTGAAACTTTATCACACTGAACAGGACCTGCCTTGTTCCTGAAAGGATGGATTAGAAAGCAGATCCAGTGCAGGGCACTGTCTGACTTCCTGTTTCTGGCCACTGTGAAGGAGATACCTCGGAATAAGCAAGGATAGAAAATTAAGTGTAAAGAATGGAAGGATGCCAACTTTCTGGGCTCCCAAGTGATAAACATTGCTGCTTAGAACTGTGTCCAAATTAACCACTTTTATTGCTCCCTTCTGTGCTGAATGTGCTTATACCAAATGCATTACACATTGCTTTTTGAAGTGTCTTTGAGTCATTTTAGGCAAAGATGTTTCATATCATCAATCATATTATAAATTCCAACTAGACATAACAACACCCATTTTCTCGGTAGTTTGGAAAGACTTTAGGAGCAAGGACCATGTCTTTCTTAAGAGACCAGGTGCATCCCAAGGATAAGGACCATGACTCTTTCTCCCGGGGAAAGGTAGTGCCCATGAATATTGATTATCTATGCAAGAAGTGACGATGCAGGGCAGGCTTGAGGTCTGCAGCCACAGCTGGTCATAAGCCTAATTTCACCACACTTTCCCTATTCATGTAACAATCCTGCTCCCATCACACTGAGGAGCTAGGCTGTTCCACACTGGCAAATCTAATTCAGCTTTGCCTAAAGCTTGTTTGCCAGGGAAATCTTGGCCCAGCTCCTCTGGACACAAACTCCCTGGCAGAGTATGTCTGTCTGTCTTTGGGGAAAATTCTCAGCATGTTCTGCTTCTGTTCAAACTGACTGGGTGGAGTTAGAATCAACAGGGGATTTGGCGAGCAGGCCAGGCAGGTGTGAAGGCTTCTTTCAGTAACCCAAATATTAGAAAGTCTTTTCAATCATCTTGTCTGGTGCCCAGGTCTGGTTCCTCTCAGAGAAGAGCTGGAATGGTTCAGCCCTCCAAATTCCAAGACCCAGCATTATAGAGAGTGTGAAGTAATGAGGCCCGGCTTAGAAGACTATTAGCTATAAAGAACAGTCCAACTTCTCAGCAGCTACATGGTACTCACATCCTAGTCTAATAAAGTTTAATAGGTTCTTCCAAACTGGAGATATAAGGTCAAAAGTGGCTTAAAATAAAGATTCTAAAACGCTATTTAATACATTAAAGCAACTATGAGACAGCATCATTTGCCCAAATTGTCAAGCTTTAAAATGGATAATATCCAGTGTTGGCAAAAGGCATGGAGAAACAATAATTCTCATATACTGTTAGTAGGAATATAATTTGGGGCACCATTTTTAAGGGAATTTTAGAAGTATCTGTCAAAACCTAATGGGAGTGTGTGCCTTTCAACCTAACAATTCCAGTTCTAGCTATCTGTCCTTGATAACCACTTTCATATGTGTACAAAGATACACATGTAAAGATGTTCAAGTCAGCATTTTTTTTTTTTTTTTTTGAGACGGAGTCTTGCCCTGTTGCCCAGGCTGGAGTGCAGTGGCGTGATCTCGGCTCACTGCAAGCTCCGCCTCTCCGGTTCACGCCATTCTCCTGCCTCAGCCTGCCGAGTAGTAGACTACAGGCGCCCACCACCACGCCTGGCTAATTTGTTGTACTTTTAGTAGAGATGGGGTTTTACCGTGTTAGCCAGGATGGTCTTGATCTCCTGACCTCGTGATCCTCCCACCTCGGCCTCCCAAAGTGCTGGGATTACAGGCTTGAGCCACCGTGCCTGGCCTCAAGTCAGCATTGTTTTTAATGTCAAAAAGTTGCAGGTAATCTAAATCTCTATTAGTAAGGTTAAGAGGAAATTATTTCCAGTGCATCCACATTATGAAATACCATGTGACACTGAAAAGAATAAAGAAACCCTTTGTAATATATAATCTCTGACAGACATTGCTAAATGACAAAAGCCAATACAAAGCAAGATAGATAGATGATCATGCTCACGCAAAACATAAAAGAACCTTGAGATTCTATGTCTATGTATGAAATGCATCTTTGCAAGGCAGCACATTGAGCTGTTTACTGTGGTTAACTCTGGAACTCTGAGCAAGTGAATGGATAGGAAATGGTCAGAAAGGGGAATGGGAAAAATGAGAGTTTTAAGTTTTATTCTATACTTGTTTTGAAAAGTAAATAAAAGAAAATGACAGCAAGAAAAATTTTGTTGTATGTGATGTTAAAGAAATGGGAGTTCAGGTATTTTTCAGAAGCAGTGTTTCTCAATTCTGGCTATATTGTAGAATCACTAGGGGAATAAAGAAAAAAGCCTATCTTAACTCAGGTACTGTAGAAGCAACCCTGAGGCAAGGATTAAAATGCTGACACTTTGTTTGGGTGGCATAAGGCAAGGGTAATAAAGACAAGGAAATACGTGGGCCAGGAAAGATGCTACATTTTGTTATGTGGTATTTCTTTGCTGGCCAACACTTTATAAAAAGTACTAAAGAGACAGAGCAGAGACACAGCATTTGCTCAACAGGACTTGTCCAGATATATACAAGGAGAAGCCACACCTCGGGACAGTCCACAGAAGAGAAAGAGAGGGGAATCTATCACCCAGTTCTCTCCTGTCCCCACTTTCTCTTCAGTCAAAGTGAGCTGCTCCCTGCCTCATCTAGCTAATGGCTGCTCTCAGAAAGTCAGATCCCCTGCCTTGAAATATGACACTTATCAAAATCTACATCAAAAGATACATGACTTGGTGTACCATGAGCTCAGAATATGGGTCTTGAGCTGTGCTCCTAGGATTTTGCCTTGAGCTCCAGCCAACTCATGGGAGGTGGGGGTTGGAGGGGTGGGGAGTGGTCAGTAAGGGTCAGCAAAGACAGAAGCAGTAGGACATGGTCAGACAGCCAGGAAGAGACTTCAGAAAGATGGGAGAGATCAAGGGAAGCTTAGAAGGTACACAAAGCTTGTGTCCATTATAATTCTGACCCCATCTCACCCCTGACCAGTTAAATCAGAAGGACTGGGAACTTACAGTATTTTAAAGGATCCCTAGATTATTGGAACGTTCAGCCAGAAGTGAGAACTACTGCTTTAAAATTCCCATCCAAAATAACCATCTGGTGCAAATTTCATATCATGGTGCCCCATTTTTCTCCTTTCCATAAAAAATGACAAAGCCACCTGAAAGGACATCTTAGGCAGCCATTGTGCTTCAGAAACTTAAGTTATTTCGAAGTAATAACTTAAAGCGTTTTATGACCTTGACTTTCTGTTAGACAAAAGGCCACAGAAATTATTGATGCAAAACAATGAAATTTTCTATTAGGTTACATTTAAACAGCAATTTTGCAAAGGGTAGCAAGAAACAGCAGGTTTCTCGGTCAGGCTAAATAGGTTTTTTTTAAAAAAAGTAATAATCAGTTCACTGTCTTGGATTTAGAGGGCACATCCTTCCTCAAAACTAACAATGTCACATTTTATTTTCTCCACATAAATTGTGCTCTAACCATGTGTATCCAGACAAAACCAAAACATAAAATGATTCCTTGAGCTTTTCCTATAAATGTATTTCCTTGTACAAACCTTCATTTTTTACATTTTGTACTCAATCTATTGCATGCTGATTTATATATGGATAAAGAGCAAGATGCTGCTCAGAAAAGAAGTTAAATACTGCAATCAAATGCAACCTTCTTCATGGCCTAATATTGGAATGCTTTTGCCGTCACCCCTTTGTCAGTTCAACAACTTGAGTAAAACTGATCATAAGTGGTAAGAAATTTGGAGTCTACCAGGAATAAGACATAAGCAGTACCCTGAGAGAGAATGTGTTCTTGGTTATGTCACTTCTCCTATCTGGACACAGTTTCCCCAGATGCAAATGAGGGGTTAGGTCTTGATAATATTTTCGGTCCTTCCAATTCTGAAATTTTACATTTCTCAATTATTGGATAATTTTCCCTATGCCTCTGTCAACATACATGCTTGGCTGTGATTTCTGCCCACCATGTCTCCAAAGACTTGGTAGAGAAAATATATCTCAAAATAAAATGATCAAAATGCCTATTTGAAACAAGCTCACATACCGGGTGCACTACATGATGCAAAATGATGGAGGAAGCTGTGGAACCCTCCGGCTGGGAACTTATACTTCATTCCAAGTGATTAGCAGATAAAGGGAAAAGGGATCACAATAGCAGAACCCAGGTGTTTAGAAAATGCATGCCAACTAAATTTTTTTCAAGTATATATTATGGTTTTGGGGTTTCAAAGATTATATTTGTTGATGACGGTCATGAACTAAACATAAATAAATTTTTTAAATGCCAAATAATGATCAGGATACAATTCTTTAAAAAAAAAAACTTACGGAAATGGGGTCTTGCTGTGTTGCCCAGGCTGGTCTTCAACTCCCGGGCTCAAGCAATTTTCCCTCCTTGACCTCCCAAAGTGCTGGGATCACAGGAGTGAGCCGCCATGCCTGGCCAGGTTCCAATTCTTAATGTGTAAAGCATCTCCTTCAATCTGTGTCTATATGAATCAGCCAAAGAGCTTAGTGATATCTACAACTCAGATTCATGGAGTACTAGAAGCCTTGTTAGAGAATGTGCGTGTGAAGACCATGAATTCCCATAAATCCTATTTCACGTTCTCATAGTACCTTCTCCTTTTTCGGTAATTTAAAAAATTATCTGTAATATTATTTAATATCCAGTGGATTATGAGAATCATGAAAATAGAGGGAGAGGGTCTTATTTACTTCTGATTTTTCTGCAAATAGCACAGTACATAATGTACACCCATAAATATTTGTTGGGTAGTTGGGTGAGTGAATAAATGCACAAATAATAGCTACTTCCAGAAGAAGATTTGAGGTGACTCACCATAAAGTATACACGGACTATTTTAAGGACATTTGATTAAGATCCATGTAATGGTGGAGAAGGGAAATATAATTTGCTCATAACCCTTTCTTGAATCTGCTTACCACTATTAAAAACAATTTTTTTAAAAGAGCTACCTTTTATTTTATTTTAGGTTCAGGAGTTCATATGCAGATTTGTTATGCCAGTAAATTGTGTATTACAGGGGTTTGGTGTACAGATTATTTCATCGACCAGGTAATAAACATAGTACCTGATAGGTAATTGTTTTTTATCATCCCCCTCCTTCCACCCTTTACCCTCCACCCTCAAGTAGATTCCAGTGTCTGTTGTTCCCTCCTTTGTAATCCATGTGTACTCAATGTTTGGCCCCCACTTATAAGTGAGAACATGCAATATTCAGTTTTCTGTTCCTATGTTAGTTTGCTTAGGATAATGGCCTCCAGTTCCATCCATGTTGCACAAAGGACATGATCACATTCTTTTCTATGGCTGCATAGAATTACATGGTATATATGTGCCATATTGTCTTTGGTCGACCATTGATGGGCATTGAGGTTGATTCCATGTATTTGCTATTGAAATTTTAACTGGGAAATTCTAACACTGGGATTTCTGGTATCTAAGGCATAAAAAGTAAACTTCATTATGAGCTTATATATAAGAAAAGCATACTGTTTTCTGCCTAAATAGAAGAACATGAAAATCAGAACTCATTTATAAAGTATTTTAAGGAATAATGGCCAACCTAATGGAAACATTGTCACTCACTTTACCTGAACTCAAAACGCAGCAGTTACATGAGTGTCTGACAGTGAGCCAGTCCTCACACACGTTTTTCCCAGGTAAACTGTGTTTGGCAAGCCTTCCTTTAGCCTGCTTAGGACCTTGTTCAATCCAAACTTTTCTGACCCACAGCCTTTTAGTTGGCAGCATTCTCAAGGATGTTGAAATCAAATAAGTGCCTTTCTGATACAGCAAAACTAGAGAGATAATTTTAAGGCACTCATGTCAAGTGGGAGGAAAATTCATTTCTCAGCACATCATTGAAAACCAAATGTCCATTTCCAAATATGTCACAAATTGCAATAAACTACAAAGAGGCTCTTCTATAACTGGTTTCAATCCAATGCTCAAGAGCCCCAGTGTCAAGAATTTCATTCAGGGTAGTTGAAACATCTATGGGTAAAATGGAACCCTGCTTTGATAAAATATTTAATACAGTTTTAGGCAGATTCACGAATGGGAAAAAAATGTCTGTTCTAATAAAGTGACTGGAGGTACATAGGAAAACCTCAATATTATACTACATGTGTAATTTTATGTAGTCCTCTCACTAACCTTGATACATGAAGATTATTTATTTCCATCTTACAGATAAAGAAACTGAGACACATACATATTAATCAAATTGCCCAATGTTACAGACCAGTAAGTGGCACATTAGGTACTTAAACCTATTTATTTTAGACTACAAATATCATGCCCTTTTTACTACACTGTTACAGCCTTCAAGAAACACAGACTTTATTGCTTTTTTGCGAGGGGGGACACAAGGTCTCATTCTGTTGCCCAAGCTGAAGTGAAGTGACACAACCACACCTCGACCTCTGCAGCCTCAACCTCTTGGGCTTAAGTGATCCTCCCACCTCAGCCTCCCAAGTAGCTGGGACCATAGGCATGCGCCACCATGCCCAGCTAATTTTTTTAATTTTTTGTAGAGACAGGTCTCACTAAGTTGCCCAGACTGGTCTTGAACTCCTGGGCTCAGATGATCCTCCCACCTTGGCCTCTCAAAGTACTGAGATTAAAGGTGTGAGCACCCAGCCAACTGCTTTTGAAATCCCAGAGTACCTGGCATGATTAACTTGGGAGACTAAAAATGCTTCCCTTAATATGGTTAACCTTTAACAAATGGCTAATTTCTCAAGCACAGTTAGTAACACTGGTAACAATGGAAGCTTCTATGGATATCATGTCTCTACTCAAAAGAGTCTATTGATATCAGTAATTATGTTAACAGTAAGGATGATTTTTGCTACATAAGCCCCAATAAAAGTATTGTCATCAATAAGGAGGGTATGTATTATCTCACAAAACAAGATCTCCAGTGGCTAGGCAACTGCAGGGCTAGGTTAGGGTTAATTCAGCAACTCAGCAATATCATCATAGGAGATGATTTCCCTCATTTAACCACGCTATCTATCTTCAACATAGCTGATAATATTATCCCTTGTTTTCATAATAATACTTATTGAATGCCTGCTATATTCCAGACAATTCTAAATGTTTTACAATCATTAATTTAGTTGGTCCTCTCAACACTCCTATGAAATAGATACCATTATATCGAGGTGGGTAGAGGCCCTTCATCATCACAAGGGTCTGCAACAATGCCAAGTACCAAATGCAAACCAAAAGAGAACCAGTAATAAAGAGAAGGGGTGCTGTCTCCTGTGTGCTTCTCCTTTCCGGAAGCCACCCAGCAGACTTTCTCTAAGGTTCCATGGTCCAATTAATCACTAGTAAGAGCAATGGAAAGTATCACAACAGCTTTAAGGAAATCAGGATTCACACAGGCTCCCCAAGAGCAGGGTCCCCTCTTTCTCAAGCATATGGCCACAAAAAGAGGCATCCAAACCAAATCTGGACTCTGACAAGAAAATATGCCACACTATGGCTAACTTCATCTCTAGCTACAAATGGAACATCTTTAGGCACAGTCACAGTTGATGGGTTTCTTGGAAAAGCAAGATGGGAAGCTGGAGATTTAAAGGACTTGCTAATTTCATTGATAGGTACTAGAATAAGTGTCCTGCTTGAGCAATTGTAGAAGCACTAAGGAAATCTGGGAACTGGGTTGAAACAAGCAAAAAAAGCACTGGCTCTTGCAGGAGACAAAGTCAAGGTCTGAGTTTCACAAGTGTAACATTACTTAAAGTAGTACCATTTGGATTTTACAGACATGGGGAAAGAAGCCCCAGTGTGACTGCAAAGAGTGCTGCAAAAGAGGAGACATTTCTAGTGGGCTACACTGTGCTGTATTAGGTAGAATTTACTGGATGTCCCCCACCACCATGCCTCCAGCAATGGCAGAACTCCTTCAAGCTTCATGAAGATGTATGTGTCTTTTTAATGCAACAGCTAAAAACATGTATGTCTTCAGATGTAGATGGTGCATTTAAATGTGTGTATATGTGTGTAGAAATTTGCCCAAACTGCAGATGCCTTACTGATATGGGCTGAATTATGTCCCCCGCCAAAATTCATATGTTCATTGTCACCCTCAGTACCTCTGAATGTGACTGTATTTGGAGATAGACCCTTTAAAGGAGCAATTAAGGTAAAATGAGGTCACGTGGGTGGGCCCTATTCCTATAGAACTTAGTGTCCTTATAAGAAGAGGTGATTAGGACACATAGAAAACAGACCAGGGGAAGACCACATCAAGAAAAGGGAGATGGCAGCCAAGGAAAGAGGCCTCAGAATAAAGTCAACCCTGCCAACACTTTGATTTTGTATGTCTAGCCTCCAGGGGTGTAAGGAAGTAAACTTCTGTTGTTTAAGCCAGTTTGTGGTATTTGTTGTGGTAGCCCTAACAAACTAATATACTTACCAATTTGCACAAGATAAAACTATATGTGGAATGTTTCATTTATATTTTACAAATGGCTGGCTTGCCCTTAATTCCTCCTTCCTGAGTGTGTTTTGGAATGAAAGCTAATGTCATTGAGGCCCCAAATATCTTAACTGAATCAGATCAACCTGAGGCCATTTGGGTATGTTGTGCAAAAATCAATCCTTTAAATAGCCCTAAAACATGGTCCAAGCAGCTGCTTCCCCCACTCCACACTCTGGCTCTTGAAACTAGGGAAGCATTTTTGGTCATCAACATGAACATATGACTTAGCTCCCCTTTCTCTCCCCCCAGCCCCTGAATTGGAAGGTTTCACAGGAGAGATGGGGAATGAACTGGAAGTACTTTACACTAGTCATCTTGCAGAGAAAATCTTAAAGCCTTTTTCTTCTCTCTCCATTTTTTTTCTTAAATTTGGCAACTTTGAAAGTCATTACTCTTCTCTTTCCCCAGCAGGCTTCACCCTGAAGGCATCCCTTCTGGCTGCCCCCAGGAAAGTTAAATCCCCAGTCCTCCTCTCCTCTGTTTAGTAGCAAAGCCTCTCTTTTACTCTTTTAGAACTTGGATACCAGATGATAATACCAAGGCCCTGAGATCTTAAAGTGAATTTATCAGAGCATTTTCTCAACAAAAGCCAATGTTTCAAATAAGAGATTCTGATATCAAGTGTTGAGAGACTAAAATTATTTCTCCATCTATATGAGAGAAGGAAAATAAAAAGAAAGCAAATAAAAGAAAAGGTGTTTGAATACAAGAATGTTAGATCCTACAATATTTTTTGTCAGAGAAGAGAGCCTGGTGTTTTGTGTCCTAAATAACTAGACAAGCTTACTAGCCTAGGAAGTCTAGACTGAAAAATCACATAGCTCTGCCTGAGTGGGGGTCAGCTAATCCCATTCCCAGAGAGAAAAAAAAAAACATGTTTTCCTTTTGAATTAACATTAACTCACATTAAACACACGCACACATACACAGTAAAATTATATTTAGAAATGTTTTAGCTCTGGCTTCTCAGCAGGGGTAAGTGCCTCAATTTCCTGCAAATCATTGTCAAGTGTCTAGACAGGAGAAGTGGAAGCAAAGATAAGAGATCCTGAATTTCAACAGAGGGGCCATCAAGCTAAACCGAACTCAGCTGTGCTTTTTCACTTGGCAACAAGCGATAACCCTCTGATAGCCACATATCTTACATGTTGCTTTTGACTTCTGATAAGAAAGAGGAAAGTGGGAAACAATGATGAGCGTTGGTGATAAACACCCGGGCTGGCATTTGCCTCAGTCTTTTTAAATTAACTGACCCCCAGAGGAATCCCAAACCCTATAGCCCTATCTAGTATCTGGAAAGGTTTATGAGGATTTGAAGCTACAGCTGAAGATGACCAATACTTTAAAGAGTTTGTGAATTAGCACCTTATATGTAAACACACCTCTAAGTCAATCACACTTTGTAGAATTCCCAAAGTCTCAATACCCTTCCTGAAAGCAGGTTTTACAATCTCTTAATCTTTAGGAACTTGACAGGGCCTAAGAGGTCAGCAGCAGATCATATATACCACATTAGATTCACTATGGGAATACCCAAAACCAGTAGCAGTTTCTTCCCTTGCAAACATTCATAGAGTATTCGAGGACCTCATCTCTCACTGTGCAGCAAGACTTGGACGTGTCATTTGCTGAATTCATTCCTCATGCATCCATACATACGTCAAGTACTTTTTTTGAGACCTTTATTGAATAAGGTGGAAGTCAAATGGGTGTTCCGCAATCAGGTCACCTAATTTGAAACTCTGACTCTATTATTCACTAGCTGTGCAAATTTCAGAGAGTTGTTTAACCTCTTGGACCTCACTTTTCCTATCTGCAAAATGGGGATAATGACAAGACTTACCTCTTAGGATTGCTGTGAGAGTTAGAGAGTTATAGATGCAAAACACTTAGAACAGCGTTTCAATATATGATAAGTTCTTAATGAATTTAAATTCTCTCTCTTATGTGCCAAACACAAGTCTTTGGTTAATCAGAAGATGAAAAGATAAATGAAAAGAATATTTTAGGGATGATGGTGAAGAAGAGCAGCTCACCAACTGCTTAAGAATTAAAAATCAGTCAGCACGGAGGTACCAAGTCAGATCCTAGCACTTTTCTAGACTTATAATACAATATTTTGTAAGACAGTGCTAACTTAGGTTAAACTTAGAACAAATCATTAAACAGGTTGTCTAGAAGTTCAAAGAGTGAGAGATCACTGTGAACTGAAGGAGCAGGCAGGACTTCATGGAGGCATGACTTGTCCTGGGCAGTGTTGGACAAGTAGAATATAGATGAGCAGATAGAGGAGGAGGTTACTGGGGAAACAGCATCAAAAGCAGAGAGGTAGATATGATTGTGACATATGTTGCACTGAACATCCTGCACTAATTTTCAGTGGTCAGTGCTGTGACTGGCTTCCCACCATCATTATCCTGTGCCTTATACCTTTAGGTGGGCTTCTGCACAAGCCTCAGGCTACCTTTGGGTTCATCCCTTCTAGTACATCCTGCACACCCTCCCCCAGGTCAGCCTTTTCCAACACTGCTGCCCTCTTATCTCTAGCCTGCCTCTAAGTATTCAGTGCTTGTCTGTTCCCCCCATCTCTACCCTCACCTCTATGCCTACCTTATTGCTTTCAGGGTAAAACCAAGATCCTTAGCCTAATAGTCAACCCTCTTCAGAATCTGAAATTAAACTGCTTTCAGTTATGTCTCCTAGCATACTTTTCTTATCATTTTTCTGACAATTCTTCCATCTAGGCCTCTATTTCCTGCTTCTATCCAAACTCCAATATGAAATTACCTCCATTCTCCCCTCAACCATCAAATTCATTGTTAAATCTATAATCTGTAAACTTTCTGATTCTTTGTCAATTTCCTAATTCTTTAAAAATTTGTTGCTATCTTTCCAATCTCTTTGCTAACATCCCTAATCCACTACATGTTCTCTCTTTTGAAGTCACAGAATATGTCTGTTCCACTCACTAGGCAAAGAAATTTGTAGTATTCCTTCAGCTAGAATTTTATATTGTTATTTTAATTGAAAGGAGGTTAGCTAATTTTTTTTTGAAATCTTGGTTTTCAGTCTGGACTTCAAGTTCCTGAAGATCAGGACTTGTATCTGATTCTTCTTCTTGCAAGCACAGTAGTTGATTGGCTACTAGGGATGATGGGAACCAGAGATGTCAATTTATAAGACTAATTTACACTATTGAAATGGCAATAAGTAAAGTATAAGAAAAGGTTGGATTTCAAGGTTGGTAGGTGTTATAGACCAGATTTCTTGGAAAATAGATCATGAGATTCTGAGATTTTTGTTGTTGTTGTTGTTGTTATTAATGATGATGATGATGTTTTGAGATTCTGAGATATGCATTCAGAAAGTTACCACTCTTGGGATCAACACCTCTGGAGGATGACAGACAAGAGATGAAGGATGAGGCAGAGAAGGAAGTAAGAAGTTGATTTGTGATGTAGTTTTAACAGACTTCATTCAGTCTCATAGGGAGCTCTGGTCCTGGCATGATCATCAAATTGTCTCAATTGAAGCAAAGAAACCAGGTCTTTTTATGTCCACTAAGACCACTCTTTGGATGTGGGGTGTACCTGGGGAAAGGAAACAATTTTGAGCAAGACAACTGCTTTCGATAATTCCATAGGAGGGATTCAGCTGTCAGCTGTCAGGAGCCAACACACCTAGCAGCTGGGGGAATGAGTGCCTTGTTCCTAAAGGCAGAGTCTGATAATCTACCATAGTATCATCCACTACAGTTGGGTAGCATGACAACAGGAGCTATTGACTTTTTAATCTTAACCTCTGTGCTTGACACTCAGCTCTACCTGGGATCATTCTATTTTCTGGCAATGATGTCCTACATGCTTAATCTGACTTCACATTCCCTTGTAGATCAAAAATCTGCTCCTTCACAAATCCTCCCTTCCTTGCAGTTTCTTATTCCACTTATCAAAAAGAAAGAATCAAAAACTGTTTATTAGCTGGACCAGTAACTGGTCAGTGTCCAAATCATCAGCACTTGCTCTGGAATCAAATAAGTAACTGACCCATCAAATAATTTTTCACTGCAATCTCCAGTGAAGGGCTTCCCAGGAGAGTCAGCATCCGTGGTCCATTTGAAACAAGACTGGCAAGATATCTTTGGGGTTTCAGCATTTCCTGGAAACACCAGCTGACCAAAGACTTGGAAATGTTGAGAAGCCAACAACAGCATAGAGCCAACTTAATGTGGAAAGAAAAACTGACTTAACATAGGGCAGCAAAGGGACTGTACTAGCCTGCCAATTCATGGCTGCCTTGGAGGGCTGCTGCTTCCATTGGGATAGTCCTTTCCTCCAATCTGCCACCCATGCTATTTCTCATGTTTAGATGCTCTGGAGTTGTTGTTGTTGACACTGATGATGATTTGAGACATTTAACAAATGCAGAAAAGAGCCAAAAATAATAAACAAACATTTATAGGTTGTTAACTTTTTTGTCATATTTCCTTTTGTAGTTTTGTTTAAAAAGTGAAAAATAGTACAGAAAAATTCAAATCTCCTCCATTGCCACTTTCCATGGGCAAAGGGGATCATAATCTTAATATGTATCTTCCCAGTGTATTTTGAATTTTTTTTATTATTATTATACTTTAAGTTTTAGGGTACATGTACACAATGTGTCAGTTTGTTACATATGTATACATGTGCCATGTTGGTGTGCTGCACCCAGTAACTCGTCATTTAGCATTAGGTATATCTCCTAATGCTATCCCTCCCCCCTCCCCCCACCCCACAACAGTCCCCGGAGTGTGATGTTCCTCTTCCTGTGTCTATGTGTTCTCATTGTTCAATTCCCACCTATAAGCGAGAACATGTGGTGTTTGGTTTTTTGTCCTTGAGATAGTTTGCTGAGAATGATGGTTTCCAGCTTCATCCATGTCCCTACAAAGGACATGAACTCTTCATTTTTTATGGCTGCATAGTAGTCCATGGTGTATATGTGCCACATTTTCTTAATCCAGTCTATCGTTGTTGGACATTTGGGTTGGTTCCAAGTCTTTGCTATTGTGAATAGTGCCGCAATAAACATACGTGTGCATGTGTCTTTATAGCAGCATGATTTATAATCCTTTGGGTATATACCCAGTAATGGGATGGCTAGGTCAAATGGTATTTCTAGTTCTAGATCCCTGAGGAATCGCCACACTGACTTCCACAATGATTGAACTAGTTTACAGTCCCACCAACAGTGTAAAAGTGTTCCTATTTCTCCACATCCTCTCCAGCACCTGTTGTTTCCTGACTTTTTAATGATCGCCATTCTAACTGGTGTGAGATGGTATCTCATTGTGGTTTTGATTTGCATTTCTCTGATGGCCAGTGATGATGAGCATTTTTTCATGTGTTTTTTGGCTGCATAAATGTCTTCTTTTGAGAAGTGTCTGTTCATATCCTTTGCCCACTTTTTGATGGGGTTGTTTGTTTTTTCTTGTAAATTTGTTTGAGTTCATTGTAGATTCTGGATATTAGCCCTTTGTCAGATGAGTAGCTTGCGAACATTTTCTCCCATTTTGTAGGTTGCCTGTTCACTCTGATTGCAGTTTCTTTTGCTGTGCAGAAGCTCTTTAGTTTAATAGATCCCATTTGTCAATTTTGGCTTTTGTTGCCATTGCTTTTGGTGTTTTAGACATGAAGTCCTTGCCCATGCCTATGTCCTGAATGGTATTGCCTAGGTTTTCTTCTAGGGTTTTTATGGTTTTAGGGCTAACATGTAAGTCTTTAATCCATCTTGAATTAATTTTTGTATAAGGTGTAAGGAAGGGATCCAGTTTCAGCTTTCTACATATGGCTAGCCAGTTTTCCCAGCACCATTTATTAAATAGGGAATCCTTTCCCCATTGCTTGTTTTTGTCAGGTTTATCAAAGATCAGATGGTTGTAGATATGCAGCATTATTTCTGAGGGCTCTGTTCTGCTCCATTGATCTATATGTCTGTTTCGGTACCAGTACCATGCTGTTTTGGCTACTGTAGCCTTGCAGTATAGTTTGAAGTCAGATAGACCACTAGCAAAACTAATAAAGAAGAAAAGAGAGAAGAATCAAATACACGCAATAAAAAATGACAAAGGGGATATCACCACCGATCCCACAGAAATTCAAACTACGATCAGAGAATACTACAAACACCTCTATGCAAATAAACTAGAAAATCTAGAAGAAATGGATAAATTCCTCGACACATACACCCTCCCAAGACTAAACCAGGAAGAAGGTGAATCTCTGAATAGACCAATAACAGGCTCTGAAATTGTGGCAATAATCAATAGCTTACCAACCAAAAAAAGTCCAGGACCAGATGGATTCACAGCCGAATTCTACCAGAGGTACAAAGAGGAGCTGGTACCATTCCTTCTGAAACTATTCCAATCAATAGAAAAAGAGGGAATCCTCCCTAACTCATTTTATGAGGCCAGCATCATCCTGATACCAAAGCCTGGCAGAGACACAACCAAAAAAGAGAATTTTAGAGCAATATCCTTGATGAACATTGATGCAAAAATCCTCAATAAAATACTGGCAAACCAAATCCAGCAGCACATCAAAAAGCTTATCCACCATGATAAGCTTTTATCATTGTGGATAAAATGATAAAGCTTTGCCCCTGGGATGCAAGGCTGGTTCAACATACGCAAATCAATAAATGTAATCCAGCATATAAACAGAACCAAAGACAAAAACCACATGATTATCTCAATAGATGCAGAAAAGGCCTTTGACAAAATTCAACAACCCTTCATGCTAAAAACTCTCAATAAATTAGGTATTGATGGGACGTATCTCAAAATAATAAGAGCTATCTATGACAAACCCACAGCCAATATCATACTGAATGGGCAAAAACTGGAAGCATTCCCTTTGAAAACTGGCACAAGACAGGGATGTCCTCTCTCACTACTCCTCTTCAACATAGTGTTGGAAGTTCTGGCCAGGGCAATTAGGCAGGAGAAGGAAATAAAGGGTATTCAATTAGGAAAAGAGGAAGTCAAATTGTCCCTGTTTGCAGACGACATGATTATATATCTAGAAAACCCCATCGTCTCAGCCCAAAATCTCCTTAAGCTGATAAGCAACTTCAGCAAAGTCTCAGGATACAAAATCAATGTACAAAAATCACAAGCATTCTTATACATCAATAACAGACATACAGAGAGCCAAATCATGAGTGAACTCCCATTCACAATTGCTTCAAAGAGAATAAAATACCTAGGAATCCAACTTACAAGGGATGTGAAGGACCTCTTCAAGGAGAACTACAAACCACTGCTCAATGAAATAAAAGAGGATACAAAGAAATGGAAGAACATTCCATGCTCATGGGTAGGAAGAATCAATATCGTGAAAATGGCCATACTGCCCAAGGTAATTTATAGATTCAATGCCATCCCCATCAAGCTACCAATGACTTTCTTCACAGAATTGGAAAAAACTACTTTAAAGTTCATATGGAATCAAAAAAGAGCCCGCATCGCCAAGTCAATCCTAAGCCAAAAGAACAAAGCCAGAGGTATTTTGAATATTTTAAATGAGTGTGTTGATATCCATGAAAAATACAAAATATTGTTGTGTGTGGTTTTTCAGCTTACATAAATGGTATACTATGTGATACTATGACTTGATTTTTTAAATTCATTCCTTTTTAGAATTTTTACATTGCTATATGTAGATTTAGTCCATTGATGGACATGTAAGTGACTCCCTAGGTTCTCCTTTCTGTGCATTTCTTTTTTTGTGACTTCCTTGACAGGTCAATATGAATGAAATGTCTTTTTTTTTTTAATTCTTGCTGAAATTTAACAGGCCTCCAGAGAAGAATTCCTGCCATATCTTTGCTCTTTGCCCCTCTGCCTCAGCTGTGACAAGCACCAGGTTCTGGTTTCTAGAATTCCCATTGTTTTCTGAGTTGGTTCTGTCAACACATTTAACTCCCAGCCAGACCTAAGGAACAGATTATGGAAGTGATTAATATGGGCAAAATGAATACAGTACCTTGGGCCTCAAAATAAAAGTGGAGCTTCTTTTGGAAATCTATCCCAGAAAAATAATTCAAAGAAAGAAAATAATTTACATATGTGAAGATTGTTATTACAGAACTATTTTTAATAGGGAAAAATGAAAAATAACCAAAATGGTCAACAATAAGAAGTTCTTGCATAAATCATGGTACATCAACTCCAAAGAATATTATTTGTTCCTTTACTATGGTGATTCTCAAAACTATGTATTAGGTGGAATCATGAAATTGTTCTTTCTAGCTCAAAATAGTTGCGTATCAGCAATTTTATCCCATTCACCTTAAGAGTAACAGAGGAAAAGGGATGATGGTTAATGTTACATGAAAAATACAGAAAGCAAAATTACATCCACAATATGTGAAAGTATCTTTGCATTTGGATAAGAACTTGTATGGAGAACAACAAAATTTAAAAGTTACATTGAGGAAGGAGAGTGAGAAAGAACTAAATTTATTAAACTTACAAGTCCAGGACCTTATATAATAAATTATTTCTTTACCACCCCCAACCCCCCACTCCACACACACACATACAAACAGGAAGTTGTTATTATTGCCACTTAGAGATGAAGAAACTGTGGTTCAAAGAAATTTAGTCAATTGCTCAGTGTTGCAAGTTGATATAGTAGCACAGCTGGAATTTGCATCTAGGCCTCTTTGATTCAAAGCCTGACCTTTGCCTGTATCCCTCTCTGGAGTGATAAAAAACCATCTTTTCTTTCTAGTCCTCATATTATTTGTACAGTAAATAGAAATTCATACTAAAACTTCCTGAAGCAGGAGGGGATAAGGAAGAAGGGTAATGAGGCATCTTCCTCAGTCCCCTTCTGGTCCAGAGTGGCATGGCACCTACCAAGAAGGCTCTTTGATTTTCCAGCTGTGCCCTTAGGGTTCCTCGTATAAAACAAAAAGCTGCTGGGAAGAAGGTGACAGTCAACAGACAGAGCATATTGAATCGGGAATGAGATGAGCCGTGTACTGCCTCAGGCCACTTGATCAAAGCTCTTGAACAAAGATACCTCAGCTATTAAGTGAGGCTATCAAGAGCAAGCTGAAACCCTGTGCAGGAGTGTGGATGTTCTCAGGGAAGGGGCATGGTGCTAGAAGGAGGGGCTTCTGGGTCTCTTGATGCAGTTCCTAAGCAGACATGTGACCTTGGGCAAGTCACCAAGGTTCTCAGTTTTCTCATCAGCCACATGAAGACTTTGCCTCTTGCACCTCTGTTTCTCTGGTTCTTTTTCCTATCCAGAAAGAAGAGTTTTACAGTCTATTACTACCTGGAGAAATCACATGTCACACATCTGAGTGTTGAAGGAAATGCTTATTCCTCTCACCTTCTCTCTTTCAGAAAAGAGGGGACGTCTGCCCATGCTTCTCTTCTCTCCACCCTCTAATGTGGTCACTACCCCGCTGCCCAGTGAATTCTCAGAAAAGCCAGGTCCTGGATCTAATGAGTGGAGATGCTCTACCACAGTGGTACACAGTCCACTCTCTCTACATCCCACCTGCCGGCAAGTGGCCTGTGTTGCACCCTCTGCTCCTGTTGCCAGGCAGAAAGCATGCCAGGCCAGCTGTGGATCTGCCTCCAAGGGAAGACCTGGAGTCTTAGCCCCCTCCTCAGTTTCCTGTCCCACCAATCACCAGGTAGTTCTTGCTACAGCCTTCCAGATAACTGTCTGGCTAAATATCGGCTGTGCAGACACTGAGAGCATACCAAAATTTTAAACTTGGGGCATAGAAAAGAGGAAGTAGACGAATTGGGACTTGAATTGGGAAGCCCAATTAGGACTTCAAATGTCAAGTTCTTATCCAGCCCCAAATTTGGAGTTCATAAAGTTGATACTGATCCTGGAATTTGATTATCTTCAACCTCTGCTGGCTGCTAATAAAGAACCCAGAAGAGAAAATAAATGGATAATTGGCATCCTCAAACCTCAAATACAGAACCAAACTATGGAAGAAATAAAGCCCAGGTTCAGGCATAACCTCTCTTCATCAAATTGTTACTAGTGGTGAGAGAACAAGAGGGTCAGTGGAGAGAAGGAGGAAAATTGTATGGCAAAACTGAAATAACATTTCCACAATTGAGCTTTTCAAGGTACAGAGCTGAGTTCCAACCAGAATGCCGAGCCTGAACTCCAGGACCTACAGGGAGAGGGCAGATGTCCATGAGTCAGCTAAAGCCTTCTAGATGTGTGTCCTGGCTTTCCTGGCACCAGCACACACAGAAACAGGGCAGAGGTAAGATATCTAACTCTGTCTATGAGACCACATTGGGAGGTGGGGTAACAGGATGGTTAGGTGAACTACCTTCTGCCTTAGAGTACCTGAAAACCAAATGCCACCATCACCACATCTGTGATTTGTGAATATAAGCAAAGCTAAACCATTTGCACCCTCAGTTTCCCAACTACAAAACAGGGATCATAATATGCCCCCCACAGGGTCATTAGGAGTATTTAATAAGATAATCCACATCACATACTAGCACATCTGGAGAGCTCTACAAACATTGGGTTCCCCTCCTGACACACTGGACCTGAAATTCCAAGAGGGCAGGGACCATTGCTGCATTTACTAATCAGTAACTCCCCAACTCCTAACATGGTGCTTCAGAAAATATGTATTGCTGTTATTGATATTGTGGTATTGAAAAAGGGACTTCATCCTCCCCAGATCACCTTCCCCCCTTATTTGAAGCCAGCTGAATACATTGCTAAGGGACAGCCTCTTTCTTTCCCACCTAATGATCCTGTTTTTCTATGCTGCTTCAGTAAGTGTCATGGTATGGGGAGATAGGAATTAACCCACATCAACCAAACTAGAGCTTTGGTCTGATTCTTGCTCCCCAAGATGGGGCCCGCAAAGCAGCATGCTATACACTTGCTTTGATTTGATTGATACCATTTAATTTGATTAATTTGATTTCATCTGATTGATTTGCAAATTCCTTTCTTATTTTCACCCCCAATTCTGCCACATCCAAGGGGGAGAGAACAACCAGGAATCAGGAGATAATATCCAATTTCAGAATAAGTTGGGAGTGGCTGGAGAGGAAGGGGCATCTCTCCAAGGAAAGACTAGAGGAGGAGATACTGTTTCCAATCTAAATAACTTACTTTTTGAGGATAAAATTTACCCACTTTGTTATATCCAGACTAAACAGTTGGTGATGAGGCATTTGGGGCCTGGAATCCTGTCAGTCAGAAGGAAAATTGAGTTTCATTCGTGGTAGACCAGAGCTAGTAGCTCGGGCAAATTCCTAGTTGTCACTTAGGATCTGGGTTCTCAGTAGGCTGTAGGTAGTGTCTTTCCCACTAACTATCCTGTGGCCCCTGAGTTTCCACAATCACATGACATCTTTGGTGGCCAGCCCCCTGGTGACTGTCT
Organism: Homo sapiens; assembly: GCF_000001405.40. Taxonomy (NCBI): domain Eukaryota; kingdom Metazoa; phylum Chordata; class Mammalia; order Primates; family Hominidae; genus Homo; species Homo sapiens. The sequence goes on from NC_000005.10 coordinate 169,514,458, forward strand.
GCAGGCCAGTGTAGCATCAGAAGCATCTTGGATAATTAACAGATGTGCAGTCAAGTTTAAACATTGAGGCCATCTGTCTAGACAGCTAGGCAAACCTCTTTACATCTCCCATGAGCCCTGCCCTTTGCCTCCCTCCCTCCAGCTGTGGAGATGACTGACATTCTGGAATCCTGAGGGACGTGTACCTTCTCAGCATGGAGTCTTAAAGCAGGAGAGGGGAAGAACTAAGTGGGGACCATATGACCTCCCTGCTATGAAGGGCTTACAAGGGAGAGAACCTGTTCAAGACCCCACAGTCTACGACAGAGTAAGAACTTGAGCCTAGGTCTTCAGATTCCAAAGCCCATGCCGTTTCTACTATCTGGCTTGGACACTGAGGCACATTTTGCCATTTTCCACACTTGATGAAGTATTGACATTCTGTGAAAACAGGATTTATTAATCCATCTTCTGCACCTGCTGCTGAGCATTAGAGGCACTTAGAGGGTCCCATTCACTAGAAGCCCACATCTCATGGATAGCAATAGTTGTCCACCAGGCAACTGGCTTCAAGCATAGAAAATAAATTCTTTTTTTTTTTTTTTTGAAATGGAGTCTTGCTCTGTCGCCCAGTCTGGACTGCAGTGGCGCAACCTCAGCTCACTGCAACCTCCGTCCCACAGGTTCACGCCAATTCTCCTGCCTCAGCCTCCTGAGTAGCTGGGACTACAGTTGCCCGCCACTACGCTCGGCTAGTTTTTTGTATTTTTAGTAGAGACAGGGTTTCACCATGTTAGCCAGGATGGTCTCGATCTCCTGACCTTGTGATCCGCCCGCCTCAGCCTCCCAAAGTGCTGGGATTACAGGCATGAACCAAAGAAAATAAATTCTTTATTAGCTTCCTCAGGCCTCTGTAACAAAGTACCATAAACTGAGTGGCTTAAGCAACAGAAATGAGTGTCTCACAGTTCTGGACACTGGAGGTTCTCAATCAAGTTGTTAACATGGTTGGTTCCTTCTGAGGGCTGTGAGGGAAAGCTCTGTTCCAGGGCCCTCTTTTTGGCTTGTTGTTGGCTGTGTTCTTCCTGTGTCTCCACACTGTCTTCTTTTGATGTGTGTCTGTCTCTGTGTCTGAATTTCCCCATTTTCTAAGGACACTAGTTCTATTGGATTATTAGGGCCCACCCTAATGACCTCATTTTAACTTGATTACTCCAACCCAAATAAGATTACATTTTGAGGAACTGAGGGTTAGGACTGCAATGCATGAATTTGGGCGAGGAGGGAGGCATGGTTCAACCTACAACAAACTTTAAACCAGTGTTTCCCAAATTTCAGCCATTTATGTATCATCATCACACATTTCCTCTATTCACACACCATGCACATGACTCACCTTTAATATTTATACATCACCTTGTTTTCATAAAATAGATTTATGTTAAAAGGTAGCTTTATCTGTTGTATGAATGGTAAGCCAATGCTTTTCCAATATGCATTAAAATAATCATGAAAATTTAAAAGTTTTCATACCAACTAACATTATCTTCTGTATCACCCTTGGTAGGCATATCACTGTTTTGGAAACATAAATCCAAATGGTTTGTGAGTATGCAGGTTTGCACACATTCCACATGAGATGGGATCCCATTTGTCAATGGGTATTTTATTAAATGAGGCAAATCCCATTTAATTTAAGAGGTAGTAGTTCCCGAAGCTCCAGTGCTGCAAAGCACTTCTCAGCATCTCTCCAACCTCATAGGAACAGCCCACCCAGCTTTCTATACGGTAGAGACATGAGAAGATTCTAAAAATGGGAAAGCAGGTCTCATTCCTCATCTCTCTCTTCTCTAGGGATTTGTCTATCTGCTGTGAGTGACGCATAGGAGAGCTATGGAATAGTGACACAGAATAGTAAGATGGGGTCAGGTATATTCAAACCTGAGGCTCATGGCTAATTGTTTTCTGAATGAGTTGTTGACCCTTCTGCTGTTAAAGGATGAAGGTGGATAGCAGAGGGCTTGGACATCATCCCCATTGTCTTCCCAGCTCACTTATTGGACTTCTGGCCAATGGACAAATAGAGCCAGAAGAGTAAATATGCCCCTGGAACCCTCCACTCCCATGGCATACATGACCAATTTTTATGGACCACTTTTCTAGTAAGCCATTAAGGATCTCAAAATTCTTTTCAACACAACAATCTGGGAAGCCACTACCAATCTGTCAGCATTGCGTAAAGAGAGAAAACCAACAGGCCAGTCCCTATTGGGTGGTTTAGGCTGCTTTCTCTGTCTCCAACAAACAGTCAATCCTATAGATAGCCTAGAAAAAGCTCTTCACACCCCTGTTATCCTATCTACTCCCTTCCCACCTTTGTCTTCTTACTCTCTAGGACTCAGCTTGAATGCACCTCTCTAAAGAGACCCTCCTTTCCTTCTTCTTCACTAACTAAATAAATGACTAAATGCCTCCCATTATTCTTTATCTCAGGTTTTTGCTGGATTGCTTCATACAATGTATTAAGACTTGTGATTATGTATTTGCTTGGGCACTTATTTTTTATTTTTATTTTTAATTTATTTGACTTTTTTATTATACTTTAAGTTCTGGGGTACATGTGCAGAATGTGCAGTTTTGCAACATAGGTATACACATGCAATGGTGGTTTGCTGCACCCATCAGCCCGTCACCTACATTAGGTATTTCTCCTAATGCTATCCCTCCCCCATCCCCCCACCCCCTGACAGGCCCCGGCATGCGATGTTCCCCTCACTGTGACCATGTGTTCTCATTCTTCGACTCCCACTTATGAGTAAGAACAAGCAGTGTTTGGTTTTCTGTTCTTGTGTTAGTTTGCTGAGAATGAGGGTTTCCAGCTTCATCCATGTCCCTGCAAACGACATGAACTCATCCTTTTTTATGGCTGCATAGTATTCCACGGTGTATATGTGCCATATTTTCTTTATCCAGTCTATCATTGATGGACATTTGGGTTGGTTCCAAGTCTTTGCTATTGTGAATAGTGCTGCAGTAAACATACCTGTGCGTGTGTCTTTATAGAAAAATGATTTATCATCCTTTGGGTATATACCCAGTAATGGGATTGCTGGGTCAAATGGTATTTCCAGTTCTAGATCCTTGAGGAATCGCCACACTGTCTTCCACAATGGTTGAACTAATTTAGGCTCCCACCAACAGTGTAAAAGTGTTCCTATTTCTCCACAACCTCTCCAGCATCTGTTGTTCCTGACTTTTTAATGATCACCATTCTAACTGGCATGAGATGGTATCTCATTGTGGTTTTGATTTGCATTTCTCTAATGACCAGTGATGATGAGCTTTTTTTCATGTTTGTTGGCTGCATAAATGTCTTCTTTTGAGAAGTGTCTGTTCATATCCTTCACCCACTTTTGGATGGGGTTGTTTGCTTTTTGTTGTAAATTTGTTTAAGTTCTTTGTAGATTCTGAATATTAGCCATTTGTCTGATGGATAGATTGCAAAAACTTTCTCCCATTCTGTAGGTTCCCTGTTCACTCTGATGACAGTTTCTTTAGCTGTGCAGAAGCTCTTTAGTTTAATAGATCCCATTTGTCAATTTTGACTTTTGTTGCCATTGCTTTTGGTGTTTTAGACATGAAGTATTTGCCCCTATGTCCTGAATGGTATTGCCTAGGTTTTCTTCTAGTATTTTCATGGTTTTAGGTCCTATGTTTAAGTCTTTAATCCATCTTGAGTTAATTTTTGTATAAGGGATAAGGAAGGGGTCCAGTTTCAGTTTTCTGCATATGGCTAGCCAGTTTTCCCAACACCATTTATTAAATAGGGAATACTTTCCTCATTGCTTGTTTTTGGCAGGTTTGTCAAAGATCAGATGGTTGTAGATGTGTGCCATTATTTCTGAGGCCTCTGTTCTGTTCCATTGGTCTATATATGTTTTGGTACCAGTACCATGCTGTTTTGGTTACTGTAGCTTTGTAGTATAGTTTGAAGTCAGGTAGCCTGATGCCTCCAGCTTTGTTCTTTTTGCTTAAGATTGTTTTGGCTATGTGGGCTCTTTTTTGGCTCCATATGAAGTTTAAAGCAGTTATTTCTAATTCTGCGAAGAAAGTCAATGGTAGCTTGATGGGGATAGCATTGAATCTATAAATTATTTTGGGCAGTATGGCCGTTTTTACAATATTGATTCTTCCTATCCCTGAGCATGGAACGTCTTTCCATTTATTTGTGTCCTCTCTTATTTCCTTGAGCAGTGGTTTGTAGTTCTCCTTGAAGAGGTCCTTCACATCCCTTGTAAGTTGTATTCCTAGGTATTTTATTCTTTTAGTAGCAATTGTGAATGGGAGTTCACTCATGATTTGGCTCTCTGTTATTGGTGTATAGGAATGCTTGTGATTTTTGCACATTGATTTTGTATCCTGAGACTTTGCTGAAGTTGCTTATCAGCTTAAGGAGATTTTGGGCTGAGATGGTGGGGTTTTCTAAATATACAATCATGTCATCTGACAATCATGTCATCATGTCATCTGCAGACAGAGGCAATTTGACTTCCTCTTTTCCTATTTGAATACTCTTTATTTCTTTCTCTTCCCTGATTGCCCTGGCCAGAACTTATTAATTATTATAGTGGGAGACTTTAACACCCCACTGGCTTCCCTGGCTCTTAGAGCCTCTTCCATTCTGCTGGTTCTTTCCTTCTACTGTTTAGGGTGGTCAGCCTCCCTAGTAGATTGCTGTTGTAGGGGCAAGTGACATTTATGTCCTATTCAGTTAAGTACCACTACCTCATCAAGCACCCTGTCCTAGAGACATGAGAAGTGGTTTAGTTTGATTTATTTTTTCTGATTGTCACATTCTACATGCTAAAAAGAGGTCACCTACATGAATTTCATATTGCAATGTGCCTGCTATAGGCCAGGAATTATTCAGAGATTTAAAGCTACATAATATTGAGGATGATGATAATACTAATACTTCTACAGTTAGTAATGGTTATAATAGCTAACAGTAATGAGTGCTTACTATATGCCAGGGACCATTATAAGCACTTTACATATATTATATCATTGAATTCTCATAAGAAATTTCTGAGGTAGTTATTATTATTGAGCCCATTTTTCTGATGAGAACACTGAGGTACAAAGGGAATAACTGCACCATGGGCCCTACTTTTGAGCAGTTCATGGTCTAGTGGGGGTTTAGGATGTAAAATGGTGATGCTGCTGCTAATGATGATATAATATTAATAATAAACATCATTTGAATACAGTTTTAAGTAAAAAATAAGAAGACTACACATAAGACAGAAGAAGATTTGGCAACCATGTGAGTGGTGTGTGTATGTGAGCGAGGGAAAAGATGCAATTTAAGTGTAATACGACATCTCAATTAGATGAATGAGGGCTTCTTCTCTGCATAAATTTAATGGATGTGATGTTGATGAATGTTTAACAACTAGATTTCCAGGTGTAGTTGCTGATGAATGTTGGTTGATATTTTCATTTACACTAATGAGTAAGATGAAAGTGAAATATGTAATGAAAATATATGTCAAAACTTCGTTTGTTTTTGAAGGATCTGAGTAACTTTTTTGCTGAACTGGGCAATAGTTTTCAAACATTGGAAGAATATTTCCTCAGGCTTTTCTGCTATTTACAATGTAAAAACTATATACGCAACCACTTTCCCCGCTCCCCCACCCCCCCCCCACTTAGACGGAGTCTCAATCTCAGCTTACTGCAATCTCTGCCTTCCGAGTTTAAGCCGCTGGAGTAGCTGGGACTATAGGTGCACACTACCGCGCCCGGCTAATTTTTATTTTATTTCATTATTATTATTATTATTATTTGAGACGGAGTCTCGCTCTGTCGCCCAGGCTGGAGTGCAGTGGCAGGATCTTGGCTCACTGCAAGCTCCACCTGCCGGGTTCACACTATTCTCCTGCTTCAGCCTCCTGAGCAGCTGGGACTACAGGTGCGTGTGCCACCACGCCCAGCTAAATTTTGTATTTTTACTAGATTCGGGGTTTCACCATATTGGTCAGGCTGGTCTTGAACTCCTGACCTTGGGTGATTCACCTGCCTCGGCCTCCCAAAGTGCTGGGATTACAGGCGTGAGCCACTGCATCCAGCCCACAACCACTTTTAAGTTAAATCTGCATTATTAACATTCTCTCTATCACTAGGGCTTAGCCAGTTACAGCTCATGGGCTCCTAGTTTTGGAAAGTTCATTAGCTGATTTTTTTTTTTATTTCTTTCCCATTTTTAAAGAATTATAAAATAGGAGGAGGAGAAATGATGGGGTTCGAGTCATTATTATCTTTTAAAATATAAATTATTCCATTGTACATTTACAAAATTTTATTTTTCATAATGTCTGTGTTAGTAACTGGCTCACAACATTTTTGAAATTTTAATTACCTCTTGCAGACCAAACAAGCTGACCTCAGCATAGCACAGTGTGATCACAGAAGCAGTTGGTTGTCCTTGATATTAATGTTGATGCTACAGTAGTCTATGTATTCCTGTAAAGTAGGCAGGTCTTTAAAGAGGATATTCATTACAGCCTTGTTTATAATTGTGAAGATTTAAAAATATATATCTAAATATCCAGTGATAAAAGAATCAATAAATAAAATATTGTATATTTGTATTATGGAATTCATTTTATGCCACAGTGATAATGCATTAACTAGCTCTATATACATCAACATGGATAGTCTCAAAAACAAAATGGGCCAGGCGTGCAGTGTGCATCTGTAATCCCAGCACTTTGGGAAGCTGAGTTGGGAGGATCACTTGAGTACAGGAGTTCACGGCCACAGTGAGCTGAGATGACACCACTGCACTGCAGAGCAGGACCTCATTTCATAAAACAAAAACAAAAACAAAAAAACGAAAAAGAAAAAATGTGTGAAAAAGGAAAATTTAAGAAAATGCACAGATGATGATTTAAAAAACAAAGAACAGAAATCTAATATTTATGGATCCCTCAATGTGTAGTAAAGGTATACAAACATGGAGGGGGAGAGCACCTCCCAAATTGTGCTACTGATACGGAAGTGCTGGGTAGAGAAGGGCATGGTCCCTTTAAATGCTACGGAAGAGAGGAAGGGAAGTGCTGAGTAGAGGAGGGCATGGTCCCTGGCTAGGTCTCCACCTCCAGGCCTGTGCCCAGGGACCTAGGTGAGGACAGGCATTTTTGTTTTCCTGCCCAAATGTTGCATTTCCCAAGACCACCCTGGCTTGCCATGCCCCTATCCTGTGCCTATAAAAACCCCTGAGAGCCTAGTAGGCAGACACACAGACAGCTGGATGTTGACAGGAATGCACCGGCATAGGAGCACAGCGGCATGCTGGCAGACCACCAACTGGCAGAATGACATGGAGGTTGGCCAAGGCAGTCAAAGGAGATCCTGGCCACCGAGTGGCCCCACGCTACAGGAAAACCATCTCCCTTCTGGCTCCCCTATTTGCTGAGAGCTACTTCCACTCAATAAAACCTTGCATTCATTCTCCAAGCCCACGTGTGATCCAATTCTTCTGGTACACCAAGGCAGGAACCCCAGGACACAGAAATCCCTCTGTCCTTGCAATAAGGCAGGGGTCTAATTGAGCTGACTAACACAAGCGAACTATAGATGGCAAACTAAAAGAGCACCCTGTAACACACGCCTACTGAGGCTTTAGCTGTAAACCCCTAGACACTGCCGTGGGGTCAGAGCCCCACAGCCTGCCCATCTGTATGCTCCCCTAGAGGTTTGAGCAGCAGGGCACTGAAGAAGCAAGTCACAACTCCATTGCACACCCTGCGAGGGGGCAAGGGAACCTTTCCCGTTTCACTATCAGTTAGTTTCCTCTGTGGGTTTAGGGAGAGCAGGAGAGAAGTGAGATGGAAAGAGTGAGCAAACTGAACTTAAACTTGATCTATTTGTAATGTTTTGTTTGTTTTTTAAAAATTAAGCAAGTAGAAGAAATCTCAACAATATTATATGGTGGGAATATTATTATATTTTGTTTGATATATTATTATCTTTTTTTAAAATTATACAAATGTAATTTTTAAAAAACCTATTAATGTAACTTGGAAGACTTAAACCTACCGCTTTAGGTCCTGAGTTGTCCAGTGTACGTCATCTGAAAAGAGTTTTCCTCCCATCCCACAATATCTAAGCAAGAGGACACATACCAGTTTCCTGATGGCAAAGCATAATTGCAGAACCTACCTCAAGCAGCAGCAGCCTCTGTAATGCAGGTCCCTCAAAGACATGCCATCTTATTTTAATCCATGTTGAAGTATCTTGTTTTACAAATTGGGTTGTGAATGGTCCTCACTCCCTACCCAGTTATAGTCCAAAATACAGCAACCACTCAGCCCTCCCATGGCCAACTTGGCAGGGAAGCCCTGTCTTTCCCCCACATGGGGTTCCCTTCCTCTATCATGTCCATAAATGCAAACTGTGTGGTGCTTACTCATCATGCTCCAGGATCCAGACCTGCTTGCTCTCTCCTCAGAACTCCAATTGAGGCTGGGGTTTCCCAGCCACCGCCAAAGAAATGCCTGTTTGCCACAGATGCCTTAGTTGGAGCTAGAGTGTTACCCATTGGAGTCCTGCGCACTCCAGAAATAGGCATCCAAACAGGGTCATAAGAGCCTGGGATGTCACCACTTTTTGCTGCCCAGGTCAAAATTCAGGGAAACCCAGCATTGTGAAGAAATGTGACTGGGGCAGAGTTTCCTGTTTGTGTTGCTGACACCGCAAGTGTTGCAAATCACTATCACAGTGTGATGGTGGTGGTTTGATTCTGACTGTTTCAATTCATTCCTGCCATGTGTGTTCTATGACTGAAGTCCAATGCATGCATCAGGACAAGTTCTGGTGCATCTGTCAAGTCACAGCCTCTTTTAGCCACCTGTCTGCTGGCCCCAAATCATTCTACCACCAAGATAATTTTACTTCAGGGTATAATAATGCATTCCTGCCCCAAGGACTTAGCAAAGACCAACTGCAACTTATCCTGATGGAGTTCAATTGCTGTGTGTGTCTAGTAAGAAAAGTTTCAAATGCTTTCCTTCCAAAAGGTGCTTGGGTTCCAAATGTAAATATACCCATCCTATTATTTAAGCCTTCAAGCTCCAACAAGAGTTCTTCTTGCAAAACAAACACTAAAATATTTCAAGGTGCCAGCTATAAATAAAAGGCTTTACTTGCATCTTTTCATTTAGTCCTCACAACAACTTTAAGAAATGCATGCTCTTCATTAGCCCCATTTTACAGAGAGGAAGAATGGAATAGCAAGAGGTAAAGTTACCTTTCCAAAGCCACATTCTTATTAAGTGACAGAATCAAGACGCAAATTCAGAAGTGGCAATGGCCTTCTTTCTGTCCAATTTGAGCTGCCTCACAAATCCTTTCAGTGCCATTTCCCTGCTCCTCATTCCCTGCCACTGCACTTTTTCTTAGTTGTATTAAAAGTTACCTATCAGGTACTATTCTTATTATGTGAGTGACAAAATAATCTGTACACCAAACCCCCATGACCTGTAATTTACCTATATAACAAACCTGCACACACACCCCTGAACTTAAAATAAAAGTTTAAAAAAGCTAATTAAGTTAAACCTCTGAGTCCTTTCCAGGATCTCAACTTCAATGAAAGAAAACGTATTTTTTACTTTTAAATTATTATGAAAGATGCACACAAAAGAATATATGCAACATACATGTAAGTTACAAAGAATAGTAGTTTTATTAGTAAGGGTCCACCAGAGAGGCAGAAGCATTAGAAGATTATATATTTATACACACACATATATATCTATATGTGTTTGTGTGTGTGTGTGTGTGCATGTGTATAAAATGAAGAGATGTACTATAGGAATTGGCTCATGTGGTATAGAAGTTGAGAAGTCCCGTGATCTGCACTCTGCAACCTAGAAAACCAGGAAAGCTGCTTGTGTGATTCAATCTGAATCCCAAGACCTGAGAATCGGGGAGAGGGAAGTGTGATGGCCCTGGTCCTAAGTCCTGGTCTCAATTCAAATGCCCAAGAACCAGGACCACCAATAAGTCCTGGCTCAACCAGAGACGGCAGTTGTCTTCCTCTACCTTTTTGTTTTATTCAGACCCACAATGGATTGAACTACGGTTCAATTTTGAATGCTCAGTGGCATTCACAAGGGAGATTTTCTACTGATTCAAATGCTAAACTCTTCCAGAAACACCCTCACAGACACACCCAGAATAAAAGGTCATACCAGCTACCTGGGCATCCCTTAACCCAGTCAAGTTGCAATCAACCATCACAATAGTAAAGCTAGAACATTATCAATACTCACGTGGTCCTGCTCAATCCTATCCCACTACACTCACAAAAGTAACCATTGTTGGGCTTTAGGCTTATCATTAATTTTTTAAAATGTTTTAAGCATGTATCCCTAAATAATGTATTATTTTATTTTTAAATGAGCTTTATATAAATAATATAACCTATGTCATCTTTTGTGACTCTTTTTAGTATATTATTGATTTAACGTGTAGATGGGTATTAGGCAAAGATTAACAGGTCTGACAATACCAAGCATCAGTGAGAATTTAGAGCAACCTGCACTGCTGGTAATAATGTAAATTGGTATAAGCACTGCTATGGATTAGATATGGTTTGTTTGTCCTTACCAAAGCTAAAATTTGATCCCCAGTGTGGTGTGTATTAATCCATTTTCATGCTGTTGATAAAGACATACCTGAGACTGGGAAGAAAAAGAGGTTTAATTGGATTTAAGTTCCACATGGCTGGCAAGGCCTCAGAATCACCGTGGGAGGCAAAAGGCACTTCTTACATGGTGGCAGCATGAGAAAATGAGTAAGAAGCAAAAGTGGAAACCCCTGATAAACCCATCAGATCTTGTGAGACTTATTCACTATCAGGAGAATAGCATGGGAAAGACTGGCCCCCATGATTCAATTACCTCCCCCTAGGTCCCTCCCACAACACATGAGAATTCTGGGAGATATAATTCAAGTTGAGATTTGAGTGAGGACAGAGCCAAACCATATCATTCTGCCCTTGGTCCCTCCAAATCTCATGTCCTCACATTTCAAAACCAATCACACCTTCTCAACAGTCCCCCAAAGTCCCAAAGTCTTAACTCATTTCAGTATTAACCAAAAAGTCCACAGTCCAAAGTCTCATCTGAGATAAGGCAAGTTCCTTACGCCTATGAACCCATAAAATCAAAAGCAAGCTAATTACTTCCTAGATACAATGGGGCTACAGGTATTGGGTAAATACGGCCATCCCAAATGGGAGAAATTGGCCAAAACAAAGGGGTTACAGGGCCCATGCAAGTCCGAAATCCAGTGGGGCAGTCAAATTTTAAAGCTCCAAAATGATCTCCTTTGACTCCAGGTCTCACATGCAGATCATGCTGATGCAAGAAGTAAGTTCCCATGGTCTTGGGCAGCTCCAACCCTGTGGCTTTGCAGGGTACAGCCCCCCTCCTGGCTGCTTTCATGGGCTGGTGTTGAGTGTCTGTGGCTTTTCCAGGCACACAATGCAAGCTGTCGGTGGATCTACCATTCTGGAGTCTGAAGGACAGTGGCCCTCTTCTCACAGCTCCACTAGACAGTGCCCCAGTAGGGGCCCTATGTGGGGGATCCGACCCCACATTTCCCTTCCACATTGCCCTAGCACAGGTTCTCCATGAGGGCACTGCCCCTGTAGCAAACTTTTGACTGGGCATCTAGGCATTTCCATACATCTTCTGAAAACTAGGCAGAGGTTCCCAAACTTCAATTCTTGACTTCTGTGCACTTGCAGGCTCAAAAACATGTGGAAGCTGCCAAGGACTGGGGCTTCTACCCTCTGAAGCCACAGCTCAAGCTGTATGTTGACCCCTTTCAGCCATGGCTGGAGCAGCTAGGACACAGGGCACCAAGTCCCTAGGCTGCACACAGCACAGGGACCCCTGGCCTGGTCCACAAAACCACGTTTTCCTCCTGGGCCTCCAGGCCTGTGATAGGAGGGGCTGCCATGAAGACCTCCGACATGTGCTGGAGACATTTTCCCATGGTCTTGGGGATTAACATTAGGCTCCTTGCTACTTATCCCAAATTTCTGCAGTCAGCTTGAATTTCTCCCTAGAAAATAGGTTTTTCTTTTGTATCACATCGTCAGGCTGCAAATTTTCCAAACTTCTATGCTCTGCTTCCCTTATAAAACTGAATGCATTTAACAGTACTCAAGTCACATCTTGAATGCTATGCTGCTTAGAAATTTCTTCCACCAGATACCCTAAATCATCTTTCTCAAGTTCAAAGTTCCACAAATCCCTAGGGCAGGTGCAAAATGCCACCAGTCTCTTTACTAAAACATAACAAGAGTCACCTTTATTCCAGTTCCCAACAAGTTCCTCATCTCCATCTGGGACCACCTCAGCCTGGACCTTATTGTCCATATCGCTATCAGCATTTTGGGCAAAGCCATTTAACAAGTCTCTAGAAAGTTCCAAACTTTCCCACATTTTCCTGTCTTCTTCCGAGCCCCCTAAACTGTTCCAACCTCTGCCTGTTACCCAGTTTCAAAGTCGTTTCCACATTTTCGGGTATCTTTTCAGCAACACCCCACTCTACTGGTACCAATTTACTGTATTAGTGCATTTTCACACTGTAGATAAAGACATACCCAAGCCTGGGAAGAAAAAGAGGTTTAATTGGACTTACAGTTCCACAGGGCTGGGAGGTCTTAGAATCATGGGGGGAGGTAAAAGGCACTTCTTATATGGTGGCCACAAGAGAAATGAGGAAGAAGCAAAAGAGGAAACTCCTGATAAACCCATCGGATCTCATGAGACTAGACCAGCCCTCCTTGTGGTTAAATTACCTCCCCCTAGGTCCCTCCCACAACACGTGGGAATTGTGGGAAATACAATTCAAGTTGAGATTTGGGTGGGGACACAGCCAAACCATATCATGGTGGTATTGGAAGGTGGGGCTTAGTGGGAGGTGTTTGGGTCATGGGGGTGGATGAATAACTTGGTGCTGTTTTTACAGTAGTAAGTGAGTTCTCATGCTTGTGAAGCTGGATTGGTTTTTGGGGGAATAGATTACTTCTTACAAGAGTGGGTTGTTATAAAGTCAAGATGCCTCTCAAATTTGGTCCTTCTTTGTGTGTGCCTGCTTCCCTCTTGACTTTATCCACCATGTTTTGACACAGCACAAGAGGCTTCATCAGAAGCTGAGAAGATGCAGGTGCCCTTGTACAACCTGCAGAACTGTGAGCCACATAAACCTCTTTTCTTTATAACCTCAGAAATTTCTTCATAGCAACACAAAATGAACTAAGACAAGCACTTTGGAAAACAATGAAACATTGTTTTGTAAGATTGAACAAATACATTTGCTACCTTCCAACAATTTCTCTCCTAAGCCCATGCACCAGACAAACTTTTGTGTACATGCACCAGAAGACAATGCAAGAATGTTCATAGAAGCCTTGCTCATAATAGCATGTAATGAAGTACTTTTGTCCTTGGGGATTAGTCATATGCTCTATCTCTGAATGAACTATTATTGAACTAGTTAACATGTTATTTTCCTAGGAAAAGATATGAAAAAGTGGTTTTCTCTATCTTATTAATAGTAAAACAATTTGGACTGGTATGAGGCAAGAGTGTGGCTTTTGTGATTGCATCATGTCTTTAGACAAAATGTTTTTTAATGCTAAGTTCTAACTCTTGAAATCAACATGGTTGATGTCCTCACAGTTTAGCAAGAAGGTATCTGAATTCATTTGTCAGAGGTTGGAAGGTGTGGCAGAGGTGACAGAAGAGGCAGATTGATGGAAAATGAAAAGCTTGCAGATTTAAGACCCATGATTATCTCCCTCACCTCCCCCCATCTTTTGAGCATCAAAGTTTGTCTCCAGTGCAGAGAACCATATTTGTTGAGTCTGATAAATTATTAGATTAATTTTTGGCCCTTGTAGCCTATTTAAAAGTGTAGAAATTTTGACTTCATATTCAACTCCAAAGGGTCTCTTTCTTGGAAGAAGAACTGAGAGAAATTTGAGGTTTGAACTTTTCCACCAAAACATTTTTGGTAAACAGAATAATTCATTTCAGACTTTTTACAAATGAGCCACATAAGTACAGAATTCCAAAATCTAACGCTCCCTCAGAGTGACTGTTCTGTGCTTAACGTGCAATACAAAGATAATGTTGTACATGTACAAATACACCAAGTGTTAGATACTCCAAATTGCAAAACAAAATTCAGTAGTTGTAAGTGGATGTCCCATTTCTACCCTTCTCCTCTAATTGCCACCAGAAAGTTCATGCCAGCTTGCCCCACAACTCACAGCAGGATGCCCCCGCACTTCTGAAATTTCCCAAAAGAAAAGACTTATCCCCCAAGAGGTTAAGTGGCCTGCTCATGATCTCTGGGTGAGCAGCAGGGTTGAGACCAGGACCCAGACCTGAGAAAAATCTTTCTTCCTAATCAGGCTGTTTCCTGTTCCTCCCAATTCTCTGAAAAGGAAATGCTTTGTTTTTATTTGTTGTTTTGTCTCCACTACTTCTCAGAATGCTTTGAGAGCCCTTCTTTATTTGGCTTCAGAGACATTGTTTGCATTTTCTTCAAATGAAAGGGAGCCCTGACGAGTTCACCTGATAACCTCATCACTGTGCATACATGAATGCCAATTACCACTCAGAAGACCAGTTTAATCCTCACTTGTCAATAGTTTCCTTCCTGATAACACTTCCCACAGATTCTATAGATGGCTGGCTGGGCTCTGAGGTCCACAGAGCAGACAAGAAGCTTCCTGCAGACTGAAGGGGAAGCTTTTCATAAACTTGCACCCCTTCTACCTCCTGCCCTCTCTGTCCCCTTCCAAGAATAGTCACATACTTAGAAGCAGTCTTTTAAGTACTAACTGCAGAAAGGCATGCGGGGGGCGCCATTAAAAATGGCAAGAGGATGCTTATAGCCACTGTAAGGACTTCAGCTTTTTTTCTGCAGAGGACACAAGAGAATGAGAAATTCTCATTGTCCTAGAGAAGAATGTGACATTTTATTGCCTACCCTCCAATGCACCATATGCTGTTTGTGTGTGCACACACATACCAGATCACATCTAAACTGTCCTTCAAGACATGAAGTGGTAGAACCTAATATCTTCATTGTGGTTTGAGAGTGACTGCACTGCAAAAGAGTCTCCATGATTTAAAAAGAAAAAATGTTTCCCTAGAGGTAGGGCGACAGTAACATGGGAAAGGTAGGGTAAGGAAACTAGTGCCATAGGAAACTCCTGAAAAATTCAGAGGGATGCTTAGAATTCAAGGCAGATTGGTAATTTACCTCTCACTTAATCTGTTTGAATATTCTTTGCATACTGATCCACTGTGGTAAAGAAATCTGTTCACTTAGCCCATGCCAGGAGGGATATGTGCATGACACACAGGCCAAAACACAGGAAAGGAGAAGGCAGAGCATCCCTAATTTTTCAGAGGAGTAATTCTCCCAACATCCTGCAAGGCTGAAACATGAAGATGCCCAAAAAGCCCTAGAAACCAGCTGAGAAGCCCTTAGTCCCAGAGGCTGCCCGGGGCCATTTCATATTGTACATCCTGCCTTCCTCAGAACCCATTACTCCAGATCCAACAGCCTCATGTTCTCCCTGATGCTTCCAATGTGCTAGTGAATTAAGCAAAAGCAGACAGAATTTAAAGAGGGTCTTCTGTGTAGATGAACAAGGTGGAGGAATTGGATGTCAAAATCAAAGTGCAAAGATAGAAATATTTCTCAGGCTGTAGGTGAATGCATTTGCAACTGTGTACAGAAATATTTCTCCTAGGAATCTTCAGAAAAAATTCACTGGTTGAGACCTTGAACAGGAGTTCTGTTACCACAGAAGGGTGTCTACGTTATTCCTGGCAAAATAACTACGGATATATAGACCCATTCTTAAAGGAGGAATGGTTTCCATAGCTCTAGGCTTAAGAAAACCCATACTGGTGAACAGGTTGGAGACAGAAATCCCAACCCTTTCCTTCTTGGTGCTTCACACACTTGGAAGAGGGTGAATCCCTTCCTCACAGGGATTTTGTGAGTAAAGAATATACCTGAGGTGACAATGTTTCAAAAAAGACAAGGTGCCACATAAATGGAACACCTACAGGCTAGAGCAGGAGACTTGAGCCCTTAGTTCCCAGATATACCTCAGTCAACCAAGAGCAGCTGGTTATGAAGCATGGGCAGTACCCTTGGACAAGCAGCCAGGTAACAGGAGAACAGATCTGCTTTTACTGAATGTGCACTGAATGCCACACATTATGCTGGAAACCTTTTACCCACCTACCTCATTTAATTCTTGCAAAACTGCTGCAAGAATACTTATTACCAGTCCTATTTAATAAAAGAGAAGCTTGGGTGAGGTGGCTCACATCTGTAATCCCAGCACTTTGGGAAGCTGAGATGGAAGAATTCCTTGAAGCCAGGAGTTCGAGACCAGCCTGAGCAATATAGCAAGATCCCATCTCTAAAAAAAAAAAAAAAAAAACTCCAGGTGTGGTGGAGGCTGAGGCAGGAGGATCACTTGAGCCCAGGAGTTTGACACTGCAGTGACCTCTGATGGCACAACTGCACTCCAGCCTAGGCAACAAAGTGAGACCCTGTCTCAAAAACAAACAAACAAAAAAATAGATAAGAAATCGAGGCTCAGATTGGAGAAGGGCTTGGCAAGTGCAGGAAGCTGGTAAGCTGGTAGTGACTGCCCTTCATATAGGAGACTACAAACGCCAAGTGCTCACTTTCAACACCTCTCCCCACCTGGAGTGTTGGTGTGTGCCCCAATTCCCATTGATATGACCTAAGGGGGATCTCTTGGGGGATTGTATGAAGATTGACTCCCTAAGAGGGATCATCTCACTTTTCTTCATTGCACATGCTCACCCTTCCCATGACATTTGGAGCTGTTGCATCATTCCACAGCCACGATGGCAAACATCATCAACTACCACTATTGGGATCAACTGTCTACTCAAGCTACAGAAGCACTGTTGTGTTGATACACAAAGGAAGAGGGACAAACAGGTAGAGGCACGTCCTATGACTCTGACCCACTCCGAAGCAGCCCTCCAGTGTCTGTATTGGCAAAGAGCAAAGGGAGCTGCTGCAAAGTAGAAATGTGGCTTCAAAGCCCCAGCCACAGCATCACGGAGCAGAACACAGAAAGGAGTACTTGAAGCATTAGACAATAAGAAGTGCAAAGGGTATGCTAACTTTCTAGGGCTGCCATAACAAATTACCTCAAATTAGGTGACTTAAAATAACTGGAATTTATTCTCTCACAGTTTTTGAGGCCAGACATCTGAAATCAAGATGTTGATAGTGTCATGCTCCCGCGGGAGGCTGTAGAGAAAAATCTTTCCTTGCCTTTTCTGGCTTCTAGTGGTAGCTGGCAGTCCTTGGCATTTGTTGGCCTGTAGCTACATTGATCCCATTTCTGCCTCTGTCCACATGGCCATCTTCCTTTTGTGTGACCGTGTCTTCCCCTGGCCTTCTAATAAGGATATCAGTTATTAGACACTCTAATTTAATATAATCTCATTTTAACTAATGAGCATCTACCAAATAAAGACCTATTTCCAAATAAAGTCAAATCCTGTGATCCCATGTGGACAAAAATTGTGGAGGGGACACTGTTGAACCTAGTACAAAGGCTTTAGTCTTTTATGGCAGGGTTGGAAGCTAGGAGGAGCCCAGGGCTGGAGTGAGACTTCATTCACTGGATGATCTGTCTGAGTAAGTGGTCAATAGGATAGCAGATCCCAAGAAAAGAGGCATTTGCATTTCTCTAAGAATACAAAGCACTTGGATGACGGGAGGGAGAGCATCAGGAAAAATAGCTAAGGGATGCTGGGCTTAATACCTAGGTGACGGGATGATCTGTGCGGATCTGTGAGCAAGCCACTATGGCACACATTTACTTACGTAATAAATCTGCACATCCTGCACATGTACCATTGAACTTAAAAGTTGAAAAAATAGAATACAAAGCTCTTCCTGACTGCTCAAAGCTCAAGGTGTTGCCTTTTTCAAATGGGATGCAATAGCCTACTCATTTTCCAAGATTAAAGCTAGAGAGAAGAATGAATGAATGAATAAATAAATAAATAAATAAATAAATAAATAAATAAATGAGCAAAGTTAATATTAGCTGGAAAAAATAGGGTACAGGTGGAAGGAATGAACCCATATTGAGAGTCCACTATGTGTCAAATTCCTTGCATGGAATCTCTAAGGTCTGTCTAGCTTAAAAGCAATGCCAGCCTTGCTATCTGTACTTGATGAGGAGATGGATCGGAAAGCAGTGGAGAACACAGGATGTGTGCTGGTAACTCTGAAGTGTGGTTCAAGCAGAGGGACACAGAAAGCATTAATGCCGTAACTTCAATAGCACAAGGGCTAATAAACAGGAGAGAGTGTATTTAATATATTTAAGTTCTTTTCAAAGAAAATGTTTCGAGGCCATCTGGATTCAAATCCAGGCTCTGACACCTACCACCTGTGTACAGGTGCCTTAGCCACTCTGAGCCTCAGTTTTCTCATCTGTAGAATGGGAATAACAACAGTATTTTTCTTTTTTTTGAGACAGTGTCTCACACTGTAACCAGGGCTGGAGTGCAGTGGTGCAATCTCGGCTCACTGCAACCTCTGCCTCCCAGGTTCAAGCGATTCTCCTGCTTCAGCATCCCAAGGAGCTGGGATTACAGGTGCCTACCACCATGCCCAGCTAATTTTTTACATTTTTAGTAGAGACAGGGTTTCACTATGTTGGCCAGGCTGGTCTCAAACTCCTGACCTCGTGATTCGCCCACCTCGGCCTCCCAAAGTGCTGAGATTACAGGTGTGAGCCACTGGGCCTGGCCCAACAACAGTATTTACCTCATAGGTTTGTTAAAAGATTTGAGTTAGTTGGCCAGGCACAATGGCTCACACTTTTAATCCCAGCAGTTTGGGAGGCCAAGGCCAGCAGATCACCTGAGGTCAGGAGTTTGAGACCATCTAGATCAACATGGTGAAACCCCGTCTCTACTAAAAATAGAAAAATTACCTGGGTGTGATGATGCACACCCATAGTCCCAGCTACTCGGGAGGCTGAGGCAGGAGAATCTCTTGAGCCGAGGAGGCAGAGGCTGCAGTGAATCGAAATCGTGCCACTGCACTCCAGCCTGGGCCACAGAGTGAGACCCCATCTTAGAAAAAAAAAAAAAGAACTGAGTTAGTTAATACTTGTAAAATACTTAGAATCATGTGCATGGTACATATGTTAGATAAAACAGTGTTTGTGAAATACATATTGTAAGTGGCATCAGGGCATCAGGCAACTGTCTGTGGGGTTATGATGAGATCCTAAATGACCGTAATTTGTTGGTCATGCCATATTTATTTATGTTTATCATATGAGGTTTCCTTTCAGAATATTTTAGCAAGGGGTGGGTGTGTGTGTGTGTGTACGCACACACATGTTGAGGTGGGGCGGGGCAGGTTTCAGAAAAGAGGAGTAGAGAGCTGACAAAGATGGGTCAGTACAGTGAAATTTTGCATTTTCCTTCCTACTACATCTTTGGGAAACCCATCCATACACGTGAATCACAGAGTCATAGAACTCCTTGAAGTCTGATAGAGACATGACAAGAGAAAAGAGGCTCCTCTCTTCCTTTGGATGAGATGAGAACAGGAGGTTGCTACCTGCCGTCTTTCCCATCTTTCTCAGTCTGTGTAAAAGCCTACCTGAAAACATCTAGTGGGAACCTAAGGCAAGAGATGAGAGAAAGAAAAAACTCCTTCATACCATTTGATCCCCTGGATCACACTGTACCTGATGTCCTCCTTGCATATCCCAGTAACATCATTCATTATTTTTTCTTATATGTATATATCAATTTGGGCTGGCTTTTTTTTTTCTTGTGCTACCAAAAGAATACCATCTGATCTGCTTGAGTCATTCAGTGAAGTTATTTTTAATTTTAAATGGACACGAGTAAAAAAAAATTATGGCATTCCTAAGAGATAACCAAAGCTCAACCCAAGAATCTCTGACTTAAGCTTTCCAAAATCTGGACACACATTCGGAGTTTGGTTTCTTCATGGGGGATCTTCTCAGACATTCTGTTTCTCATAGAGTTTGCACTTACCCCTAGGCCACTGTGGGGTGGCCTTCCTGCCCAATCAAGCCATTCCCCCAGGTCCCTGCACCAGCATCAGCCCACTTACAAGTCCAGGAAGGGCAACAAAGCAATCAGTGTCCCAATTGGCAGACTCAAGGGGAAGACTCCTGACCCCTGTGCCCCATCAAACTTCACAGTGCATTGACTTGATTTATGAAAAAGGTTATGAAAGCATGTAAGAGCTCTTGCTGGAAAGAAAATTATCTGTATAAACAAAGTGTTATTATGGGAATCAGGGAGGCTGCATGCGGGAAAGGTCATTAAAATAAGACAAAAACTGTCATATCAGTCTTTTCTAAATCACTAAACTTACATGAGAGAAGTTAAATATCTTTATATCTCACTGGTTCCTTTTTGATCATTAGTCTTTCTAGCTCACAAGGGGACATTCACAGATGCTGAACTGTAGAGTACTTTAAATTAGAGGGAATTTCTAAGACATCACTTGTGAAGTTGGATTTTTTAAGGAGGGCTCAATTAGAGAATGTTGGGTAATACAGAGCAGGCTTTGGAGTCCCTGGGGTGTTATTTTCTCTTCTACAAATGAAAGACCAATTTTTTTCCTTTGCTTCATTTGACAGGATTTGATATTTTCCACTCTTTCTCCTAATGAGGGGAATACACAACAATTACACTATATACAGTGGTATACTTCACAGATATGGTGTTCAGGCTTTGGGTTAAGAAAACAAATCCTGTTAGTAGATTAGTTTGTATTAAAAATCTTTCTGAGCTAGGGCCAGATCCTCCCATGAAAATCATGTTCGTAAACAGTTGGTTCCATTAAGATGTTTTGCTCAAGTTTGGCTGTCGGAGCCAGATTCTTTTATTCTTAAGAAGAGTTTTGACAGCCAAGTTCAGACTACTGATCCATATTCTTCAAGCACATGAGCAATATAAAGTGCCTTTGATTTCCCCTTTATTTGTTCTTTGGACCTTTAATTCTGGATCTTAAAGACAATGAGATTAAACTAAATATTCTCAAAAGTTGTGTTTGGAATGTATAATTAGGTGCAATTAAATGGTAATAGGAAGATAATATGGTGATATTTTAGCTAAGGACCCTAGCACTACCTAAATTCTTGCCTTGGGTGCACCACTACTTCTTTCAGAATATCTCCAAGGGAGATATTCAACAAAGCAGACAAAGTACAAGGGCTTTGACCCCAAAAGCCAAAGTGGAATTCAAGCTGGCTGGGCTAGAATCCATAGAGAGCTTCTGTAGTCAAGCAAGACAGGTTTGAATGGACTAGAAGCAAGTGGAAAGACTATTCTGGCTGAACAAAGCCTAACTAGTTGTATGTTTATCCCTGGGAAGCTTTCAGTGCCTAAAGCTGAACTGGGCATTCTTAGGATCTAGTGGAGAAAAACATCCAAAAAGAGATGCCTGGACCTTCTCCCAGTGCAACAGGACCAGGCCAGTGTACCACCCAGAAGGAGAGGAAATGGAGCTTTTAATGCTGTACAGTGACTCACTCCACCCAAAGTGGCTGACTCTATCCATAATTCCCCTTTTGCCAGGTGGAGGAAAGGGGCTGGAATGAAGGAGAGTAGAGTTAATGAGAACTAAAATGTAAAAATCCTTCATATTCTCACAATTGTATATGTTAACATATGTCTTCTTGCTTCCTTTAGGAGACCCACTATCTCAATTGCATTAGTGTTGTCTTTATATAATGCCAGACATAATTCACATCCAATTTGTGGATTTGGACACATAGTAAAACAGAAAAAATCTGTGATATGTGCTAGAGCCCCCACATATGCCCAAAGTCTTCCAAATCTATTTAAAACACAATCATGCTGTGAACATCTATTATTTTGCTGTCTGGAATCTTGTAACCTTTTTTCTGGTAGTGATACCCTAATTTCCCCACTTTCAACTCATGTGCTTCCAATGGAGTTGACTCTAACCCTAACTCAAGAGTGGGGTGGATGAACCAGATCTGGCCAATCAAAGTCCTGATTTTTTATGGCATCAGTAATCAAACCAAAGCTAAGCACATGGACTAACCTACTCCAATAAGAGTGGCATTTTCTTTGGAAATACTAGAATAAAGATGCTCACTTTTCAACTGGATTTTAACCTAGAATCATGCAGTTCCAAGAGCTCATGACAGTAGTCTTTCAACCATAAGAAATAAATCACAGAGAATAGAGAAACATAGAAGCAACATAGCTGAGAAATGTACAGAAAAAAATTGAGTTCTGGTGACATCATTTGTTCTCTTGGGCTCTGTACCAAGCCATATCTGATGCTGTTATGCTCCTAAATTGCTTGATTTACAAGAGACAATAAATTCCTTCCCATACTTAAGCCAGTTTTGGTTGAATTTTTATCTTTTATAGACAAATAAATCACATGAATGTACATTTTATAAAAATTACCCAGGATAAACTAATAGCAAAGGATGAAATAAAGGCAATTCTGTAAATTCTCACAATAATAATAAAGGTTAGAGCTGAAATTGAGTACTTACTATGCGTCAGGCCTTGTTTTAACTTCATTGTATGTTTTAACTCATTTAATCCTAACCCCAAATCCACCAGGTAGGTGTTATTATTTTTTCCTTTAACAGATGAGGAAAGTGTGGCATTAAGAGGTCAAGAAAACTGCCCAAGATCACTCAGTAATAAGATGGCACTCAAATACTAACCCAGGCAATCTGATATCCCAGAGCTTGAGTGCTTAATTGATATATTTTATTGCTAAGAACCTCTTGCCACCCGCCCCCCACCAAAGATACTTTTAAACACCAGCTATAAAGTTCACTGGGTCACCTTATTGGTATAAAGATTAAAAGGTGGCCTTAATGGGAAAATAAAGAGCCTCTTTAATCTGTATTATAACTGGAGTCTTCTATGTTAAGAGAATGTTAGCATGGCCTTGAGCATCAGTCTGTTCAGTCCAGGCACAAAAACTGGTGTTTTCAAATCTTTTTCTGCGGGATGGGTAGTAGGGAAAGAATATGTCTTAGTCTGTTCAGGTTTCTCTAGCAAAATGCCTTAGATTGAGTAACTTATAAACAACAGAAATGTATTGTGCACAGTTCTGGAGGCTGGGAAATCCAAGATAAAGATGCCAGTAGACTTGGTGTCTGGTGGGTGCCCATATCTCATAGATGGCACCTTCTATGTATAAGCACGTGGTGGAAGGCACCAGGGAGCTTGCTCTAACTTCTTTTACAAGGGCACTGATCCTATTTATGAGGGTGGATCCCTCATGACTTAATCACTTCCCAAAGGCCCCACCTCTTTATACCATCACATTGGGTATTAGCTTCCCACATATGAAAGTTGAGGGGATTCAGACATTCAGACTATATAGCAGGGTAGAAGTCAGAATATGCGGCAATGGGGCATAAAAACAAGACTTAAATTTCCAGCTGTCTTCACATTCAAAGGGGTCCCCTCCTATAGGTAGTTCAAGACAATAGTGCAATCTAGCAGGGCCAAGAGTGATGGTCAAAAGCAGTCAGATATATTACCAGAGACCCAAGTAATCAATTTATTGGCAGCAGGCCCTTCAATCTCTGTTATGGGCTAAATTGTCTCTCCACTCCCCCAAAAATGCACATGTTGAAGCCCTAACCCCCAGAACCTCAGTATATGACTATAACTGGAGACAGAGCCTTTAAGAGGTAATTAAATGAAAATGAAACTATTAAGGTGGGCCCTAATCCAATCTGGACTGGTGTCCTTATAAGAAGAGGAGCTGAGAACAGAAGGAGAGACACCAGGGATGTGCAACTAGAGAGAAAATGTAATGTGGGGGTACAGTGAGAAGGTAGCCATCTGCAAGCCAAGAAGAGAAGCCTCAGAAGAAATCAAAGCTGCTGACACTTGATCCTAAACTTTCAACCTCCAGATTTGTGAGTAAATACGTTTTTGTTGTTTACACCACCCAGTCTGTGCTACTTTGTGATGACACAGCAAACTAAGACTGTCCCTACCTGATAGTTCAGAGTAAGAGATGCACAGTCAACCTCAAGACTGGGAGCTCTGCATCCACCTAGATAGGGCTTATTAAAATCCAGGCAGGATGCCACGGCTCCTAGCCAAATAGAGAACTAGAATGCTAATCAAAATGCCTAGGTAAAACTGAAATTGCAGGAACAGGCCAATGGACGGGTTCGAGAGGCATTAAATCTGACATCCAGAGTAAAATCCTAGCTCTGCTTCTCACTAGCTGTGTGATTTTGTGTGACTTTAATAACTCTGAGCCTGGGTTTCCTCATCTATGAGGCTCCTTACCTCATGGAGGTAGCAAGTATTAAATTAAAAAGATAATGTGTGAGATACATTTAGCACAGTTCCAAACCATGGTTGGTACTCAATAAATAGAAGCTATGTGGTAGCTGAGTTTTGGTAGATGACACGTGCCTAGGGTTCACTCTAGTTAGAAGCTACAACTTTATACCTGGATCACTGCCCAGCCCTGGCTGGTGGACCTGAGCCTCTAGGCTGGCTGTCTGCCTTGGTGGAGATTAACTTCACTCTTGGGTTGTGCTGCAGTTCAAGGTCCATATCTGAGCAGGCTGAGAAAGCCAGGGCTGAGATTTTTTTCTCCATGCCCTTATACATAGATAAATCTATCCAACAGGGTCATCTTTCAACAAAAAGACAAAACAGGCATAAATTCCAACATCTTATTTAGTGCCCCCTTCAAAGCACCCTGTCCCTCTAGGCCTCCCTTGAATATTGGTGGAAGAAAGCTCCAGATGAGGAAATGCAAGAAATAGTATGCAAGGAAAGGATTATCATTTTGATATGTGGATGCCATTTGCCTAAAAAACAGCTTTTGAATAATCAGAAACAAACTAAAAAACAGCAAACTAGAGCTGTACATCAGAAATGCCCCAGACCACTGCTACAACAAAATTTAAAAGATCTTTTTAATTAATTATGATTCTAGGAAAGGAGTTTTCTTAAATGAAAGCTAGATTTTAAATCACTTATTGAAATTCAGTCATGTTGTAGGGGTGGGTGGGAATCTTTTTTTAAGACATTTCTGTCAAGGGTGACTTTGTTTACTGTTTTGTGTTTTGTTGTTGTTGTTGTTGTTTTTGAGACAGGGTCTCACTCTGTTGCCTAGGCTGGAGTGCAGTGGTGCAATCACAGCTCACTACAATCTCCATCTCCCAGGCTCAAGTGGTCCTCCTCCCTCAGCCTCCTGAGTAGCTGGGACTACAGGCATGTACCACCATGCCCAGCTAATTTTGTAAAAAATTTTTATTAGAGAAGAGGTCTCGCCACAATCCCTGGGCTGGTCTTGAACTCTTGAGCTGAAGTGATTCTCCTGCTTCAGCCTCCCAAAATGCTGGGATTACAGGTGTGAGCCACTGCACCTGGCCTTTGTTTACTTTCACTGCTGAATAAGAAACCCATTTACAATGCCAAACCATGATAACAAAATTGATCCTGTTATGGCAAATGTCATTGCCCTGGCCTACAGACTATTCATTGCAAACTACATTTAATAATAAACATTTGCAGAACCACCAAGAATGGAAAAACTATGAGTGCCATTTCCCATTCAAAGGTCTACAGGAAACTGAATGGGAGACCCACACAGTGTAGGAGGGTCTCCGCTGTTGAACTTGGTGGAGTGTATACTTAGCATATCTCGAGGGAGGATGGCTGGAAGTGGGTAGGGAAGGAGGAATCAGAATCATGGGGGAGTCAAAATAGTCACCAGGAAAACAAAATAGAAGTGTGAGGCAGGGAAAGAAATCGAGAGGTGAGTAGCAGCCTTAGCAGACATGAACCTAAAGCGTAAGTGGGAGAGAAGTGGGAAGTCAGAACTGGGGCTGTGAACAGTGCATGCCACGTTTCTTTATGAGGTTGGGTAAATAAAGAATATAGGGCTGGACATCAACTAAAATCTATTTCCTGACATGCATTGTTGGGAAAGCCTGTCTTACTGAGAAAGACTCGATTATTGTACAAAGCCATCAAAAAGTATTCTAAGTGGTGTGCTGAATTTCCATAAGAGTAAAGAAAATTTTCAATGTTAGTGTTTATGCCTACAACATTACTGCAAGTTTTAGTCCTAATAATTGAAACTAACTGACAAATTAAAAACAGAATGACTATAAGCCAGAAGTTGCAGCTTGGGTATCTATGGGCTGAGTCTATCTGTGCTTGCCTTGAACAGTGTTTTTTAAAAAGAACTACTTGCAGTTAGAATGGAACTTCCATTCTTTTGGCTTTACATTTTATACAGACATACCTCATTTTATTGCACTTTGCTTTATTGACCTTCACAGACATTGCTTTTTTTTTTTTTTTTTTTTTTTTTTTTTTTTACAAATTGAAGGTTTGTGGCAAACCTCCATCAAGCAAGTCTAT
Organism: Homo sapiens; assembly: GCF_000001405.40. Taxonomy (NCBI): domain Eukaryota; kingdom Metazoa; phylum Chordata; class Mammalia; order Primates; family Hominidae; genus Homo; species Homo sapiens. Next base: position 169,541,022 of record NC_000005.10, read on the forward strand.
CAGAGCCATTTTTTCCAACAACATATTCAGGTTTCTATGTTACGTTTTGGTAATTCTCACAGTATTTCAAACTTTTTATGATTTCAAACTTTTTATTGTTATCTGTTATGGTGATCAGTGATCTTTAATGTTACTATTGCAATTGTTTCGAGATGCTGCAAACTACACCTATATAAGACAGCAAACTTAATTGATAAATGTGTGTACTCTCTGCCCAGCCAACTGGCTGTTCTCCCATCTCTCTTCCTCTCCTTGGGCCTTCCTATTCCCCGAGAAACAATAAAATTGAAATTAAGGCCAATTAATAACCCTACAATTGCCTCTAAGTGTTAAAGTGAAAGGGACAACTGATAATTGAAGGAAAGGAAGAGAAGATAATTGATGAAGGTGGCTATACTACACAACAGATTGTCAATGTATTAATAGCTGAAACAGCCTTTTATTGGAATAAGATGCCATCCAGGACTTTCATAGCCAGAAAGTAAAAGTCAATGCCTGGCTTCAAAACTTCAATGGACGGGATACTCTTTTGTCAGGGCCTAATGCAGGTGGTAACCGTAAGTTGAAGCCAATGCTCATTTGCCTTTCTGAAAATCCTAAGGCCCTTAAGAATGATGCTAAATTTACTCTGTCTGAGCCCTAGAAATGGAACAATAAAGCCTGGATGAAAGTACATCTGTTTACCAGTATGATTTACTGAATTTTTTTCCTTCTTTTTTTGAGACAGGGTCTCATTATGTTGCCCAGACTGGTCTTGAATGCCTGGGCTCAAGTGGTTTTTCTGCCTCAGCCTCCAGAGTACCTGGGATTATACACATGCACCACCACATCCAGCAGTTTACTGAATATTTTAAGCCCATTGTTGAGACCTGCTGCAAAAAAAAAAAAAAATTGCTTTCAAGGTATTACTGATCATTGACAATGCACCTAGTCATCCAAGAATTCTGATGGAGATGTACAATGTGATTAATGTTATTTTCATGCCTGATATCACAACATCATTCTGCAGCCCATGGATCAAGGAATAATTTTGACTTTCAAGTCTTATTATCTAAGAAATACATTTTGTAGGCCAGGCACAGTGGCTCAAGCTTGTAATCCCAGCACTTTGGGAGGCTGAGGCAGGTGGATCACGAGGTCAAGAGTTCAAGACCAGCCTGAACAACATGGTGAAGCCCCATCTCTACTAAAAATACAAAAATCAGCTGGGTGTGGTGACATACACCTGTAATCCCAGCTACTCAGGAGGCTGAGGCAGGGGGATCACTTGAACCCAGGAGGCAGAGGTTGCAGTGAGCTGAGATTGTGGCATTACACTCCAGCCTGGGCAACAGAGTGAGACTCCATCTCAGAAAAAAAAAAAAGAAAGAAATACAATTTGTAGGGCTAAAAATGCCATAGATAGTGATTCCTCTGATGAATCTGGACAAAATCAATTGAAAACCTCTGAAAAGGATTCACCATTCTAGATGCCATTAAGAACATTCATAATTCATGAAAGGAGGTCAAAATATTAACATTAACAGGAATTTAGAAGAAATTTATTCCAACACTCATGATGACTTTGAGGGGTTCAAGACTTCAGTGGAGGAAGTAACTGCAAACGTGGTGGAAATAGCAAGAGAACTAGAAGTGCAGCCTGAAGATGTGACTGAATTGCTGCAATCTCATGATGAAACTTGAACAAATGAGAGTTGTTTCTTATGGATGAGCAAAGTGGTTTTTTGAGATGGAATCTACTCCTGGTGAAGATGCTGTGAGCATTGTTGAAATGACAACAAATGATTTAGAATATTACATGAACTTAGTTGATAACGCAGTGGCAGCATTTGAGAGAATTGACTCCAATTTTGAAAGTTTACTCTGGTCAAAATGCTGTCAAATAGTATTGCATACTACAGAGAAAACTTTCATGAAAAGAAGCAAACTTCATTGTTATCCTAAGTAATTGCCTCAGTCACCCCAACCTTCAGCAACAACAACCTTAATTAGTCAGCAGCTGCCAACATCCAGGCCAGACCCTCCACCAGCAGAAAAAGATTATGACTCAGTAAAGGCTTGGATGATCGTTAGCATTTTTTAGCAATAAAGTATTTTTTAATGAAGTACATTGTCTTTTTGGACATAATGCTATTGCATACTTAATAGACTACATTATAGTGTAAGCATAACTTTTATTAGCATTGGGAAATCAAAAAATTCACGTGATATGCTGTATTATGATATTTGTTTTATTGGAGTGGTCTGTAACCAAACCTGCAAAATCTTTGCGTTATTCTCGTGTATGTAGTAGTGTGGTGGTTTGAAGTAGGGGGAATTTCTACTCTAGGAGCTCTCTGAACTCTCTCCCTGATGGGTAGGAGGTTATTTCCAACATTCATTAGTCCTTTCTTTATTGGGTAAAGTTATTAACAATCTGAGAGCACGATGATTTCTCTTTTTTTACCCTTTCTCCCCTGACAAGGCTGTTCTGCATACCAAAGATTTCTTCTGAGAGCGGTAATTAGAAAATATATTTTGGCTAGAGATTGCAGCATTGTTCTCCAATCAGTTTTATCAGTAATAATGCTGACATCTTGATCTCCATCTGTCTTACTCCTGTGTCATTTCTTAATTCATAATGAACAAAGAGGAGAAGGAGGATGTTGTTATTAATTGGCTGCCTCAAGCTCCAAGAGACTGCCAGCATTTAAACATTGGGAAATTTCATATAAAGATCTAGATTTCTGACATGTTAAAAAATGGATTATTTGGCAGGGCTGGGACATATCTGCACATGGTATCAATTGGGCTGAAGCTGAGTAATGGCTGTCACCTTTATATGGGACATGAATTCTCCTGTTTGCCATAGTCTCCACCACTCCATATTACCTTACACCTAGTCATTTAATTTAGCCGTCTTGTCTCGGCATTTAAGTTTGCAATTCCTACTCTAATCATATACATGTCCCTGTTTAGAAAATAGATTTTTTTCTACATTAGTGAAATCCTGATTATTGAATAGAATGGTTAGTGAAACGTTTGAAAACCATTGGTATGGAAGATCTCGTATCTGTAAGTCTCACTGCGAAGCTACTGTTCTGGCATTCTGGTTCCTGATTCAGAGGAGCTACACATCTCTGTTGTTTCATCCCACTGCACCCTCAATGCAACATAGAACTACATCAACTATTTTTTTTCTACTTTCAGGTGAGACTGCACCTGTCAGCTCAGAAAAAAAAAAAAAACTATTTAAAGCCCTATAGTTAAGAAAATTCCCCATATATAGTTTATATTTTGTGTCCAGGCATTGTAGATTGTATCTTTCTGGCCAAAGTAGAGAATTGGAAAAATTATTGAACTAGTTTAAGCAAAACACATGTCAGATGACCCAGGTAATTTCCAGAAAAGCCAATGTTTTCTCTGAATTAGAGTACTCGGACAATTGCCTCAACCATGTGTATTAGTTAGGTCATGGAGACTGAAACTGTGTTTTCACAACTAAAATGACTACAGTTGAACCAGCCATGGAGGCCTGTCTCAAAAACAGAATTTTGCTGCATCACTGTGGATCAAACGACCCTTAACACAATCAGTTGTGGGGATAGTAAAGCATATTAATTTCATTGTCCTAAAGCAATTTAACCATATTACATAGATATGACTAACATTAAACTTTTTCTCCCAGTTTCATTTTATAAGATAGCAAAATGACTAATCAACCAATTGTCTAACCCAAATGATAACAACAGCTGACTTGACATTTTTATTTAATTGATGGCAAATCTGCAATTCTTTTAGATAGTTATATTCTAGGTGCTGCAAGCTAAGATTTAGCCTTCTTAATTATTTTTTGCTTTTTTTTTTTATAACCTCACATTTGCCTCCTTCACACACCCTGCTTAGATGACTTTCAAATAAAGCTAAACTCCCCCATTGGATTGCTGTCTATGGGCTCTTGCCCATGTCTTTTCTGTCTGAAAATGAAGTCTCTCTTCTCGCTTACCTTCTGAAAATCTAATATTGACCTTTTTTGTAAGGTGAGGCATCCCCTAATCATACCTGGAATCCTGGCCACCACAATATCATTCACTTCAGAAAATAAATACAAACTAAATATGACTCCAGATTTAAATGCAGAAACTTGAATAAGCACCACAGATTGGAGTATTTGGCTTTATTTCTTGCTGTGAGTCAGAGCCAGGAGGTTCCCATTAAGGTGTATATGAATTATATTACTCCATGCTGAAGTTTGTCTATAACGTAATGTTGTAAGGCAGCCAAGTTCTTCCAGCAATCTCATGGACCAATATTCAAAACATATCAGTATCTCATTAGATCCTTCATTTTACAAAAAAAAAAAAAGCTTTGCATTCTACTTAGCAAGCTATAGTTACATAGATATTTTGTTTTAGGGAAAAGTAAAATCCGTTTTAAATAAGCTTATTACTTCCATTGTATTGGTACCTATCAGGTTGTCACATTCATCTGGAACGAGTTGCCATGAAAAGAGGAAATAAATGCATAGAATTATGGATGGAGTGTACTTTGATATAGTTCAAAGAAATAGGAGGGGCATTTTCAGGGAAAATTTGTTCTACATCCCCATTACTGTCCTAAACCAGCAAAAAATTCCTTAAGCTAAGTCACATGGCAGGACAAAAACTGTTCAAATAAGCTCAAACCATGAGGAAAAAGGGCAACAAGTATTTTCTCTTCAGCTTCAAACTTCTTTCTTTTCTTCTTGCTCCTCTCTTTTAAATGAATCCTTAAGAATTTTAGGCAAATATATATTTTAAAAAGTGCTGAATTCCAAAATATTTAATAATGGAAGAAAAGAGTTGACTGCTAATCCCCTCCCACATCTACTCCTTATTCTTCAAAAGCCACTTCAAATGAGAACTTGTGAAGACAGCCTCATCAGTAAGTCATCTCTCACCCTAGTGAGTCACCACCTTCAGAGGTGGATGACCTGGTAAGATGAAACATACTGAGATTCAAAAGCTCCCATGGACTGATGGTCCCAGCACTATAGCTGGAAGGTCCCTTTTCTTGCCTTTCTTATGCTGGTGTTCTATGCTAAAAAGAGAGTGATTATTTCATCAACTCCAGAAGCGAGACATGAAGAATTAGGGCTGATAGAACTTGGAACTAAGGAATATAATCACGTTTTCTAGGAAGAGGAAAGGAAATAAACACACTGAAAAAGAAACCCAGCACAAAACAAAAAATTAACACGAATGTATTAAACCTTTAAAGAGTGTATTATTGAGAGTCCTTGAAGAAGTAAACCTGTATTCTCCATGGCCATTGAGAAAAATAAAATAAAATGGCATTGACATATACCTGGAGAAGACAAGTTATATATTAAGCAACGGTTCATGATCAGGCAAGCATCTTCTTCCAAATAGGTCTTTAAAATTGAAATAATGATCATTTCTTGCTCTGAGCAAGCCAGTGAATGAAGTCTGTAGCAGAACCAGTGCATCATGTTTTCCTCCTCTTCCAACCTATTTCGTAAACTCTCACTACTAACTGGTGACAAATGGGTTGGTCCTTGTGTGTTTTGCTCCCATCAAATGTTGCCATGCATTTTCTGTTTGCACATGCCTTATGTCTTCTACTAGTTGGAGAGCTTTTGAAGGAAATAACTCTGGTCTTGCTCATCTTTGCAAGAGTATGCTATGGAAACATCGTTATTAAAGTTTCAGTTTATAAAGCAATATAAGGCAAAAGTCTTATCTGGCCAAATCATCCTTGGAAATTTCTTAGAAAGGGGCAATTTGACAACCATGGGTCATTAAGTCCAACATGGCCAGTTTTCTCTCAGTGCTGGAACAGGCCAGTGTATCATTAAATCCTTTATTTTTATGAAGCTTTACATTCTACTGGTTTTGGTTGACAACCAGTTGGCTGGTGAGTAGGCTTATATTGTTTGAAAATATAAATATAAACATGAGTGTTACGAGATGTCTCAACCATGAAAGGTACACAAAGTGTGATACTGGATAAGAAAAGAGAACATTGCTGTCTCTCATCTCATGCTTTTTTTTTTTTCTTTTTCTTTTGAGATGGAGTCTCACTCTGTTGCCCAGGCTGGATACAGTGCAGTGGCGCGATCTTGGCTCACTGCAACTTCCGCCTTCTGGGTTCCAGCAATTCTCCTGCCTGTCTCCCTAGTAGCTGGGACTACAGGTGCATGCCACCACACCTGGCTAATTTTTGTATTTTTAGTAGAGATAGGGTTTCACCATGTTGGCCAGGCTCGTCTCAAACTCCTGACCTCAACTGATCCACCTGCCTCAGCCTCCCAAAGTGCTGAGGTTACAGGCGTGTTCCTGGCCTCTCATCTCATTCTTACTGCAGTCAGGATCCCATCAGGAAAACAGAAACAGAAATCATGCCAAGTGTTTCAAACAGAGGTGATTTAATATAGGAGATCAGTTATACAGAGTCTGGAGGGCTGAAAGAGAAAAAGAAAAAAAAACAAACAAAAAATGGTGTTCAGGTACCTCTGGTATTTGTAGTATAGAAAGCAGCTAGGATTCTTAGGGCTGGAAGATTAAAAAAGAGTAAATAGTGTTACCAGGACACCATTTCTTGGGGGAAGGGTCTCCACAGAGCAGATTTTCCAACCACCAATGTGTCACTGCACAGCTGGCTCAGCAACCTCTGAGGAGATGTCACGTGATTGCTACTTGGACTCCAGTGGTGAGTGCTAAGAGGGAACGTGGCAGTTCCTACTGGTACCTCTGAAGGAGCCACTGTGGAACTAATGCTGGAAATGCTAAAATAAGCTGGAGTCCTACTTGAGTGCTACTGATGGAAGGACTTCGACCAGAACTGAAAACAGAAAGAGCATCCTTCTACCCTCCTATCACCCTCTGATTTCCTGCCAGTGCCTCCAGTCGGCAGAACCTAACCAGAAGCTAGATAGCAAAAAAGTCTGGGAAATGCAGTCTGCAGATTCCTGCCTCCAGTGTCACAGAGCAGAGTATAAAAGCCTGGGCTTAAGGCTGAGAGACAGACAGTAGGTACAATTACTCCGAGGCACAAATTCATTGAGTGAAATAACAGGCAGAATTTCCTACAATATTTATATTATTTTTCTTTCATTTTTTTGCCATAGTTGAATTCCAGTAAGTTAAATGTATGCATGCTATGAATTCACTTTTTCTTGTAATCCCATAGTTCATTAGCCCAATACCCTGCTTATAGCATGTGATTAATGGAGGTATTGAATGGATAAATGAATGCCTTTTTGGCTTTTTGGTGCTAAGGGGATTTTTCTCTGATTATTAGTCCTGTTTAACTGCCATTGAGAAATGAGTCTAGAGAAAATATATAGGAACCTAAGGGTAAACTTTGCTGTAATTCACTGACATTTCAAATGTACCTATCCAAACAGTTCAATTGGTTTCTATCCCCGGCTATCTCCTGTAACTCTCTACCTTCAGTTTACTCTGGAAAATCTCCACTGCAGCTAGCTACACTTGCATAGCCTAAGAGTGACATCCAGTGGCTTATAACTTAACCACTCATTGTAATACATCTGGAAATCTAACCAGCTCTCCATTATCCTTTCAAATAAAAAGGAGGACAATATATAAAACTCTTAACAGAAGATGATACTTAGACAATAGTTCATTAGATTTACTTTGGGAGATTATTAAAATAGATTTGCCTATCTAGTTGTTTGAGATCTCATATTCAAGTTCATTTGTCTTTTTTCCTTTTCTGAGCACATGTCTGTTATAATTCCAGTGATGTCTGCCAATGTCATAGGCTGGTAGATAGAAAAGGAAAGTGGGGATAGATAGGACCAGGACTCAGAGAATTAACTGACTCTAGACCTGGCTTCCAAGACTAGAGGCTCATTACTTTAGGCTACCAATATTGGAAGCCTAAAAGAATGTGGGAAAGTCAGCCTAGATCCAAGCTTGAACTAATATCTAAAGGTTCCCAGTCTGGTCGTAGAGTCTGTCTGTCTAGCATTCCAGGCAGAGACGATCCTTAGCGTTAGGTGGGCTCTTCACTCATGGTCCCACAGGATCAGGCTACTCCAGGAGGATTCCTAGTCAGCAGCTGGAGCAAGGGAGCCTGGGATCAGCAAAATGTCACGGCAGCAATAAGTTGCCGTGTCTCAAGTTCAGGATGGTGCTGTCTCAAGTTCAGGATGGTGCTGTCTCAAGTTCAGGATGGTGCTGCATTCAATAGCAGGAAGCTGAAGGTGATTTTTATATGGAGCTCATGAAGTCAATCTCATTCTAGTATAGACACAGTCTCAAAAAATAAAGCAATTCCATATATGTTTTAAATTCTCCCCTTTCTTTCAATAGAATAGTCGAAGAAACCAATAACTTCATCATAACATCTCACACTTAAATGAACTAGGAATCTCTGTTTAGATGGACCTTAGCCTAAAAAATACTACCAATTCAGAATTCACAGTAGTTTCAATATGTTCTCCTGCTCAAAGGAATTCATCTCAGACAAGCTCCTTCCCCATTTAATAATATTTTCCAGAGGTAACCCAGCAAAAATGTATTTATTTGTAAATATGCAGCAGTGACTTCAAATGAAACCTCATGGTGGCTATAGTTAGAACTATTCAGACATCTCTGTGATTTGGCTAGATTGTACTAAGAGTGACTCATGAATATAATTAATTTACCTTATGATGTCAATAGTGGTAAGAGATGTGTTGTACCTTCCTTCCACTTAATCAAATCCCACAGGGAAGTGAGATATATTTTTCAAACTATGAATTCTGTAAGGAAACAGTTTCCACAAAGTCTACTTGCCCATTACACCAAAGTGATGGGCAGGTTTAGTGTCTCCTATGGAAATTTCCATGCATTTTTAGAACATATGGAAACTGCAAGGCAGAGCTATGAAAATTCAGAGATGCTTACAACATCAAAACATTCTTTTCCTCAGTGAGAATGTGCTGTCATATGACAACGAGCAGGAGGAGGATAGTGAACTTAGCTTTTATCAAGGTACTTATTACTGTGGAAAATAGGAGGTCTCAGGAATCAGGTGTAAATAAGTTCAAAGTACAGACTCAAATGATGTTTTAATTATCAGTAAAAAGGGAAATGTTGGAAACTTAAATAGAAACTAGATGATATACATATTTCACCTTTTCCAATTAATCAATCTAACGACAGCTGGTTGGCCAAGAGAGTATAAGGTAGACTTTTCAACTAAAATAGATACATCTTTGTTAGTATTTTGTCTAGTGTTTTTTCCCCAGAAATGCTTTTGCTAGGACATCATATTTTAATAGAAAACAGATTATGTGTCTCAAATCTAATCAACAAATGCAAGAACTTTCACTTACCCCCTCTAGTTTATTGTCCACGGGCAGCCTGCCTTTGTGCTTTGTTTACTTAACCTTGTGCATTTCCTACCAAAAAGGAGAGCAGAAGAGATGGAATATATCTGGGAAATGCTCCAGAACTCGAAATGCCTGAGTGGCTTATTCTGTGTGATGGCAGACTTGGTGATAACAGAAGATACTATTTTCGGGAGACCCCTCAACATCTCCACTGCTGGTTCACATCTGACTGCAACTCACTTTACTGCACTCACTGCTCACTGGCAGAGCCCCCTTCGGGTGAGAAGACTTGTCCTCATAACCCCCTTGTCTCATGAGCAGGGAAGATTTTCATGGGGGAGACTCACAAGAATCTATAAAGAGGTCAAAGTTATATTGCAGAAATTGACTTTAACTCAGTGATAAGACTTTTGAATTAATTTCCATCTTTGTGGAGGGTGAGAAAGGTCATTAGTTAAATAGGCAATGGAGAGTTAAAATACAGGAAAAAATGTATTTGACTAAGTTGTAGGGTGGATGTAAAAATGAAAGGAGGCTTGTAACTGAATTTCTCTTAAACACCTGATTTAGACATTCTATATCAGTTTGCCTAAAGGACAAAGAACAAAATGCAGTATCAAATATTCATTAAAGATCCAGTAAAGCATAGATTGTTATTGAGGTATAAATAGAAAGAATATTTTCTAGGAAAGCAGAATACAATTCTACCTACAAGCTCAAATTCTGTTTTCTCTGAAAATTATCATGGAGTCAGGGTCTCACAAAAATGGTCCCTTTGTATATCCAGGTGAGGACTCTCAACTGGTTCCCAAGAAAGAGAAGTGTTCATATTAAATAACACTCGGTAACATATCCCCTTTTCACTCCATGCCTAAGGCACCCAGATATGAATTTCTGCTTGCATTTACAGCAAATCAAGATAAAAATACTTCACTGTTCAGATATTTTAGCTGTCTGTACCCAGTTAAGGCACCCATCTAAATGAGGCACTTAATATAGATATGTGTGACCTTGAACAAATGACATCTATGTTGAGTTTCAATATTGCTCAAAAAGTGAATATGTTGCAGTGGAAGGGAAAAACATAGTAAGACTAGTAAAAGCAAAATGAGTAAAGTTTAAAATTTTAGGAAAAAAAGTATAAGTTGATGACATCTTTGAATAAACAAAATAAGATAGAGAAGATGTGTTCATGTTCTTGTGACCACAAGAAAAAGCATAACCAACAGCACTATTAGGATTCAACCAACAAAACCTGAGGAGGTCCCAGTGAGAGAGAACTCTGGTCCCTACTCCCAATCCCCTGGGCAAAAGGACTTCCTAGGCATGCTAATTGCACCATTATAAGACAAGTCAAATACAAACGAAATAAACAGTAATTTGGGTCATAGCAACATCTGGACTAGCAAACTCCTTCTCAGAGACAAATCAGGGGAGGAGTATTGGAGAGTCCGGGAAACAAAGAATGAGATCACGGTATAAAAGATAAACTGGGTTTGAGGGCTCAGGCATTTCTCAAGTCCTGAAGACATACCTGTTATACCATGCTCTGAATTCAGTCATGGTCAAGGTAAATAATTAACCTAATGCAATAGGCCTCCTCTTACCTGAATGATAACACTGTGCAATGCGCATGTCTTTTGACCCAGAGAATGCATTTTTAGGGCTCTATCTTACAGAAATATTTGCAGATGGACACTTGCCATAAACAAAGATTTCCAGTGCAACATTATTTATAATAATCAAATTGGAGTAACTTAAGTATCCAAGAACAAGGGAATATTAAATAAATTATGGTATGTTTATATTAGGAGCAAAGTGGAACGAAGCCTCCAGAATTCGCCTGCTTGGGTTCATAGCTCAGTTCCACTGCTTACTAGCTGTGTGACCTTGGTCAAATTGCTTAGCTTCTCAGTGATTCTGTTTCCCTCAAATGTAAAAAGAAGATGATAAGATTTTCTTCTTTGTAGAGTTTTGCTGTGAAAATTAAATGAGGTACCACTCTTAAAGAGCCAGAACACTGCCTGACATAACAGGTACACAATTCATGTTAGCATGGTTGCTATTTTGAACCTACTATCATGTAGCATTTAAAAAGACTAGGGGTGCTCGCTTTGGCAGCACATATATTAAAACTGAAACAATACAGAGAAGACTAGCATGGTCCCTGCACAAGGATGACATGCAAATTCATGAAGCATTCCATATTTTTACAAGGGAAGTGAAGGACCTCTTCAAGGAAAACTACAAACCACTGCTCAATGAAATCAGAGAGGACACAAACAAGTGGAAAAATATTCCATGCACGTGGATAGAATCAATATCATGAAAATGGCCATACTGCCCAATGTAATTTATAGATTCAATGCTATCCCCATCAAGCTACCATTGACTTTCTTCACAGAATTGGAATAAACTATTTTAAATTTCATATGGAACCAAAAAAAGAGCCCGCATAGCCAAGACAATCCTAAGGAAAAAGAACAAAGCTGAAGGCATTACACTACCTGACTTCAAACTATACTAAGAGGCTACAGTAACCAAAACAGCATGGTACTAGTACAAAAACAGACACATAGTCCAATGGAACAGAATAGATAACTCAGAAATAAGACTGCACATGTACAACCATCTGATCTTCGACAAACCTGACAAAAACAAGCAATGGGGAAAGGATTCCCTATTTAATAAATGGTGCCGGGAGAACTGACTAGCCATATGCAGAAAACTGAAACTGGACCCCTTCCTTACACCTTATACAAAAATTAACTCAAGATGGATTAAAGACTTGAATGTAAAATCCAAAACTATAAAAACCGTAGAAGAAAATCTAGTCAATACCATTCAGGACATAGGCATGGGCAAGGATTTCATGATGAAAACACCAAAAGCAATTGCAACAAAAGGAAAAATTGACAAATGGGATCTAATTAAACTAAAGAGCTTCTGCACAGCAAAAGAAACTATCATCAGGGTGAACAGACAACCTGCAGAATGAGAGAAAAATTTTGCAATCTATTCATCTGACAAAGGTTTGATATTCAGAGTCTACAGGGAACTTAAATTTACAAGAAAAAAAACAACCTCATTAAAAAGTGGGCAAAGGACATGAAAAGACACTTCTCAAAAGACAACATATGCAGCCAACAAACATATGAAAAATAGCTCAACATCACTGATCATTAGAGAAATGTAAATGAAAACCACAATGAGATACCATTTCATGCCAGTCAGAATGGCTATCATTAAAAAGTCAAAAAACAACAGATGCTGGTGAGGTTGTGGAAAAAAAGGAATGCTTTTACACTGTTGGTTCAACCATTGTAGAAGACAGTGTGGCTATTCCTCAAAGATCTAGAGGCAGATATATCATTTGACCCAGCAATCCCATTATGAGGTATATATAGCCAAAGGAATATAAACCATGCTATTATAAAGATACATGCATGCTTATGTTCCTTACAGCACTATTCACAATAGCAAAGACATGGGATCAACCCAAATGTCCATCAATGATAGATTGGATAAAGAAAATATGGCATATATACACCATGGAATACTATGCAGCCATAAAAAGGAATGAGATCATGTCCTTTGCAGGGACATGGATGGAGCTGAAAGCCGTTATCCTCAGCAAACTAACCAAACACCGCATGTTCTCACTTATAAGCAGGGGCTAAATGATGAGAACACATGGACAGGAACATGGGTGGGAACAACACATTGGGGCCTATTGAGGGTGGGGTAAGGGGAAGGAGAGCATTAGGAAGAACAGCTAAGGGATGCTGGGCTTAATACCTAGGTGATGGGTTGATCTGTGCAGCAAACCACCATGGCACACATTTACCTATATAACAAACCTGCACATCCTACACATGTATCCCAGAACTTAAAATAAAAGTTGAAGGGAAAAAAAAAAGACTAGGATCCAACTACAGCTCCTCCCATGGAAAACTTTCTAAAGTATACTGTGAGGTAATAAAATGCTGCAAAACAATACGTAAAGGATGATCCTCTTAATTTTTTGAGTTCATGTAGGCAGATGTGCATCTGTATGTGTACAAATGCATAGAAGAGAGTGTGGAAGCACCAGGCAATAGCAACAATCATCTCTAGAGAAGAGAATGAGTAATCTGATGACCAGAAGACCTGAAAGGAGATCTTCACTTTCTTCCTCTCTGTATTTCTACATTTGGGGAGTTGTTTTACAAACCTACATCTATATGTTTGTAAAACATATGTCTACAGATACACATATCTACAAACATATATCTATATATGTTTGTAACACAACTCATTCATATATATATATATATATATACTTTTAAATATACGTATTTTTGAAAATCAGTAGATAAGTAAAGGATCAACAAGAACAGTGAAAAGAAGTCTGAACACGTGAATGTTTGCAGTGTTTCAAAAATCTGTTTCTAAGGAAAGGAGATGTAGGAATTCTCTGTTTATTAAGGTCAAGGGTCTAATACAAGGACAGGACTACAATGAGTCAGATGAGGTGCTGAGTATGAAAAACTTTAACAGGCACCCACCTTCAGGGCCATGACATGCACAACCCTTAGGCTTGGCACTGATCTAACCTTACACTGAAAATGTCACCAAAGTCAAAGCACCTGCTTCTTAGCAGCCAGTATTGCACAAAGCTTTTGCTCTGACCATATAGCATAGACTTCTTTCTCTCCTCACCTCTTTTTACAAGACAAAAATAGTAATAATAACAATTTATTTTTAACATCTGGAGTTTAAGTCTGAGGTATCCCATGTACCGTCTCCCAGAATGCAGACTGAACAAGTCTCTCTCCCTCCTTATTCAGTCTTCCCTTTGGGGATGTCATTCTGAGAAAAGGAGATTGTTTAGGGGCAGGAGAAGAGTTTCTATGAGTCTTTTAAAGTACTTGAGTACTGAGATTTGGACTCTTAAATGCTTTGACAGGAAATTTACCCTCTTTCTTTAGCTAGTGTGGTATCAGCATAATAATTTGTAAAATTAGCTGGGGTTACGAATGCAGTAGGACATTGATCCAGTGTGAAATGCAATAACCAAAACTAGATGATATTTGCCTGAAATGCCCCAGAATGCCCCTACTGGTTGGCTATGGAAGACATCCATTTTGATTAATCGGTAACCATGCCTTACTGTTTGTAAATAACTTTGAATATTATCCCTGGGAAAAACTAAAACTATGGTTCAATGAATAGTTTCATGCTTAATCTACTAGCTGAGCTGATACCTATAGATATTAAAAATGGTATTTTAGTCCTCTTAACTGGGTGGCAGCTTTGAATGACAGCTAACCACTAGCTGGCAAAAGTTCCTGAATATGACACACCGAATCATCTCCCCCCAAATCATGCATTTATCAAGTGTAGGCATTCATTACCCAACGGAAATTGTTCCCAGATAAAGGCCACATGACGTGGTATAAAAAGGAACCAAAATTTCCTAATAAATGAGAGGGGGTGGAAAAGTGATTGGGGTTTTATTTTAGAAAATGAATTTTTTAAAAAATGAAGTTACTTCTGTTTTTATTTTATAATTTACAAAATTTAAGTTATAATTGCCTTAGAATTATTAGGACAAAAAAGAATCAGCTTTTAATTGTATTTAGAGAAACAAAATTTGTCTAATAAATTGAATGGAAGTGAATACAACAGCCTTCATTTCAAGACAGTTTATCTGAGTGTTTTGTAAAAATAGGGCAGTTAACAATTTTTTCCCAAGGACATCTCTTAATCGTTTGATAGCCAAATCATTCTCTTTTGAAACATTATAATTACTGTGTTTTTTTTATTTGTTAGCTAGCCTACCCTCTGATCAATAGATCTGAGTAGAAATCAAGCAGTTCTCTAAACATCATTTTCATTGATGTCATTAAATTTTGCTGCAGTAAGTAGAATTCTAAGACAGCTCCCAAGATTCCTGCCCCCTGGTGTACATGAACTGTGTAATTTCCTCCTCATGAGTGAGAGTGGGGACTGTACACATGACAGGATAGTCACACCTGTAATATGTTATTCTTTTTGTAAGTCTCTGTTGTAGCCAACTGGCGTGAGCTCCTCTTGTTGGCCTTGGAGAAGCAATCTGCCATGTGTGAACTGCTGATACAGTTTGGGTATTTGTCCTCTCCAAATCTCATGCTGAAATTTGATCTCCAGTGTTGAAGGCTGGACCTAATGGGACGTGTTTTGGTCATGGAGACAGATACCCCATGAATTGCTTGATGCCATTCTCCCAGTAATGAGTTCTTACTCTATTCATTACCCCAAGATCTGATTGTTAAAAAGAGCCTGCCACCTCTTCCTCCTTCTCTCTTGCTCCCTCTCTCGCCATGTGACATGCCTGCTCCCCTTCACCTTGCAGCATGAGTAAGGCTTCCTGAGGCCTCACCAGAACCCAAGCAGATGCTGGTTCCATACAAGTACAGCCTGCAAAACTGTGAGCCAAATAAATCTCTTTTCTTTATAAATTACCCAGTCTCAGATATTCCTTTATAGCAATGCAAAAATGGACTAAGACAACTGCCCATGGAGATGGTCATGTGCAAAGACAAGAGGGTAGCCTCTAGGAGCTGAAAATGATCCCTGTTGACAACCAGCAAGGAAATGGGGACTTGATTCCTATAATCACAAGGAACTGAATCCTGCCAACAACTAGTATGTTTGAAAGACAACTGCAAATCTCAAATGAGATCAGAGTCCCAGCTAACACTGTAATTTCAGACTCACGAGATTCATGAAACCCTGAGCGGAGGACCCAGCTAATCCATGCCAGGGCTCCTGCCCCATGGAAATTGTGAGAGAGTAAATGTGTGTTGTTTTAAGCCACTAAGTTTGTGGTGATGTCTTATGCAGCAATAGAAAGCTAATATGCTTGCATTTTTTAAGTATTTATATTATTTGGTTAAATGTTTAGAGAAGCTCTCTATTATAAAAGATTGGCAGAGTTGTTGGCAAGCTAATTAGCATAGAATGTGTTTCTGAGTGAGAACAAATTTTATAAATGGGCAGCTTATTAACAAATATTTTATTGGATATTTTAATTCTCTATGATTTTTGCTTCCTTAAATAACCCTGTAACTATAACTCAAGGGACATGAAAACAAAGACTCTTTCCCCACCTTTAAGATAGAATCCCTACCCTTAAAATTTTTTGATTTACACTTTCAACAATGACAAAATAGTGTGTTTAAGATAATCTCTGTGCCTACTCTTTCTTCTTTCCCCTCACTTTCACAGGTTTTTATCCCAAGGGAACCCTTTAATACACATCCTATACAACACACTGTCTCAGAGTCCTCAGAGCTGGCATCCCAGGAAACCCAAACTGCAAACCCAAACTTCTACAATGAATTCATGTGCAACTTATTCTAAAAGATCTATACACACACACACACACACACACACACACACACACACACACACTTCCTGTCCTATTGCTCTTCACTACTTCCTTCATCTCTGTGCTACAATCTGGGTTCATTTTTCTTCCCCTTGAGTAATTTATTATGTTTTTTACAGTGAGTCTGTTGCTCAAAAATTCTTTTAGTATTTATTTGTATAAAAAGTCTTAATTTTGTCTTCATATAAAATTTTGTTTGACACTCTATTATAAATTGACTGTTATTCTCTTTCCATGTTTTCCGGACATAGTTCCATTGTCTTCTGACTTCCATCATTTATGTTTAGAAGTCAGTGTTGTTTTTAGTTTCTTTGTGAGTAATTTGTCTTTTTTTGTCTACTTTTTTTTTATTTTGCAATAGTTTAAAAGTATAAAAAATTTGTACACAAACACAACAAACTAAGCAATATACATATGTCCTAGTTTTATAAATGAATAATAATTTATTGTAAATTTAAGTCAGTCTTAAAATCTCTCAACCATTCTATTTTCTCTTTTCTCTTTTTATATCTTTCTTAGATTAAATATTTTTATTATTAAATTTTCTTTCTCTATTGTCTCATTAGTCATACATTCTTACCTTAAAGTGGTTTTCCTGGAAATCACAATATTCATTCTTTATGTATCCAAGTCTAATATAAATGAGTATCTTGGCCACTTCCCAAGAAACTCAAAGATGTGCAAGCATTTTAACTCTATTTACCTTTCTCCTGCCTTTTTACTTTCATGTTACTGTCTGTGTTCAGATATATATTCCATTAGAGAAATTTGTCCATTTTCCTATTGAGTTGCCTCTTCTCCTTATTGATTTGCAGCAACTTTTTTTCATCTTTAATATAATGGATATTAGTCCTTTATCAGTTTTATGTATTGCAAATATTTTCTCCCAACCTATGCTTTTCTTGTTTTAATGGCTTTATTGAGGTATAATTGACATATAATAAATTATATATATTTATGTGCACAAGTATGTATACATAATGTGTACAATTTTATGAGTTTTGACATATCTATACACTCATGAAACCATCACCACAATCAAGATGCTGAACACATGCATTATCCCCTCAAGAGTTTCTTCATGTTCCTGTGTAATCCATCCCCCATCGCCCTGCCTCCTCTCCATCCCCATTCACAGGCACCCACTGGTATGCTTTCTGTTGCCATAGATGATATTGCATTTTCTAGAATCTTATATGAAAGGAATAATACAATATGGACTCATTTTTACCTAACTTTTTCACTCAGCATAACTATTTTGAGGCTTATCCATGCATGCTGTTGCCTCATCCCTGCTTATTGTATTGCAGACTAGAAACTCATTGCATGAACATGATAAAAATTGTTTCTTCATTCACATGTTGATGGACATTTGGGTTGCTAACATTGGATATCATACCCTTTTTAACTTTAGTGGGTGTGAAGTGATATCTCACTGTAGTTTACATTTCCCTGATGACTAATGTTACTAGGCACTTTTTTGTGTACTTACTAGCCAAAGTGTTTACACCTTTTGCCCATTTTTTAATTCTCAATATTCTCAATATAAGTCCTTTGCCATATAGATACATAGATAATATTTTTCCCAGTCTGTGACTTGTCTTTCAAAGGGTCTCTTTTCTTTTCTTTTTTCTTTGTTGCTTTTCTTTTCTTTTTTTCTCTACATCTCAGCCGCAGCAAATCGTGCTCTGAGAGTTATTGAGTAAATCCCAGAATCCAAGCTCAACTGTTTATGCTATTATTTGAAAAAGAATAATTACTGTTCTGTGTTTCCACCAGTGAATATTTACACAATATCTCCCTGATGTCAAATAAAATACTGTTTAGCACAAAGGGCTTTTATTTCATTGTCATAAAGTTGTTGGCTTTATAATACAAGCATCTCAAAAGTAGTGACGTTGTTAAGCTGGAAGCCTGTGACTGATTTAAAGTTCATAAGTTATCAGCTGTAATTAATAAATTGAGCTCATTCTCCAAAAAACATTTTCAGAGACTATCAAAAAACAAAGACACTCTTAACTTGCAATATTTAATTTGAGGCTGCTACTGCGGCTTTTAGCTAAATTAGGCCTGTGTGAAAGCAATTCACTTCATTACCAGGGTCCTTCAAATTTTCCTCCACAATATCACTGATTTCATACTTGATTCACATAATTGTCCTTCAAAACTTAGGGCATGTCCAAAAAGTCCTTCCAAAAGCCAGCTAAAAGAATTTGCTCTCTGGCATCAATTGCAATAATACTCCTGTAGGGAGGGAATCAGAGGAGAGAGAGACCAAGATGAGAGGGAAGAACATTGTCCTCCAGAAACTGAGTTCTGTAAGGCAGAACAAGATGACACGGGGGGACTTTCAAAAACTCTCACAGTACAAGAATCCACTTCAATGAAAGATACAAATCCATTGGGCAGGACAATAATTGGAAGTGTAATATTAATATTAACTAGCATGCTTTATTCCCCCTTCAGTCTTCCTTAGCTGGTACTCACTGCTCACAGTTTAGGCATCTAAATGTAAAAATGCAAATAATGACAAAAGAATTAATCTCTTGGATTCTAAACCTTAAAAACCAAGGACTAGACAGACCTAAAGAATAAAATTAGTTTCTCCCTCCCAACTTTCACCTCCCCACCCATTGCTGCACTCTGACAAGATCATTCTTGGAGCTGATATTCTCAATTAAAGAAGAGTGAAGATCCATGATGACAGAATGCAGTCAATGATTTCAGATAGGATCCTAGATGAGAAAGAAAACATTCTAAGAAGGGCATTGCTAGGACAAGTGAAAATTGTTGTATATGTATGTATATTGGTAATAGCATTGCATCGATACTAAATCCCCAAATTTGATAAGGTAGAAAAATGCTTTATTCTATGGAGACAAATGATGAAGTATTTCAGGGTGAAATGTCATGATGTAGGTAACTAACTCCATTGATAAAGGGAAAAAAGAGAGAGAGAGGATAGAGAGAAACAAAGCAAATGAGACAAAATCATAACCATTGCTGTATCTATATAAAAGGTATACAAATGTTCATTATATTAGTCTTACAACTTTTGTGAAGGTTGTAAGACTTTTTGAGGTTTTTCAAAGCTAAACACACTTTTTATATGGGAGACAAGAGAATCAGAAAGAAAAACTAAATAGTGAGATGCTTGTCGGGGACTCTCAGCAAAGGAGATAGTGTTTGATAGTGTTTGTTGCAAAAGGAAAAGTACATGCCAGAGTATGTTTGGGAAAACGATGGTAGAGGGAATTTGTACCCCACTTCTCACCTGGATTCTTGGGAGGCAGCAACCTTGCACAGAGGAATAAGGTAAAGAGGGCTGCATGGGATGTTGAGGGCCAAGAGGGCTGAGGGCAGCCAACCACATCACCCAAGGCTTTGCATCATTTCCCAAACTGCAGAGGAATTAGTGAATGGCTGACAGTGGGCTTCTCTCCCTGACGCCATGATGCTACCTGCCATTCCAGGAAGAAGGGTAGAGAGAAAAAAATGCTCAAACTACTGAGTTTAATCTGGAAAGACTGATCTCACCCACAACTGACTAATTTGATTCCACTCCACTAAATTTATTCCACAGAATGGGGGCTCTGGATTGATATGAAGTTCAGTGCTTAAGAAAAAAAAAGGGAGTATTACATTTTTTATATACCCGTGTTTCTGCGGCATGAGAGTCTATACTCACAGCAATATTTTCTAGCAAACACATATTGTTTGGAGAGTAGTAATTTATTCTCTACTTTGAACACTGGTAATTTAATCTGTATTCTCTTCCCAGGGATCCCCTGTGATCAGCATTAATGGACTGGGGCGAGAACAGAGAAGGTGACTTCACATTTATGAATATCAAATAATGAGGGCTCAGCTTTTTGCCTTCCAGCAGTCAAGTTCTTCTTCTGGGAAGTGCCTCTCTGTCGGGGTAACAAACATTTTTAAGTTGACTGATACATTTTAAAAGTAGTATGTAGAAAGGCTTTCTAAAATCAAAATCCAATTTTAGTGATTACATAGTTGTTTCCTTAAGCTCAGGCAAGGCACTTTGTATACTCATAGAATTTTGGAAGAATTTTACAGTTATAATTGTCAGCTTAAATTGTGTTTGAATGTCAGTCCTCTTTTAAAGAAAGAAAAGACAAGAAATATTCCTTCTACTTTGTGTCATTAAGCTGGATTTTTACTTGGCAGCACTCAAGGTGGGGATTTTGCAACATTAAGATAACAATCTCTTCTCTGTAGATTTTTAGTACCCCAGGGATTCAAAGATCAAGTTGCTTAGAGACCCCATGGAATTTGCAGAAAAAGCAAACTCTAATCTTGACATCTGTAATTAATGTTTTTATCTTACTCCTAAAGTTTAGTTTGCTGGCAGCTTAGCTGCTCTTTGGAGCGGAATAAGGCTCTTTCTACACCACGTCCCACATGACTTTCTATCCTGAGAGTGGGGTGGGGAGCTCTGGGGCTCTCTATGGGCTCTTTTCTCTTGGGCTCAGTGTCAAGCTCTTCTTCTAGTTATGTAGTGGTTGCATATATGCCTAGGTTTCCTTCCAATCAATCGTGCTGCAGGTTTCCTAAGCTAGGCTAATGCTTGCCTTGTTTCCAGTGCATTTTATATTGGGCTCACCGACCAATACATATGCATGCGTAGAGCACAGGATCAATTGTAGGTTGTGAAAATATCTGTATAACATATTACTCAGTGAAATGTGAAAATATCTGTATAACATATTACTCAGTGAAATGTGAAAATATCTATAAAATTCTGGTACAATTTAAATATATATCTTTTTCTCAGTAAACAAGACCACTGGCCACTCAGGCAAAAACAAATTAACCTGAGCTGTATATGTACATAAACACACACACATACATGCACATGGGCAAATATGAATTTGTGATTGAGGCATGTGCCAATTCTAATCGCTCCCACATTTTTTTACATAATTATATTGTAACTCTTTGGACTAAGGTGCACAAGTGCTTGTCTGACATACCAATGAAAATGAAGAGAGGTAATCTATCATCCCTCCCACCCTTAAAAGACAACGTAGTCACCTAAGTAGCCAAAGTTGTCACAGAGAATATCATGATCATCTTTTGTGCATTCCACAAACATTTATGGAACTTCTAGTCTGGGGCCTGACATCTTCACTCAGAATGCTACAGCAAGCAAGACAAAGTGGGTCCTGCTACCTCTCAAGTGCTAGAGGGGAGAGAGACAATGAGCAAAGAACAGAATCGATAAAACAATCACCAGATGATGGTAAAAGCCAAGAAGAAACTAAAATAGGTGATGTCATAGAGCGACTGTGGGACTGCATCAGATTGAGAGATCAGGGAATGTGCCAATGAAGGTAACTTATGAGCTGAGACCTGAATCACCAGTGTTTAGGATATAGCTCTATGGTCTAATTTTTCAGGTCATTTTATGATGTGGCTCCTTCATGCACATTTAAATGAAGTGATTAGAATACACACCTGGTGGATAGGGTTCTATATTATACCCTCAGCTACCTCCCACTTCCTTTTTAAGCTTCATTCTAAAATGACATTTTAAAAATGTAAGTGGCAAAGCTAGACCCATTAGCTATAAGTGATATAGAAATCCCAAAAAGATGTTCCAGCAGGGATTGAGCTGGCCTTTTAGACAAAAATAATGAGGTCATTGCTTTGTTGACTGCCATCGACTTGCATATCTCAGCCTCTATCAGTGACCAAAATCATCCAACAAAATGACTCCTTAAGTGCTTATGATGAAGAACAGCTACCAGAACACCCAGGCAAGCATTCTTACACTCATATCTTCTGTGAATCCATCAGCCAGCAGTTCCCATGCTCAGGGTAAGGAGCAGACATATTTCTTGTCAGTAAGTTTATCTATTGAGATGCTGTGGAATGTTCTTATCCATCATCTTGTACATCATATACCATAACTCTTATGGCTTATGACTTGTAGACAACACAAATAGCCACCTGAAGGTGTCCTCATGCAAAATTTTGCTGTTGAGAAAATAACCACTAGTCTTATAACCCTGTGGCAATCCTTTATTCTCCCTAAATACTAATTTTTGCATGTCAAAAAAAGTTAAACAGATGAACTCTAAATTTGAATTTTAGTCTTTTAGATTTCCTAAAAATGATTCAAACAATATTTCCTTGCAAGGGAAGATATAAAACATTTGCTTGAATTCAAGAAAGAGTAATATCTGAGCATTTTGAGCACTGTATCCATTGGGCATATGCATGGCTGCAACTAATGAGAAAGTAAACAGTGGCTTCAACAAATAAGGCTTTATTTTTCTCTCGTAACAAGCAGCCTGGAGGTAGACTTTAGCTGGCTTTTGCTCAGCAGCATCACAATGTTAGGGTCAGCATATCCCTTGCCTATTCCTTGCCTATCCCTTGATCTTTCCCTTATCTTGTCACCTCAAGTTCACAAACTGGCTGCCGCAACTGCAAAAATCATATCCTCATGACTGACTGAAGAGCTGGAAGATTAGTAGAGGCAGGAGGAGTGCCATCCAGGTTTATCTTTCTATATGGGGAAAAAAAAAAGTATTTTATAGAAGCTCCTGCAGCAGCCAACTCCTTTGGTTTCATGTGTCATATGACCAACTCTAGGTCCAAAGTGCCTATGACTTTGCTTCTCCAGCCTGAATTGTGGAAATCCCAGTCTTTTCTATGGTTTTTGGGTCAGCCAAGAAACCATGTCTACCACAATAATTTCTGTATTATATCTTCATATCCCTACACATCTCCTTCATTACACCTCCCAGGATAGTTATCTAGGTAGGGTTTGACTAAAATACGGACATAGAGCCAACATTAAACTATTGAGTAACTGAGATTTTTGAAGGCACTGGCTTATAGGAAATGTTAGCAGGAAAAACCAGTACCAACTGAGTCAAACAGGAAAGACTGCCTCAATGTTTGCCAAAATACATTAAGGCTAGCAGTTGGCTGATTTTCAAAAAATATATTTTCTAATTGTAAAAGAAATATAAGCTTATTTAACAAGAATTTTTGATTGTAGGGAATCATAAAAAGAAAGTGAAAGTCATCTAAAAGTAACTCCCTACATATTTGGTATATTCCCTTCAAAACATTTTTTGTAAGCGTTCTGCACATTTTCTTCCTTTCTCCACTCTGTTCTTTCCGTAACTATGCTAAGTTCTTCTGAAATCTGCTTTCATCTACCGAATATATCCTCGTTCCCTCTGCATATGGTTGCTGTGTTATATCCCATTATGAAGTATCATTGTTAAGAACACAGATCACCCCAGACCATCTGGGTGTCACCCCTAACGTGACCACTTATCAGCTGCATAACTTCTTTGTGGTTCAATTTTGTCATATTTAAGATGAGATAATAATACTATCTATGTACAGGATTGTTGTGCAAATTAAGCTAGTTAATCCTTGTAATGCACTTAGTAGAGTGACAGGCAAATAATAGAGCTCTATAAATGTCAGCCAGTTTTATTGTATGGAAATATGTCAACTAATTTTATTAATCTTGAATTGGTAGATATTCAAATTATCTTAAAATATTTGATTTGATAAATGGCCCATCCATTAATATCCTTGAAAATACATCTTGTCAAATAATGTCCTAAGGATACATTCCCTCAAATATAATTGTTGGGCCAAAGGATATCCACACTTTAAATTTTGACAATTAATTTCAAGCTGCTCTTTAGAAAGCTTGTTCAAAGCCATGTAGGAATTGCCTGTTTTTGGGTAAAGGAAGGTCTATTTTCCCATTCTAGACATTAATTTTTGCCAAACCAGCAGTGAGAATTCTCATTACTCTTTTAATTCACGTTTCTTTAATATGTAAAAAGGTTTAAAATTTTCTAAGTGTTTTTTAATCATTCATATATACATTGAGATGGAGTTTGGTTCTTGTGGCCCAGGCTGGAGTGCAACGGTGTGGTCTCGGCTCACTGCAACTTCCGCCTCCCGGATTCAAGTGATTCTCCTGCCTCAGCCTCCTGAGTAGCTGGGATTACAGGCATGCACCACCACGCCTGGCTAATTTTTTTGTATTTTTAGTAGAGACGGGGTTTCACCATGTTGGCCAGGCTGGTCTCGAACTCCTGACCTCAGGTGATCCACCCGCCTCAACTTCCCAAAGTGCTGGGATTACACACGTGAGCCACTGCACCCAGCCAATCATTCATATTTTTAATGAATCATTTGATTGTGTCCTTAGAGGCTTAATGGATTTTTTGTTGTAGGGGTCAGGTGACTTATATGCCCTTTAAATTAAAGAGTCCAACAGCAAAAGGGAGTCTGACAATATTCCAAACATTTCTTTTTGCATTCTCAATGACTGCTACCAAATTTTTCTCAGTTTGAAAGAAATAGCTGGTTAAGAGGAATTTTCAGCCTTTGTGAGATGTGCATCTGTTTAGAAAAGTCTATGAAAAGGGAATAGTAAAAAGATGTGGGGAAAAAAAACAGAAGAAAGCTATTTTAAATGAGAATGAGTTACTGAGTTATCTATTTGATCATTTTTTATTTTGATTATATTCGACTTATTATTTTGACATGCCCTGAATTGTCAAGGAGAAAAAATGAGACTACTGTTTTGCTAAGTATTCCTGGTATGCATCTTTGTGGGGGTATGAATCACATAAGTCAACTTTTCAACTTTCCTAGGACCACTTGCCTCAGCATCACTCAAAGAGCTTAAATATCCAATTCTGGAATTTAATCCTCCAGACACTAAAGATGAGTCTTTAAAGATATATCCCAGATAGCTCCATCTTGTAAAGGCCCTTTCTAGGAGATTCTTACATGCACAAATTTTGAAAAAAAAACTTTGGAAAATACCCATTTAGTACCTTCAGTTCATTCGATTGTTCATCCATTTGTTCAAAGAGTAATTAAAATAATTACTGAGCACCTACAATGTGCCAGCCACTGTTCTGGAGATGGAACAGTGAATTAAGCCCATGGTCTAATAGGGCTTACATTATAATGAAGGAAGTCAAACAACAACAAAAACATGCATTGTTATGCAAGGTGGTAAGTGCTATTACAAAGACTAAAGCAAAGTAAGAGGAAAGACAGTGATGTGGGGTGGGTACTACTGTAGGTTTATTAATAATCTATGACTTTCATTTGTCTCTTTTTTTGAACAATAAAGTTACTTTAATATCAATCTTAGAGGCATTCCAACTTCTCAGTTCACCTGAGTTTGGGGCTGCCTCTCTTGTCCTCAACATATTCTTGCTTCCTTCCACCTTCACCTATTCCTGGAGACCTCTGGCCCTATGGGGTATTAGCAAGGTATAGACTCAGTGGCCAAAGGGCTAGCCTTCTCCATCAATAGGACCATGAACAAACTAATGTGTGGTAAATAAAGAGCCTAGACAGCAATCAAGCAGTGATAAAATATGAACCAAGGCAATATTTACAGCCTACCTATGCCAATAAATTATCAACTGAAATCTTCAAGAAGCACACAGGCCAAGACATGGTGGAAGGATCCAGCACATTGGACAGCGCCAGTAGCATGGTAAGGTACAGCTGCGGAGGTCCTGCTGGCAGCTGCCAACTAACTTCCTGAGCATTATATTGCTCAATGCTTGGGTTAAATGAAGGTCAAGGGGTGGGAGGTGGAAGAATGAACCCAGAGCTTCAAAAGACCCTGAACCAAATCTGGTTAAACCAAGCACTGCTCAAGGAGGTTTTAGACCCTAAACCTAAAATGCAGCCAGAAACCCATACCAACAGTTACTCCTCTTTCAGAAGTAGCTGCAACAGCAACAGCAATGGAAATAAATATCTGGCAAACAGATTATTTGGCAGTTAGAGTTGAGTATGCAATTTTGGGTATACAAGTAGAGGTCTGCTCAAGTAAGACCAGAGTTTATTCTCCTCCTTCTCCTTCCCTTTCCTCCCCTCCTCCTCCCACTCCCTCTCCTCCTCCTCTTCCTCTTCTACTTCCTTGTTTCTTCTTCTTCCCTTCTTCTTCTCCTCCTCCTACTTCTTCCTTCTTTCTTCTTCTTTCCTCTTTCTTCTTCTCCTCCTCCTACTTCCTCTTCCTTCTCCTTCTTCCTCTTCATCTTCTTCTGCTTTCTTCATCCTCCTCCCTCTCTTCTTCTCCTTTTTTTTTTAAGAGACGGTCTTGCTCTGTGGCCCAGGCTGGAGTACATGGAGTGCAGTGCCACAATCATAGCTCACTGCAGCCTTGAACTCCTGGACCCAAGCAATCCTCCTGCCTCAGCCTCCTAAGTAGCCGGGACTACAGGCATGCACCACCACACCCAGCCAATTAAAAAATTTTCTTTTAAGGAAAGGGGTCTTGCTATGTTGCCCAGGCTGGTCTTGAACCCCTGGGCTCAAGTGATCCTCCCACCTAAGCCTCCCAAGTAGCTGGGATTATAGGCTTGAGCCACAGCACCCAGTAGAGTTTCTTAACTGGTATCCATGCACTGGCTAGTCCATAAACCCTATGATATAAGCAAGCCTCTCTCTCTCTCTCTCTCTCTCTCTCTCTCTCTCTCACACACACACACACACACACACACAATCTATAGGTAGATAGAGATCTGTGTGTGCGTGTGTGTGTGTGTGTGTGTGTGTGTAGCAAGGGGGCTGTGTACATGTACATTATTTTTTCTGGGAAGAATTCTTATAGATTTCATCAGATTCTCAAAGGAGACTGTAACCCAGTAAAGCTTAGGAACTATCATCTTAGACCAAGGATCAGTATCCTTTAGAACTTGAGCTGGAATATATAATTCAGCCACAGAAGGCTCTTGGTTAGAATGAATGTCATGGAATACTACTTCCACACAAACCCCAGCTACTGACACTCACCCTCAGGGTTATAAAATGTCTCATGCCTTGTGAGTTCAGTCCTTTGGACAGGAAGCTAAAAGTTTCATGTTCGTTATATATAAAGATCCAGGTTAGGGATTTTAAAAAACACATTACTATGTTAGCTAGCTGTCACTGCACGGTAAACCACTCAAAATTTAGTGGTGTTATTTACTTATGAATTGGTAATGTCAGCAACATGGATTAGGTTCAGCTAGACGATTCTTTTGCCTAGGAATTACAAGGCATGGGTTTAGAATCCCACATTATTTTTGCCACATTCATTAGTCAAGGTGCATTACAAGGCCAACCCAGATTCAAAGTTGTTGAGAAACAGACTACTTCCTCATGGGATGAGCTGCAAAGTCACACTGCAAAGGGGCTGCTCATGGAAGAATCACTGCGGTCATCTTGAAAACAATCTTCCACAGCTACATGCTGAAGAATTCATAGTTAAAATAATGTTATCTGTGATTTGCTTGAAAACATCCCAGAAACAAAAACTGGTGGGAAAATAATTGAAAGAAAAATGGCAAAAAGTGATCATTGTTGAAGCTTGATGATGGGCACATGAGGGTTATTTACATTAGTCTTTTTACTTTTGCATGCATTTGTAATTTTTTAAATTAAAAGGTTAAAATTAAATTAACAAAACACATGCTCTCTATGAATCCTTGTAACAATTATCTTTTCCCCTTTTACATGTGTGGACAGTGAATAGGGGGCAGTCATGTGACTGGTCATTTCTAAGGTCACTCATAGAATAATAGCTAATATTTACTGAAGACATAAAATGCACCAGCGCCTTCCCAACATTGTACATCATATCTCATTTAGTCCTCACGATACTACGCATCAGGTAGTATTATTGTCTCCATTCCTAAGATAAGAAACACCAGAAAGCTGACCAAGTTTACAAAATAAGTAGTGAAAGCCTGATTTGGATCCAAGAAATGTGGCTTCAAAGCCTCCACCCTATGAGGAGCAAAGCTGAGATTAGAATCAAGCTCTGTATGGCTCCAGCAGCAGGACCTCCCACTCCACGGTGCTAGGCTGGGACTTTCAGAGCTGGTGCTTCCCACGTCATTTTCCTTCGCTATACTGCCTGTCTGAATTTCCCTTCCCAAATTTGCACATTGCACATTAATACTGCACACTCAGTAGGGATCTGACTAAGTGGCCCACTTAGGGGCCCACTTAGTGGCTCACTTAGTCAGTAGGGATCTGACTAAGTGGCCCACAGCCCACTTCCCATAGGTGGAACACCTCTATTTTCTTCTACTAAATATATAATATATCTGTAAGTGCTTTATAAACTGTAAGGTAATTTGAAAGGTTCACTTGTTCTACAAATTAAGTAGCATTTTAAATGAACAACTAGTTGAAAAATTATTTTTAAGACTCTCCAAAGAAGTTAAATCTTGTGGTAAAGCTCTCCTTTGGAATTGTCCTTACCAACATCTGCAAGTGCAAGCGCGTTTTCGTTCAGGGTGAGAATTGTAGGTGAGAATCATCATTGTAGGAGGAAAAGCAAGAAGATTCATGAAGTGGGAGTTTGGGCTATCAAAGTTTGTTTCCAGGAATGACCTAAGAAGAACCAACTGGGAGCAGCTTGGGATTTTTCATTTACTCTTCCTTCAGAGTGAAGATACTCTGTGCTACTCCTAAATGCTCTCCTGTCTATGTGTTAGAGCCTCAGCCACTCCAGCCTGAGGCTGTAGCTTGTCACTCCCGACTCTGAGGAAGTAAGAGAGACAATGTACCAAAATACTCAGCAGGAAAATCAGAGTGGAGGGATTTCACTCCCATGTTATACGAAATAGCACTAGGCATTGCCTGAAAGGATCCTTTGTCCAACCCCATCAGCAGCAACACCACATCCCAACTGCAACGGAGAGGTCTATAGATGCAGAGTCGAAGTGTGTGCGTGTGTGTGTGTGTGGGTGTGTGTGTGTGAATGGATTCATGACTTATTTAGAAACATACCAAAACTTAAAAAGAGAACGTTTGCTCTAAGAGTTAGTTACTGATACAAAGCAAAGTGACAGAATATTTTATTGAGATTCAGAATAAAAATCGTTCTTCCGGGGTCCTATGTATCTTTTTGTAAGATAGGCTTGTGTTCCTTCCATAATAAAGGGAAAGTAAGTAAAATGGTGTCTTCCACACGTACAAGACTTGTCAACAGTCTTCTCCCAAGCATCCCAGCTGTCCAGAGGACATTAAAGGACTGAAGACATTAATTGATTGATAACATGGAGCTATGCAGTGCTTTCCAATGCTTCATCTTTCTAAGAAATCAAAATTAAGGAGCATGAGAAAGCAGAATCAGCTAATTACAAAACTTAACATTATATAAAAATATAGAAGGAGAGATAGAGAGAGAGAAAGAAGAGAAAAAAAGAAGAAGAGAGATAGAGAAGCAACCTTCTTACAGACAAGCTCCTTAATCACTCAGGTTTCAAACTCAGTCAATTACAATCACACACACAAAACAGTCAAATATTTAATAAAAACACAGTTGAAACTTGACCTCAAATACTTGTAGGTGCATTGTATGTATCAGGTTTCCCAGAAACAGGAGTCATAAAAACACATTATTTATCAAGAAGTATTTTCTCTCGCCATCCAAGTAAACTCTTGCCCTGGAAACCACACAGCTGTCGCCTTTGGGAAAGAGGTTGGATTGCGGGTGCTAACTTTCCTATCTTTAAGTTCCTTCAAACCAGGCAAAGGTAAATCAAAATTTGAATTCTCTTTAGCTTTCAGAATTTCAGAGAAACCAAAAGTCTATACCAGAATATCAGCCAGATACTATGAAGGGATCATAGTTGAGAGAGTTGGAACTGCTGAGTTTTTAATTTTAAAGTTGGTGCTACTCAGCCTGGAATGCACTCTAGGTCACAGCTCTCAGCACATGCCCCCTTGCAATCACAGCCGCCAGACATTTTTCTCTCACTGTGGGAAACTGTCGAATCGTTTTTCTTTGCGTGTGCATATTTAAGTCACGGGAAATGGTCTTTATATCCCACTCATAGGAATGAATGAGGTGTGAGAACATTTTAATTTCATAAAAATGTTTCATGTCTTTATCAGACTGGATTTGCTTTTGTTTCTTTTGCATAGCTGCTTAAAAATTCCAGTAATTCTAAAAGTGATGTGGATTCATTATGGGAAATGTGTACATACAGATAATAAAAGCAAAGAAGCAGAGGAAGCCATCTAAAGACATGCAAAGACAACTACTGTTAGCATTGCCTGTCGTCTGGAAGCCTTTCTTAAAATATAAATTTTTCATTATTAAGGGTCATCTTCATATTTTCAAGAAAAGTGCCTTTGAAATAATTTAGAATTTCATCACAATTCTGATACTTATAATTATAGAATTATGACATTATAATTTTCACTGTAAATAATGCTTATTGTAATAAACAATAAAGAACAATGAAAACTAAGAAATAAACCTAAACCAGTATCTATGTAATTACAGGCAATTAAGGGTAATTAAAATATAATTGGCCTTGGTTAAAGTCGAAAGAGATATCATTTGGGCCCCAGCTCTGACACTAACCCATAGTGTGATCAAGAATAAATTACTTGACTGGATGCGGTGGCTCATGCCTGTAATCCCAGCACTTTGGGAGAACGAGGCAGGTGGATCACTTGAGGTCAGAAGTTCAAGACCAGCCTGGCCAACATTGTGAAACACTGTCTCTACTTAAAATACAAAAATTAGCCAGGCGTGGCGGCGGGCACCTGCAATCCCAACTACTCAGGAGGCTGAAGCAGGAGAATCTCTTGAACCCAAGAGGCAGAGGTTGCAGTGACCCAAGATCATACCACTGCACTCCAGCCTGGGTGGCAGAGCAAGACTCTGTCTCAAAAAAAAAAAAAAAAAGAATAAATCACTTTACCTCTATTAAGTTCAGTTTTATCTGCAGAATGAAGTGGCCAGATTTTATTCCTAAGGTCCCTTCTAGCGTTAAAGTTGTCTGATATCAGTTGAAGCAGAGTCAACAGTTAAGCACCTCTTTGCTATATTTTACCTGTATAGGCAATCACTTCTAAATATTCAAATTACTAATTTTATTTTTCCTTCTAGATGAGCTTATCCAGATGATACTTTAATTCTTCATCAGTAAGAACACAAAGAAGTAAACCAACTTAAGAGTTATTATGTTAGTCATAAATTTATTCATATGCTAAGCAGACTAAATTGAAATATGACAAAAATGACTTTTAGAGCTACCACACAAATTTTTCCTCAAGCAGAGTATCAGATAGTCTATTGCAATATTAAGAACTTCATTTGTATAAAGGAGAAGAATCCTATAATCAGATTGGAGGACATTGGAGTGATAATATAATTGAATCTTGCCTCATGGCATGGATGGCAAATTCAAATGCATACAGGAATCATACACACAGGTAATATAAATGTCTTCTTATATCTGGCCCTTTTGAGAAAAGCCGATGATAAAGTGACAGGCCTTGGTGAACTGGAAAAAGCATACCCAGTATAAGATCCAAGGAACTGGTGGATTGTTGACATGAGGAGTATGGACACAAAATAGCCAAATCTGATTTTTCAAAATACACTGGAAATCCACATTGTGTGTGTGTGTATGTGTGTGTGTGTGTGTGTGTGTGTGTGTGTGTGTGTGTGTAAATTCCCAAGTTTCCAGCTTTAAATCAAATATTTTTTTTTTCTTCTGCACTGTGTGTGGGCCAAACAGCACAATGGTGGGCCACTAATTTGCAAACCTACAACTTATACTGAAAAACTGACTTCTTCCATTTTCTGGAAGAAGAGAGACAGAGAAGCAACCTTCTTACAGACAACCTCCTTAATCACATAGACATGCAACTGAAACACCAAACAGTGGAAGACCAAACCAATCATCTGTGGAGGGGAAGAGTAAACCTATATTGTAATAAAACAACCACAACATTTATGCCTAAGGAGATAAATTTTGAATATATTTTCTCCAAATAGCTAGTGATGATTGGATTGTTTTACCCACAGGCAAATAAACTTGCAATTCTTTGCTTTTCAGAGTTGACATCCTACAAATACAAACTAACCATTTTTAAATGAACTTGGTAAAAAGCCTTATTATCAATGTATGTAATTTCCTTTAATTAAGGTTGGGCAATAAAATTATCCCAAAGCCTCTGACCAAGTCCCCATCCTCGTCCAGCCACAGTGAGAAAGGAGGAACAATGCTAACAAAGATATTCCACTGCTGTGCTAATGCATCCAACACTAGCACACTTTTCCCTCCTTCTTGTTCCTATAAAAACATCTGTGCAAAGTGGGCCCAGCTGGCTTGCAAATATGTTCCAAGATGCAGACCAGTTTCCAGCCCCTTTGTATCACCCTTTGTCTTGTCTCCTTTCTGCCAGTGCGCATTTCTCTCTTAAGTAGCTAATGCTTAGTGAAAAAAATCAATGTTAACAGGTTAAAAGTTAATGTGCTTCACCTGTTTCACCTCCGTCCATTAGTAAACTTGGACCAGCAAAGGGGGATTTGACATATTACCTGTTTGCCTATCTCCTCCACGGGGGAAATTATGAGGGGTTCTCAAGAGTTATTCATCAAAACGTCAGGCTCCAATTTGGTAAAATCATTATAACACCTGCTTTCTGGGAATTATCGTGAAATCTCACTCCTTTTCCCTTTGTAGAGAACCTGCTGTTGGCTAAGAAATACACCCACCCACGACTTTTATTTACAGTTCAAAGTCTATTTGGGATGGTAGGAAGGAAGGAAATTTCAGGAATCAGCTAGTAGTGAACAGTCCTTAGAGACTGAGGCAGAAAAGCATCCAGACTGCTTGGGAAGCCTCCTGAGATTAGGGGGTTCTTACAACACTGCAAAGGACTTCCAAAGTTTCCATTAGTTCAGACTCACTGAGTTATGAGAGCAGTTCCACCTGGAAACTATCTCAATTTCAGCCAAGGCAGCAAGCATTTGATATTCAGATAGATTAAGAAGAATAACGTGTAAAAAAAAAATGTGAAGGGGGTTGGGGAATATGGGAGCAAGTCTGAGGCACTTGAAATCATCAAAAAAGTTCAAAGTGGCAAAATAGTGATCCCTTAGAGAGTACAGAGCTGGGGTTCCTGGAACCAAAACCTATACTCAGATTCAGGTCTTCACCTTTATCCACATCCTAGTTCTTGCACAGTAAACCTCCTCGGTCTTCTTGGCTCACTGGGGGATTTTAGAAGTATTTTAATTCCCATACTGCTGGTGGCTCTTTATTTACCACCTTCACAGCAAGAAAGTAAGTGCTAAAAGGCCACAAACCCTGAAGTTTCAAGGGATGGTGCTCGCCTCAACCCGAATTCAGCTGCTGACTTTCCCAAGAATAAGCCATGCTCTCCCACCTTTAGTGTTGCCAGATGTAGCAAATAAAATTGCAAGGTGCGAGTTAAATTTGAGTTTCCAATAATAGTAAATAATTTTTATTATAATCCCAAATATCACATAGGCATACTTATACTAAAAATATCCATTTAGTTGAAATCAAATTTAACTGGGTATCCTGTATTTTATCAGGTAACCCTGCTATGAACAGATTCAGAAAGATGGTTGGACTTTACAGCCTAGTGCATTGAAGAAGAAAATTCATTCAACAAAGCTAGTGAAGGGGAATTTTTAAAATGTATGAAGCTCTTAACTGCCAGAAAAATGCCAAAAGATCCACCTTATGTGCCTCTTTATGTGATCGGCTAGTCCAGAGATTCTACACCCTGGCTGCACGCTAGTCACTAGGGAAAGCTGAATGTTTCTGATGAGTGCACCCTTCCCTAGACCTAATGAATCAGAATGGAATTTTTTAAAGATGCTCCCTAATTCTAAAGAGCAGTCAGGTTAAGATGCACTGAGCTAAAGAGGCAATGAAGAAAAGCTGAAGTGTGGTAGAGAATGTATGACTATTTCAACTCAAGGTTCCTAAACTTTGCTGCAGATTGGATTCACCCAAGGTTTTTGAAAATCACTGACACCTGGCACCTACCCCAGACATTTCGGTTTAATTAGTGCTAGGTACAGCCTGGGCATCAGGATTTGTGAAAGTTCCTCAGGCTTTTCTAATACAGAACAAAGTGTGGAAAACACTGTGTGACCCTAATATACCTCTGTTTCTTAAGAAGAGAGCAGCTCTAATTACTTTCGTGGGAGTAGGAATGAAATCTGACCTTCCAACCATATTGAAAAATAAATTAGATATTACTTTTTAAACCTATTTTTCCCATGTTGACTTCAAGATTTAAACCTTATTAATGGGATGTTGTTTTCAGGAACTTAACTCTGGCTCTCTTTATAGGATGCGTATTAATCCCTTTGCCAGGAGTTTTATAGATGGGAGAACGACAGTCACCCAAGACCCTTCTACAACTCCTGCTTTCAGTCATATATAATGATAACGATTACACACCCATGGAACTCGGAGGCCATACTTCATTTGTATATCAAGATTGCACAAACTGATGGATTGACATGAGAAGAGTGTGATGCCAACCTCCAGACTAAGTCAAAGAAGGAGAAGAATAATCTGTGCCTTGCTAATGCAAATGTGGTCATAAGGGATGCTGACCTTTCTTACAAATTGCTAAATGCACACTGATCCCTCCAACATTTAAAACGTTACTCACCCTCAAGAGATTATTCATCCCTGACTTGACAGAGAATGCAAGAACATTACTTGAGTGCCAAAGCCAATAGATATGACTTTCCAAAGAAGCATGCTTTGTGGGAGGATATGGGCTTTACCCCAGCTGCTTGGGTAATCTGAGAGCCAAAGAAAGATATGACTGTCAGAGAAGACACCTGATGAGTTCCAGAACTTCAGTTTAGGGAAGTATTTCACACGACTAAACAATTTATCAAAAGTGGCCAAATACTGCTAGCAGTGTGTAGTATGTCATGGGTGAGTTGATGGGATTCGTTTGTGATGAAGCCAGAGTCCCAGCATCTTGCCAGGCAGTGGAGAGGTAAACAGACCAGAAAAGCAACGATTAATACAAAGAAAGGAACACATCTACTGTCAGGGCCACCTCAGGTTTTATCACCATGGTAGGAAGAAAAGGAGATTTTGCTGTCTGTCTAGGGTATTTCAAGTCCACAAAACCTTCTCATTCTTCATATTTTGAGAAAACTTTGGAAACATAAAATTATTTTTTAAAAACAAACACCTAACATTTCTCGTGACTGTACTTTTGAACTTTCTTACTTGCTCAGTTGATCATTTCATAACTAAAGGACTTTAAAGATTCCTGAAATTATACAATGTTTTTAATATTTTCTAGTTTGAAATATTAATATGACAACATGGGCCAGATTTGTTTTGAAGGATACACATAAAATCTGTCTATAACATGATAAAATATTAGGAAATATATGTTTTAAAGCTTTAAGTTCATCAAGGGTAGCTCTTGCTTTAAGATAACTTAATACGTGAAATTGAGTATTTACACAAAAGTGAACATTTACTTCAGCCAAGCATTCTTTACTTTCCAGGCCTCTTCAATTATTTTACACAGCACATTCCCAAGTACATTTAAAAATGCTTGAATTACAGATACTACATCAATAAATAAATTCTTGGTGAAAAAATACTTGTTCAAGTGAGGAAAACCTACATTGTCATAAGTGAATGAAGCAATTAAACTTGCAGAGGGTGTCAAATATCCCAAACTAGTTATTTGGTATACTGGTATACTCAGTTTGATTTCACGTAAACTGATTAATAAATGCTCAGCGCTTTTCACTCAGAATTAAGAATAACAATTCTTCTACAAGTTACTTTAATCTCTAACAGATATAAAAGAGTTCATAGATTTCCCACTTAAATCAATGAATTTCATTTTATACTAGTGATTTGAGTATGCATTTTTTCATTCATTCATCAAACTTAACTTTAGCCCTTGGCATGTTTCAGGCACTATGGTACTTGCTGGGAGATACAGCTTAGCGAGGGAGGCAGACATAAATTACACAAATTACTACAAGCTATTATAAGTGGCCTGAAGGAGAAGCACAGGGTGTTAGGAATTGTATATAAGGGACGTGCCCTAGACTAGGGACTCAGAAAAAGAGTCCTGGAGGGAGTGACATTTAAGCTAAGACAGCACTCTTAATAATAACAGCTCCCATTTACTGACATTATGCTAAAGGTGCTTTAAAAGTGTTAGTGATGATCTATTGAATTAGATACTTTGATTTTGCCACTTTGTGCATGGGGAAACTGAGACTCAAAAAGAGCAAGTGGCTTGTCAAAGGTAGACACATCTAGGAAGTAACACAGCCTGCAGTTAAACCCAGATGCTGACTCCAGAACATGTATTGTATGCTTAACTATTAGTTATAGTACCTCTCCAGAGAACAGGATGAGACGAGTGAATTAAATAAAGGGAGGAAAAGAGTGTTCCAGATGAGAAATAACTATAATCTCAAATGACTAAGAGCACAGATTATAACAAATATGTGCACTTGGCAAATCTAACTGAAACTAGCAAAGAAACATTTCCCAACAGAATCTAATTTCTGTTACAGAAAGAGGCTTCCTTCAAACAAAATATTTGCAAAGATTGTCACCTAGTGGCAACAGGCAGGAGGTGGGTTTTGGGCTGGTATTTCTGAAGAGGTATATCCAGTTGCTTACCTGGGGATGCTGATCATCAATTTCCATGTCTACTGTGTGCACTGGGCAATCCCAAATGGATTTTCTCTTTATAACAAAATTTCTGGGGAAAAAAAATCTTTACATCCATTATCTCCATTTTCTTACCTTTTGTTCTTTTGTTTGTTTTTCCCACTTTAACCAGGATTTGGTCCCAACCAATACTATGAAGTGGCTCTTGTTAGGTTTACCAGTGATTCCTACCTTGCAAAATTCGGTAGTCAATATTTAGTCCTCACTTCTGGTGAAATTTGACAGAGTTGCTTGCTCTCATTGATTTGAGTCTTTATGTCTTGGGATGCCACACTCTCCTTGCCCTCTTCTTCTCAGTTTCTTTTGCAGACTACAATTTCTGCCTGAGCTAAGCCAGACTCAAAGGGTTGATCTAGAAATAAAATACATT
Source organism: Homo sapiens (assembly GCF_000001405.40). Taxonomy (NCBI): domain Eukaryota; kingdom Metazoa; phylum Chordata; class Mammalia; order Primates; family Hominidae; genus Homo; species Homo sapiens. The sequence continues at coordinate 169,578,683 of NC_000005.10, forward strand.
AACCTAAACATTATGATATCAGCAACCATTTCTTTCAACTGAATTGAGATACAAACAGAAAAGTATGGTGTCACAGTTTCAAGCCCTCAGAGACAGAAAATGACCCCAAGTTTTATCCTATCCCTCTGTGACTTGGGCCAAATAAATTTGGGCCAACAAAATGGTGAGCAATGTAAATCATGGCTAATGAATATGTTTTATTGGACAGTGAAGTTTTGGGTTGCTTTACTGGATAAAGAGCCTCCAAGTAGTGGAGGGACTGTCAAAAAATATAAGGGATATGTAATGAGTGCTAGAAAGGAGGAATCCATAACAACTACAGTCTTTTAAATGGTTGCAAAAGTTAGGACTCTCGTTTTTAATATCATGTATATCTTAAACTAACCAGAGTGAGTACACTTCTTAGCAAGTAAAAACTATAACTGATAGAAACATGCAGTCTTAATTCTAACTGGCTTAGGTGCTAAAATCACCTGAAGAAGTTAGTTAGAGGTGTGGCGGTAATCTGAAGTGGAACAAAGGAAGGGATTCCACATAAGCTGTTTGAATCTTTATTTTCCTCCACAAACGATTAAGCCCTTTTATTTAGTATAAGTTTTCTTTTCATTCAACTGAGACATTTTTCTCAAAGAAGCCAGATCCAGTCTCTGGAAATTAGCAACTTTCCATTTTAGCCTAAGTGTAGAATGGGAACTTGACAGGTTAAACATCACATGTTAGTCTACTCAAGATCAGACACAAGTATTGCTATGTGTATTGGTTAAAACCCTTTACATTGCTGGCTGGCCACGGTGGCTCACGCCTGTAATTCCAGCACTTTGGGAGGCCAAGGCAGGCAGATCACTTGAGGTCAGGAGTTCGAGACCAGCCTAGCCAAAATGGCAAAACCCCATCTCTACTAAAAATACAAAAATTAGCCAGGCGTGGTGGGGGACACTTGTAATCCCAGCTACTTGGGAGGCTGAGGCAGGAGAATCGTTTGAACCCGGGAGGCAGAGGTTGTAGTGAGCCGAAATCGCACTACTGCATTCTAGCTTGGGTGACAGAGTAAGACACCATCTCAAAACAAACAAACAACAACAAAAAACCTTTATGTTGCAAACAACAGAAAACAGAAAACTCAAAGTGAAGCTGTGTGGTTTGAGCAAAAACTGAACAGTCCAGGGACAGCTCTAGCTTCATGAGAGGCTTGATGCAGGGCTCAAATGGCATGACCAGAACTCTTTGCTCCCTCTCTTCCAAGCAGATTTGTCTTTCATGAACCCAAGTTGTCAGCTGGAAGCTCTGGGTTATAAAGTTTAAGTACAGAGGGTGTATTAATCTGCTCAGGCAACTGTAACAAAATACCACAGATTGGGTGGCTTAAATAACAGACATTTTCTCACAGTTCTGGAGGCTGGGAGTCCAAGACTAAGGTTGGTTTCTGGTGAAGTCTCTCTCCCTGGGTTGCAGACAGCCTCCTTCTCGCTGTGCGCACTTGGGAGTAGTGGGGAAAAGAGAGGGAGAGATAAAGAGGAAGGGGATCTATCTCTGATGTCTCTTCCTCTTCTTATAAGGACAGTAGCCCTATCAATTAAGGCCTCACCCTTGTGACCTCATTTAACCTAAAGGGCCCTGTCTCCAAATACAGTCACATTGGGAATTAGGGTTTCAACATATGAATATGGGGTGGGGGGCAATGGAGGTGAGGACACAATTCAGACTATAACAGAGGCAGTTAACAAAATCCATTTTTCCAGCTGTCCCAGTGAAAAATCTCTTTGGCTTAGATTCCATCACATGCACATCTTTGAATCAATTACTGTAACCAGGGTGACGGGATATCCTAGAGATGAAAGGTAGCATCAGTTTTAAAGAATTCATATGGCTGAAAATTGAGAAAATAGAAATTATACAAAAGAATAATCAGAATTCTCTTGGTGGGAATAGGAGGAAGGAATTCATGCTAGGATGTTAGCTGTTAAATGTCTACTATATTGGGATGGTGCACTCTTTCTCTGAGAGAAGATTCCCCCTATTTAAAGAAAAAATAGTATAGCTATTAGGCTCATTCAGAGTTCAAGCTGATGCTATACATTGTTGATACAGGAGAGATCGCAGACTGGGTTTCATTATCATTATTACTATTAAACAGTCAAACCCACCTGCCTGGTACAATGATTCATTCTGATATCTAATTATCACAGTGGAAGTTGTGACAATTCAATTTCCTGATCTCTTCTCATATGGCTCCTGTTTTTCTTGTTGGATCCTTATTCTCCTCCTGTGCCATGGATTAGGACAATCCCAAAAGTCCTGCACACACCCCTCCGTTCTCTCTCAAAGCTTTTTTTCTTCATCTCGGCCATCCCCCAAGTTTCAGTGACCACAACCTTGAGTGTAACTTTCGTAACTTCATATTCCAGCCCATCCTATAAATCACAGCACTCTACAGCTTAATCTCATTCTTATTTGCAGACTCTGTGTCTCAGAGTCCTGAGCTTGTTTTTGCTTGATCCCAGCGATGACTAGCTTGCAGCTCTACTTAATAACATGAAGGAACAAGAAAGTCTAAGTCATCCTCTAAGTAAGGATTTACTGTTTATTGTTTGGTAAATGTCTCTTCCACTAAACTCTAAGTTCGTTTAATACAGAGACTATTCATTTGTAATGCCCAAAACAAATGATCATTCAATAAGTTCCTGTCAAAATATATGCAGCTTTCAATATAACGTAACAGTCTAATCCTCTCGTTTCGTCTAGAACAGTCACAATGAAGAAATGATGACAAGTTCACTACAGGAGTCTATCCCAGTTCTGAACAGCTATAATATTAGGAATTGTAACTGAGGGCCACAGAGTTGGGAGGTGGGTGTTGTTTCCCAGAATCTGAACTCCCATCCTATGCTTGGTGAATCCACTACTGTGTGAGGAGGCCAAGTCCCATCTCTCCTTACGTAAATGGAAAATAACAGATACAAGGTTGCTGTTTTTTGCTTTTTCCTGACCTTTGGTATTTAGGCCATGGTATGCGGACCTTGCCTGAGTACGGAGATCTGCATCTGGTATTGTGAATCAGAAGTTCCATTAAGTTATCTTAAAAGTAGAACCCATCTAGAATTCATTTCACTTGTGACATCTAGCGTCCAGTGGTGGTATTGGCAGTCCTGTATTCAGGCCATCCCTAAAGAATGACCTTTATTATGACATGGGGTAACCTCTAAGACTTTCCTAATGCTGTCCCCTCCCCTAGAATGCACCCCTCCTTAGCTCTGCCATCCTTCAAGGCCCTGCTTGAAGTGTCACATGCACTGGGAAGTTTTAAAGGAACATTTAGACAAAATATACCTCTCCCTTCACACAACTCCTTTAGTGTGGGGCACATACCACTTGCATAGCATTTACAGCCCTGTAAGTTCTATTTGTTTTTTAAAATCTCCTACTATATTGCGAGCATCTTCTAGGCAATAGTCGAGTTTACCACATCTCTGAATTCCTCCACTATGCCTAACACATTGCAGTCACTCAATTAATAGTTTAAAATACATATTTTTAAAATAGAATAGGAAGAAACATTAATAACATAGGGTATACCTTCTCTTGTAACAAAGGAGAAAAAATAAGTTCAGATCGATTTTAGATTACCTAATTGCAGCCAGTCATGATTGGCCTAAGCTAGAACAATCTTTTCCTGGCCCCTGAGTTAAGGAATCTTTGTTCAGTGATAGGGAAAATGGTATTTGTTTCATTTCTCCAAGAACATAGGTGTGATTACAAATGAATGAGCATCTGGTTCATTGGAGTCCCAGATAAATCTGTGAGACAACACTGTGAGCAATTTGTTGCCAATCTTAAAGCTCAGATCAACCCTTTGAGTCTGGCTTAGCTCAGGCAGAAATTGTAGTCTGCAAAAGAAACTGAGAAGAAGAGGGCAAGGAGAGTGTGGCATCCCAAGACATAAAGACTCAAATCAATGAGAGCAAGCAACTCTGTCAAATTTCACCAGAAGTGAGGACTAAATATTGACTACCGAATTTTGCAAGGTAGGAATCACTGGTAAACCTAACAAGAGCCACTTCATAGTATTGGTTGGGACCAAATCCTGGTTAAAGTGGGAAAAACAAACAAAAGAACAAAAGGTAAGAAAATGGAGATAATGGATGTAAAGATTTTTTTTCCCCAGAAATTTTGTTATAAAGAGAAGAAAACAAATGGGGTGGTTGCCGATTGGTGTCAAGGAGGATTTTTTAAAAAATGAAATCATGAAATGATTTTATGGCAATCACTGCAGCATGTTTATGAACTGATAGGGAAGATCCAATAGAGAAGAAAAAACTGAAGATGCAAAAAAGAGCAGTTAGAGCCAAGTTCTCAAATAGGCAAGAAAAGATGGGCTCGAAAGAACGACATGATTCATGTAACAGTTACTAGGACTCATCAGTGCTCATTAAATGTTATCTATTATTATTTCTGATCGCTTCAATTTTTGAATAGGCATCAGGGTTACAAAATATTATTATTAAAAACACATGCAAACAGCTTGGACTCTAAGACTGCATTCAATTCTAGTTCTACCACTTGGACAAGGCACTTTTTTTCTTCGGGCTTTTTCTCTGTAGAAAACGAGGAGTAATATCTGCCTCATAAGGCTGCGGGCTTAACTGAGATAATCTGTAAACTTTAACACATGGTGGGAACTTAAATATTAACGCCAGTATTACCACTGGTAGGGTGCATGAGATCGCACGATGGTGCCAAAGGTGTCTCTCCACCGCCCAGCCCAGCGACACTGTTCCCCTAGAAGGCATTGTCGTAAAAACAAAAAAAAAAAAAAAACGAACAAACAAAACACCAAAACACGGAAACTAAAAGCAAATACTTAAAAGACATGCAGGAAACCAGCCCAAGGAAAAATTTATGTGGAGCCACGTCTGCGCCTGCGCCTGCGCCAAGCCCACGGCGCGCCACTTGCACATGCGCAGTAGCTGTAGGAGGGGGTGGGCGCTCCATTGGGCGTTTCTCTTGGTTTTTCCTTTCCGCGCGGCTTGGGCGGACGTCTCGTGAGACGTGGGACTTCTCGCGGGAACTGCATTCAAATATCCCAGGCGCTTACTCGAGAGCTAGCTGAGCGAATGGGCCGGCGACTGTGGAGTTAGCGTCCTCAATGTGGACGCCCTGAGCTCCCATTAGGAGCCGCTGGCTGCGGCAGCAGGGGACTAGCGTGAGAGGTAGGGGCAAGGGGCCTGGTGGGAGGTGGGTGTGGAGAGCGGCAGTGGGGAGAGTCGAACAGGCCCTAAAGAAAGCTAGGGGCCGGGGTCTCGGCCGAGGCCTTTAGCTGAAACATCTCCTTCCCCGGAACCCTGGGGTCTTATACACTGGGTTCCGAGCCGGTCTTATCTTCCGCTGGACCACCTCGCCGCCCTCAGGGATTCTGGACAAATATGGAACGTTGGGTCGGTTGCCGGGTCCTCAAAATTATAACCGCCACTGGATCTGCGCTGTGCGGTACGGTAGCCTCTAGCCCGAACTAAGAAATGGTGCAGATGGGAGATACATATTGGGTTTCAGAGATAGCGCATAAGGAGTAATATCTCATTAATAATTTTTATAATGATTACATGTTGAAATGATGTTTTGAGTGTATTTGTTTAAATATGTAAATTAATTTTTCATCTTTGTTTACTTTTTAAATCATGATGGCTCCTAGAACATTTAAAATCACGTACATGACTCGCGTTATATTTCTGCTGGACAGCACTGCCCCAGCCGTGTGTCAGATTCTACCCTAATTGCTTTTCATTCGTTATCTCATTTAATCCTTTCAGTAACCGATTAGGTGGGTGTTATTGTGCTTGTTTTTATAGATGATTAAACCAGAAATTAAATAACTTGTCCAAGTTCATGCAGCCAGTGAGTAGTGGAGGCGGGGTAAGAACTCAGGCAGTTTGATTCCCAGAGTTTCCTGTGTCCCAAATGCTTTGTGTGTGCTATATTTTTGAGAAGCAGGACAGGAAAAATGGTTGCAGCACCATGGTTTCTAGGTAGATTCTAGTTCCCATCACACTTCGCGTCTTAACTTGCGGGTAACCCTAAGCAAGTTACTTAAAACTTTCTATGCCTCAGCTTGCATGTGTAAAATGAGGGAAATACCTTCAACCTCTTGAAGTTGTTGAGAAGATTGAATAAGAATGTGTATAAAGCGGCCGGGTGCGGTGGCTCACGCCTGTAATCCCAGCTACTCGGGAGGCTGAGGCAGGAGAATGGCGTGAACCCGGGAAGCGGAGCTTGCAGTGAGCCGAGATTGCGCCACTGCAGTCCGCAGTCTGGCCTGGGCGACAGAGCGAGACTCCGTCTCAAAAAAAAAAAAAAGAATGTGTATAAAGCACCAAGCACAATGTCTGTCACACATTAGTAGTTTTTAATCAACCACGGCTATCTCTCTTTGTAGATTGATAGGTTAACTCTTTCTCATCCATTAGACCTCTGCTGAAAAGTTACTTCCTCAGGAAAATTTTTTTGTCCATGTTCCCTTCTACGCGCTGCCCCCCAGATTAGGACAGCTCCCCCTTGTTACAGGCTCAGGTAGCATACATCTGTCTCTCTTGCACTTATCATACTTGTAACTTGATAGTTCAATTACTTGATTTAATGTCTTTTACTAATAGACTAGGATTCAAGAAGACAGGAATATTGTTTTAGGTTGCCATTGTGTTGTCAACACTAGCACAATGTCTCACACAATAAGAATTCCAGCAAATTTTTTGAATAAACTAAAGCAAATTTTTTTTGGCTTCTCTGGATATGCCTGGCTGGAATGTCTTGAGGTTAACCCTATTTTTATTTTGGTAGTTGAGATGACAGTATTTACTTAACTCAAGCTCATCAAGATAATTAGATGAGATAATATATTTGAAGCAGTTAGCATGGCAAATGGTAAATCCTCAACGAATGTAAGTTATTGTGAACAGTACAACATTTAGTTGGCTGGCCGTATCATGTACAGGCTTTGAAAAGGTCTTGCATTTTAGAGCAGTGACTGCCAAGCTGGGATTACCTAGAACACCTTTTTTTCTCTCTTAAACCCTGTATCTCTTCCCTTGTCTTCATTCTCAGTTAAAGACCTTGCTTCCTAATTCATTGATAAATTGAAGCAGTTAAAAGGTTACTTACACAGACTTCCACCACTGTACCTGCTTATCAGCATCTAAACTCATATACTTTGCTTAAATGAAATATCCATGCTTCTATTAAAACCAGTCTCTACATTAAACTTCATCCTGTTTATTCAGGGACATCACTAGCAATTCTCCAGTGTCTTCTAGATCATCAGTTTTTCTTCTCTCCTGGATTTATCCCATGACCTACAAACACTGTTATTTTTTTCCATCTTAAAAATAAAAAAACTTGTCCCTACTTCCTCTCCAACTGCTGCTCCGTTTATCCGTTATCCTTTGCAGCAAACCTGTGCTTGCTATCTTTATCTCCTACCATTCTCTCTTGAAGGCATTCTAGTTAGGCTTTCACCCCCACCTGGATATCAAAACTGTTCTTGTCACCAGAGACCTCCAGGAATTCAAGTTCAATGGCCAGTTCTCTGCTCTCACCTTAATTGCCTTAGCAGCAGCATCTGGCATGATTGATTACTCCCACCTCCTTAATACACTGTTTATTGCCTTCCAGGACAACACATACTCCTGGTTTTCCTTCTACCTCACTGGTCACTCCTGATTCTCCGCTGTCTTCTTCCCTACCTCATAACAGGGTTCAGTCGTTGGTCCATTTCTCTTTAAATACTTTTATCCTCTATAGACTGATAATTCTCAAATTTGCATATCCAGCCAAGATTCCTCTTCTCATATATCCAATTGCCTACTTGACATAGTTCATGTTCAAAACTCAAATTCCTGATTTTATTTCCAAAACATTATTTACATCAGTGCTTCAGCTGATGGCAATTCCATTTTACTAGGTGCTCAGGCCAGAAGACTTGGAGGCATTTTTTACTTTTCCCTTTTTCACACATCCCAAATTATATCTTTCAGAAAATCATATTGACCTTACCTTCAAAACCTTCAAAATCTGGCCATTTCTCACAGCCTCCTATGCTGCCACCCTAGTCTGAGCCATTTCACATGGTCTCTGCTTCCAGCCTTGTTCCCCTTCTAAACTAGTCAACATAGCAGCCAAAATGATTCTTTTAAATTATATCAGATCCTCTACTCCAGACTTTGGAATGACTTCCCATGTCACCCAAAGTAGGAGCCAAAGTCCTTATAATGGCCTGATTTGCCCACTCTCTACTATCTCTTAGCCAAATTTCACTCCCTGGGCTTCTTCCTGCCTTAAGGATTCCCCTCTTGCTGGAACATTCTTCTTCTAAATAGCTGCCTGGCTGATTCTCTCATCTTCTGCCTCCTGGTTACATCACCTGTCCCTTCTTCCCAGATTCTTATTCTGTTCTATTTTTTCTCATCTCCCCTTTCTAATTTATTAATATTCTGTTACTTACTGTTTATCTTCCCCTCCTGGAATGTAAGTTTCATGAGGGAGGAGCTTTTTTTTCGTCCATTTTGTTCCCTAATGAATCTGAACTGCCCAGAATGGAACCTAGTATATAAGGCATTCAAGAAATACTCGTTCAGTGAATGACTACATTGACTTGAGACATGGGGGAACATCTTGCAATGACCTGGTGCCCTTTGAAGGCAAAGGTGAGTTTGAGTCTCGCTTAGGAGGCTGGGACCAAATAGTAAAGGATAATTAGTAAGGTTGATTAAAGTGGAATGTTTCTATATATAATGTTTAAGTCTTTGTTTATAAATCTAGAATGAAAGCAACATCCTTTAATTCTTATGGATATGGTTTCTATTTTTGCATACTTTTATGAATAACTAGAAAAATACTAGTGAATCTCTTTCCAGGAAAGCAGATTTAATATATTCAGGAAGTTAACACTGTTGTGAAAAATTACAGACATGATATTTCTTACTTTACCTTATGAGCCTTATTCACAGCTGCCTTTTTATATTTTATGTGTTTATAGTACCCAGACCTTCCTTTTCTGGTGGTATTATTGTTATTATCATTATTATTTCTCAAGACAGTGTCTTGCTCTGTCAGTGCCATGATCATAACTCACTGAAGCCTCTAACTCCATCAATTTTCCTTCCTTAGCCTCCCAAGTAGCTAGGACTACGGGGGCTTGCCACCATCCCCACCTTATTTCTATTGATTGATTGATTGAGATGGAGTCTTGCTATGTTGTTCAGGCTGGTCTCGAATTCCTGGCCTCAAGTAATCCTCCCCAGTTGCTGGGATTACAAGCATGAGCCACCATACCTGCTACTATGAGGTTTCTTGATTACTTTTTTGTTATTCCCTTAATTTTGATTATATGGATAGTGGTCCAATTATGAGACCAAACTTACCTTAACATATTGGAAGCTTAGCATACAACAACTGAACAGTTTTCTGATGGTGAACTGTTTAGAAGCAAAATTAAATGTATTCTATTCCACTCTTTAATTTTTGATCCCAAATCAGTAACAGAATTGTCAGAACAGTTCTTGCTCTTGGAACAAGAATGCAAATTTGACTACTTATTAGTCAGGAAGAAAATTTTAATGTTTTTATACGACAGTAGTATTGAGTAGATATGTTTCTTCTGTTATTGATATTATTGCATGGAGTTTTTTGTATAAGCTTAAGTAGTTTTATTTCCTCTATTTACAGTTGGCTAAAAAAAAGAAAAGAACATGGAGGCAGATATAATCACAAATCTTCGATGCAGGCTCAAAGAGGCTGAAGAAGAGCGACTAAAAGCTGCACAGTATGGTTTACAACTAGTAGAGAGTCAAAATGAATTACAGAATCAATTGGATAAATGTCGTAATGAAATGATGACCATGACTGAGGTAGGACTCTGGACTCCTCTGTCTGCAAGAGTGTGCTTAGCTATTGAAGATTTGTCCTGTTTAGCAATTAATAGTAGTAGTAGTTTATTCTTTTCTGAAGATTTTAGATCTAGTTCCCGCCCTGCCCCGTCCCTGTTAAAAAAGAATGAACTAAATGAATTCCTGTTATTCTTTCCACCCTAGTGTATTCAGAGTTTGAAAGATCAAGTTATCATTACTCTCTTTGCCACATTTACTACCAGATTTTGCTTTGTCTGCACACTTCCTAGAAGACCTCACTTGTTTTAGACCTCTAAACATCTAAGTGCCCCATGACACTACACCAAGCCCTTAGTTCCCCCATGAAATCTAGGTTTGTGTTCAACTGCCCACTAATAGACTTCTCAAACTTAACACAGACAGAAGAGTGGATTCCCTGTCCGTTAACCAAATATTCTTTTACGATTTTTTTTAGCTTATTTAGTAAATATAATAGCATTCAGTTTCTTGAACACCAAAAATCTTTATATACCAAAGATTTTTGGTATATTTTTGGTTTCTTTATATACCAAAAATCTAGAACTTTTAGTCAATATCTTCCCTTTATTTCTCACATTTCACTCATTAATAAGTTCTAAGAACTAGACTACAAAGCATGTATCTTTGCTACTGGCACTGTAGTCCAGATCACCATCATCACTCCTAGACAAGTATTGTAGCCTTCTGGCCGGGTTGCCTGCTTCCATTGTTGCCATTCATGCCATTCATTCTTCACTCAGCGTCTAAGTGGTCGTGGAATAACACACCAAAGGTCATGCCACAGCCCTGCTAAAAACCATACAACAGCTTCTGATTTTATTTACAACAAAATCTGAGCTCCATCCTTGGGTTTGTAGATCCCTATGTGACCTGACCCCTGCCAAGCTTCTGACCTCACCTCAAACTGCTTTGCCTTGTTCTTGACTATACTGGTCCTCCCTTATGGGCTTTACACCAGCTATTGCCTTTTTTTTTTTTTTGAGTTGTTTACCCCTCACTGCTCTTGGGTTGAGTCCTCAGATTTCAGCTTTCATTTAAATGTCACTTCAGCGGAGAGGTCAGCCCTTACTATGTAATGTAAAGTTGCCCTGATTCACTTTTTTTTTCTTTTTTCTTTTTTTTTTTTGAAACAGGGTCTCACTCTGTCGCCCAGGCTGGAGTGCAGTGGCGCAATCTTGGCTCACTGCATCCTCCACCTCCTGGGTTCAAGAGATTCTCCTACCTCAGCCTTCCGAGTAGCTCGGGGTTACAGATGTGTGCCACCACATCCGGCTAATTTTTGTGTTTTTAGTAGAGATGGGGTTTCACCATGTTGACCAGGCTGGTCTTGAACTCCTGGCTTCACGTAATCTGCCTGCCGAAGTGCTGGGATTACAGGCATGAGCCGTTGTGCCCGGCCCTGATTCCACTCTTAATTATCTGCATTGCTAATTATCTCTAGATTATAAACTCCATGAGAGAGGGAATTTTGTATGCCTTGTTCACTATCCTGAATGCCTGCCACACGATTATTTCTTAAAAGAATGAATGAATAAATCTGGGTAATTTAGCAAATGCTCAGTAACATATTTAAACTTGAATCTCAACATTGTAAATATGGCAGGTAAAAAATATCTGTAGCAGGTAAAAATAACTAGTGATGGCAACCTTTGTGTTTCTACATAGTACTGTTGTAAACCAAGAACTGAGTGCAAAGTCATAAAGGCAAAGTAAAGATTACAAATATCACTAATAGAAAATAAAACTGTTATACTTAATCATTTTGAGTCATAACTTGTCAAATTTCAGTGTTTAACAGTTAATACTCTTTGTCTTCCTTTAAAATAAAATGGTTTTTGAGGGGAATATTTTATCATTTTTTAAAGCCTCTTGAAGGAGTTCGTACTTGTAACATTTTTAATGTCTAAACTTCCCTGTGAGTAAGCAAAAGCCCTTTTAATTACTCCTTTTGTCTCAGCTCTGCATTCATTCTGATAGACCTTTTGTGACATTTCTCAGATGACTACATTCTGAAAGTAAAGGCTAATTCAGTATTTCTTTTTTTTCAACTATTATTACTACTACATTGTGTTCAGAGCTACAAGTAGAGCATCTCATTATCAAACTAATAATTCTCATGAGGAAAGCTTAAGTGCTGTTAAATCTTTTTTTGTTGTTAGCAGAGATTACTTGACTTGACGTGTTGACATACCATGGAGCACATTTTACTTCCTTGACAAGGCACAGAAGCAGTAAGGTATCCCTTGCATGGGTTTAACATAGTTTCGAAATACACCTCAGGGGTTTATTAAGACTGATTAACTACAAAGTTATTCCAGGTTTAACATGTCTTCGTTATTTGGAAAGCAGCAAATGCTTGAAATAAGAATGAAACAATTGAAGTTGAAAACTGATTGTATGTAATGGCTTTAGGCTATTTTTATGTAATTGAATTGTAATTGAATCTGTTTTCAGAGTTATGAACAAGAAAAATATACCCTTCAAAGAGAAGTTGAACTCAAGAGTCGAATGTTAGAAAGTTTGAGCTGCGAATGTGAAGCTATTAAACAACAACAAAAAATGCACCTGGAGAAATTGGAAGAACAACTAAGCAGAAGCCATGGACAGGAAGTGAATGAACTAAAAACTAAGGTTGGGATATCTGCGTATTTCAGCACAAAATATTCCATATTTATGCAGCCATCTGTAAACTTTAGATGATAAAGATTTTCTTAAGTGTCAGCTTTGCAAAATAGCCAAGATCTAAGTCTTCATTATCTTAATATTGGGGGTGGGAACACTGAGATACAAGAGTTTGTCTAAGGGACTTGTATAAATTATATCCTATTAATTAAATACAATTATTTAATTTTGGTTGCTGGATATTTGTGAAGGTTTAGTTTAGTGACTAGCATGGCCTCCTTGCTGATAGTGGGTACAGCAGCCCCTTGCAGAAAGCCTCGTCTCCTAGCCTTCCCTGCAGTCAGTGGTATGCTTTGTAATTCTGTAAAACAGACCAGTAGTTTCTTACTAGTTAATGTGCATTACAAATGACACTTTATAGTTTGTTTACTGAGGATAAACTAATACATGTGCTCCAGTTCTTACAATAATATTGTGGAAAGGTACCATTATCATTTCCATATACCAGATGAAAGAGCCAGTGTTTAGACAGACTGAGTAAATTGGACACAATTCAAGAACTAGAAATTCTCCATCTAGGTTTGAACTGAGGCTGTCTGACTCCAAAGGCTGTGTTACTGAATCACTACATAGTCTAACAGCATGTTACACTGGCTCCATTTCAAACATAAACGCAAGATAAATGATTGGTCAGTGGTTTTCCCTTTTCCCAGCTAGCCAGTGCTTTCAGGTTGCTTCTGAGGAATCCAGAACTTTTTATCATGGATCTGCTTTGTGTATAGTCTATACTCTGACTTTTCCAGACACTGTCTACCAAAACTTGCCTGACTTTTGTCCTCCTTTCTCAGAAGTCTGTTACCCAATTTTCAGCTTCTTGTATAGCAGCCTCTAAGATTTTTCTTTTTCTGTATACCACCTATACTATTACTTAATTTCTCATTGACTCTCTTTTAATGTTTACTGATTTTAAGAAACATCAATGAAAGTATTTTTTTTTCCTTTTTTTTTTTTTTTTTTTTGAGGCAGAGTCTCACACTGTCGCCCAGGCTGGAGTGCAGTGGCATGATCTCGGCTCACCTGCAACCTCTGCCTCCCGGGTTCAAACGATTCTCCTGCCTCAGGCTCCTAAGTGGCTGGGATTACAGGTGTGCGCCACCACGCCCAGCTAATTTTTGTATTTTAATAGAGACAGGGTTTCACCATGTTGGTCAGGCTGGTCTCTAACTCCTGACCTCGTGATCCGCCCACTTCAGCCTCGCAAAGTGCTGGGATTACAGGCCTGAGCCACTGCGCCTGGCCAAAATTACATATTTAAGCTTGCTTATTTTTTCCCAGTATACACTAAAACAAACATAGCTATCTAAATATACCTTCATGTAATATATAATCATCTTGCATACCACTCTGACAGATAATATCATCCAGCTTGTCTGAAACTAGTCGGATTTGAGGCCCTAATGACTGATAATGATGTGCTTTCTTCCCCCTCTGGTTGTTATTTTTATTTTTGCAATAGTTTTCATCACCTAAACAAAAAAGAGTAATAAAGGGAGTATTCAGGACTGAGGTAAGGCTAATTATAGAGATGGCTTTTTTTTTTTTTTTTTTTTTTGGTGGAGCAAAGAGTACATTAGTGAAATATTTTGTTTTACTGATTTTCTCAAATCACTTATGCCAAAATTTGGATTTTTTTAATACCTTTTCTTCTCTTATTTTTCACATTTAATTCATCAAGTTCTAAGAACTTGACCTACAAAACATCTATGACGCTACTGCCACTCCAATCCAGACCTTCATCATCTCTTTCCTGGACTACTGCTGTAGCCTTCTGACCAGGTTGCTTGCTTCCATTGTTTCTCTTCATGCCAGTCATTCTTCACACAGTAGCCAAGTGGTCCGCATCATAGTGCCTCCAGATTGCTTCTGAGGCATCCAGACCCACCCCGATTACTCATGGATTATTTCTATGTTTATTAAACAAGGTGTGTCACTAGCTGTTAAAAGATGCCTAACCTTGGGCAAATAGGAAACTCCAATAGTATCATCATTCAGTAAGTTTGGTTCAATCAGTTCAATCAGTGATTGTTTTTAGAAAGAAAATAACTTTCAATTTATGACTTTTTTTTTTTTGGCTTTAGATAGAAAAACTGAAAGTGGAATTAGATGAAGCCAGGCTTAGTGAAAAGCAGCTGAAGCACCAAGTAGATCATCAGAAGGAACTCCTCTCTTGTAAATCAGAGGAACTGCGCGTAATGTCTGAACGTGTGCAGGAAAGCATGTCTTCAGAGATGCTGGCTCTTCAAATTGAGCTGACAGAAATGGAGAGTATGAAGGTAATTTTTATGGCATGTGTTTCTCAGGGTTTTCTCTTTTTTTTTCTGGCATATTTTTACATGTTTTGGTAATAATTCTTAAGAGCTAGTTTGAAGGCTGAAACATTTTTTGACCTAACTTGCATCTAACTAATTAAAAAATGGGTTTTTTTTAGGTGGATGACTTCATTCATAATATAGCTTTAGACTATATGATTATGTAAGGCAGCCTTTCTCTTAGATTAATGAAACGTCTGGAAGAATTTAGAGGCATATACTCTGATCCCAGATTTTATCGTAAGAGCCCAGTGTAAAACGTTGGCTCAGTGGAAGTTGAAATGCATGTGAACTTGGTTTTTTCATTGAAAGCTAAGGTTAATTAAAAATTAAAGCCTGAAATTGATAGAGGAAAAAGGGCAGTCTCTAAAGCCATTTGTTTCCTTGTTGAAAAATTTAACAGTAATAGTAATTTCTATTATTTTAGAATGTACCTGACAACTTTTGACTGGTTCTTTAGTTTTAATTTTGGATGTGAACCACAACTGAGATAAACTGAGCAGCTGCCAAATGAAAGATTATTCAAGAGAATTTCCTCCTTTTCAATTCCTGTTAAATAGACCACCCTCAAAGAAGAAGTGAATGAACTACAATACAGACAAGAACAGCTAGAACTTCTTATTACTAACCTAATGCGCCAGGTAGACCGGCTTAAAGAGGAAAAAGAGGAGCGAGAGAAAGAAGCAGTTTCTTACTATAATGCCCTAGAGGTACTATGATTACAGTAACATCATGTTTTCCAATTTATCATAACTTATTTTCTTGCTAATGTAATCTCTGTTGCCTAAATTGTTTTCTTTTGAATTTAGAAAGCTCGTGTAGCAAATCAAGATCTTCAGGTACAGTTGGACCAGGCACTCCAGCAAGCCTTGGATCCCAATAGTAAAGGCAACTCTTTGTTTGCAGAGGTACTTATAAGTATCCTAACTACTAAATTGGTATTTTCATTTACTACCAGAACAATTAAGCATGTTAATATTTTGTAGGTGGAAGATCGAAGGGCAGCAATGGAACGTCAGCTCATCAGTATGAAAGTCAAGTATCAGTCACTAAAGAAGCAAAATGTATTTAACAGAGAACAGATGCAGAGAATGAAGGTATAGAACTTTCACTATCAAAGGTTTATTAAACAAATTTTGTGTCAGCATTACATGTATGAATACATCAAAGAAACTAGCTTTTTCTGCAAGGAGTGTACTTATATAGTTGTTTCTAGAACTGCATGATTTCAAAAAATCAATTTTGAAATTAAAAGATTCATTTATAGTTTAAAAATCTTGGAATAAATATTTAGTAATAGTATATTTAGCAATGATTATTGTTTGTTTTAATGGTTACTCACTAGCTTTGACTTAAATCTTTCTTTGTGGAGTAGAAGAAAGAAAAGTATTTATTTCTTATTCTTGGCCTGATGTCTTTCCAAGCATAGCCCTAGGGTTCCTACTTCAGCTGAAACTCGCTGCCTCACCATTCCTCTGCTCTTTCACCAAGGCTTATTATGGAGTGAAATTTGGATTATTCAGGGTTCCCTTTCCTTGTAGCTCCTCAAGTCAAGCACATAGACCCTTTTAATTTTACGGGTTTTGTTGGTTGTCATTCTAGCCAAATAAGAGGTAGCAGAAAAACATGTGGGAATTAGAAAGATTTCAGTATTGTAACAGTCCTTAGAATCCTGATCCCTCATCCATTGTGCCTCACTCTACTGAGGTAGTAATTGGAATCTGGAAAGGCTTCCTTCCTTTTATTCAGAATCATGGGCTTTGCCAAAGAAATGGGAAAGGTTAATGATTAAATTTGGGAGTTAGGTGGATTTGGGTTTGAATCATAGTTTTGTCACTTGCTAGCTCTGTGACCTTGGACAAGTATTTTAACTTTGAAAGCAACAGTACCTCATCTATTAAGTGAAGATGATAGAACCCCCTCTTAGAATTGTCCTACAGTTAAATGAAAGTGTAGTAAAATACTTAACCTGCTACTTGGCAAATGAGTGTTTAATGAACAACAGCTGTGAATTTTATTTCTAAGGGTTTCCAGACTGTGCTGCCTCATTTCCTGAGACTCTCCCCTGTCTGGGAAGTATTTCTTTATAAATTTTCTCACGTTTACTTTAGTTTTCTTACAGTATTTGTTGGGGTTACTTTTAATCTACCAATGTTGCATATGTCCCAAACTATCTTTAGAGACTAGAAGCATTCTGAGTCTTAGGCTAAGTGGGCCTAGCCTCCAATCTGAAACAGGAACAAAAAGGATATCCTTTAAAATGTTAAAAGTCATCTGCAACCTCATATCATTGATTGTTTTACTCAAAACTATATTTAAACTAATAGGCACTCTTTTCAACTCCAGAAATTTCCAAAGGCAGAAAGAAATGCTAGATTTAGAGTCTACTTAATTTCCCTCTGGTAGCTTCACAACTCCAGATTTGGGGTGGGGGAGGTATAATGAGGTAAGTTGAGTGCTGCTCTAAAAAAATTAAAACATGGTATATTGAAGATTACCCCAGTATACTAAGATAGCCTTTTATCTTTGCTTTTAACGTCATTTGTGAATCTAACATTTGTGGCTGTCAGTAGCTTAGTTTTCCTCACTTAATTAAAGTTAATTAAAAATTTTGAGAAACCCATCAGAACCTTAATAAGAGCGAGTGCTTATGATAAGCAGTCTGCAGCGTTTGGCCAGGCTTACTTACCAGTTCAGTGGTGTGCTTTCAGACCACAGCCATGCAAGTCAGTTTTATGTTTCACAAAAGTACAAATAATTACATTACAGACTTCAGTTATCATTCATAAGTAGTCAAAATAAGTATTCAAATGTTATGTCTACAAAAAAATTTATTATTAGATTAGAAATAGCTAATTTAGTTTCCAAAATGAGTTCAAAGTAATATAGTACAAATTATGAATTGTATCAAAAAAGTAGTTATCAGAATCTTTCTCTCACTTAATTTTATTAGAGGGGGTAATTTTATTTTTCTAGTTACAAATTGCCACGTTGCTACAGATGAAAGGGTCTCAAACTGAATTTGAGCAGCAGGAACGGTTGCTTGCCATGTTGGAGCAGAAGAATGGTGAAATAAAACATCTTTTAGGTGAAATTAGAAATCTGGAGAAATTTAAGGTATGTATAACAGTTAAAAAAACACACATCCAAATTTTGATTTGAATATCTTAAAATTTGGTTTGTTTTTTAAGTTTAAATTATTAATAAATATCTTGTGGGAGATACTTTGAGACTAAGTAAATGGCTGTTTCTCCTTATACTTAAACATCCATTGGTGATTCTTGCCTGAAACATAATTCTGTGATGATTGCTAAATGGGTAATTCCATCACTTCTTCTATATTTATTAGTTGGAATTTTAGTAAAGGGACAGAAAAGAAAAATCTTTTTCCTCACTTACTCATTCATTTATATCAGTATAGCCTCATGGATTCTTATTTTATCCTATGAGTTATAATCCATTGCTTGCTTTATTTACTCTGATACTCAAATTGTCCCAGATTTGATAGTCGAAGTGCTCTTACTTGAATATTTCCTTACTCTATGGCACAACAAGGGTTTCCTAGCTCACCTGGCCCACTTCTGGGATTAGCATTTCTTCAAGGAACATTGGTTTATTTTAGTTGAGAATGGTATTTGTGTAAGCATTTGTGTGTGTGTGTGTGTGTGTGTGTGTGTGTGTGTAAGAATTCACCCATGTTTTCTAAATAAGTAGGCAGTTGTCCCAGAGTCATTTGTTAAAAAATCAATCTTGATCCCAGTGATTTGAGTTGACACCTTTATCATACATCAAGTTTCCATATATACTTGAGTCTGTTTCTAAATTTTCTGTCTACGCCATTGGTCTGCTTCTCTGTGTGTCTGTACCACACTGTTTTATTAATTATAAAGGCTTTTAAGTATGTTTATCTGGTAGGACTATTTCCTCACTATACTTTTTATTTTTCAGTATTTTCCTGTCTATTTTTGAATGTTAGCTTTCATTTACAAACATCTTGTCTAGCACCAAAAAAAGCTTGTTGGCTTTCTATTAAAATTGCATGCAATTTAAGATTTTATAAATTGACTTAGGGAACATTGATATCTTCATTAACCTCCTAATGAACTAAAGTTCTAAATGACAAATTTTTGTAAATGTTAATAACCTCTTAGGCATTCTAAATTGTAGCCATTAGTATGTCATAAAATCTTAATTAAGTTTACATAACTTTATTTCTGTGTCTTATAAAAACTGTTGAAAGAACTACAAATTTGGTTAAGTTGGCAGCCTTATGTTTCCATCAGTGGGCTCAGAACTATACTCTGAAAATTATGGCCTTAAATCAGGGGAATTTTATTTATAACCTGAAATTGTTTCAAGTTTTTAAGCAGATTTACCTTTTCTATCCCACTAGAGAAATGTATAGTTTCCATCAGTCTCAGAAGAGCTTGCACTACATTCTTGCCTGGGGTGGGGGGAAGAATCTCAGAAGAGGGGGACACCAGATATAAATGTAAGGCTCTCATCTTCCTTTCATATTTTTCCAGTTTATGGTTTTGTTACAAAGGCCAGAATTTAATCCAGCAGGCATTTGTTTTTCTATTTTCAAAGCCAGGAGAGAGAAGGCAGAGCATGTAGGTAAGGCTAGAAGCCTAGGCCTTGTAGTCAGATTTGGGTTCAGGTTCTCTCTTCTTGGTTTACTTTCATCTGTATTCGGAGCCTGTTTCCTTATCTGTAAGAGAGGAATGTTAATTATTTACCTACTTCAGAAGGCAGATAAATTAAATGGGTAGTTCTTAGCGTAGTACGCCAAGGGATATAAATTCAGGAAGTGATGGTGCTATTATTAATAAACATACACTAACCTTATTTGTTATTTATTTTAAGTAATACAAACTTTTGCTTTTTTAAGAATTTATATGACAGTATGGAATCTAAGCCTTCAGTCGACTCTGGTACTCTGGAAGATAACACCTATTATACAGATTTACTTCAGATGAAGCTGGATAACTTAAAGTAAGTGTCTGGGTTGGTGGATGGAAAGATGAACATGTCACTTGCTTACTATGGTAGTGTCAGTGACTACAAAGTTTTTTTGAAATTGCCAAAGGAAATTTTCCGAAAAGAAAGGTAACAAAAATATCTTTGTGCAGATATTCATGTGTGAATACATTTGAAAGACTATTTCCTCCTTTGTCCATTTCCTTTCAAGAATGCATGAGTATTTTTTAAATTTAACACTACTATTGTTAAGGATTATTTAAATTGTTTATTGTTTCTTTGTTACTAAAAACCCCAGAAAAATGTATTTTTAACTAAGAATTCAAATATGCGATGAAATATTTATACCACTACACTTATTATATGCTGTCTTAATACTCGTTGGTTCTCCTTTTTTATTATCATAGCAAAGAAATTGAAAGCACTAAAGGTGAATTGTCCATACAGCGAATGAAAGCATTATTTGAGAGCCAGCGGGCTCTAGATATTGAGCGAAAACTTTTTGCAAATGAAAGATGCCTCCAGCTTTCAGAAAGTGAAAATATGAAACTGAGAGCTAAACTAGATGAATTGAAACTAAAATATGAACCTGAAGGTATATATGTCTCATATATTTTTGTCTTTTAAATTATGAGTAACCTGAAATTATATCAAATTATTTTCTTACTGTAGTTTTATGCAACTCTATTACAAACTCATTTGTAGTTATATACCTATAGTTAATAAAGCAAATTTATTGTGTAAAATAGGTAGGAAAATTCAGGGAGAACTGGATACTGGGTGTGCCTGAATATAACATGTATCCTTTTTGGATATCTAATTTCATCATACTGTATAGTAGAAACTTGAGATTTGAGACTTTCCCATTTTAAGATTACAGTATTTTATGTCATACCTAATAGTTTAATTATGTTGAAGCAGCTGATGTTTGGAAGCTATACGAGGTAGGACTGTTTATAGAAAATCTAAAGTAATGGAGACTTTAAAAAGGTGGGTCTTTATCTCTGCCTCTGATGGAAGTCTGGAGGAGGCCTTCCAGGACTGGGAAAGCACTCCACGGTATCAAGATTCAGGCTTCTTGTGTTTGTTGGTCTGCTGCCATCCTGTGGAGCAGAATTTAGTCATGCAGCCTCACCTGCTGACAGGAAGGGCTGAGAAATGCAGTCTTGATTCTCAGGGGCCATGTTCCTAACTAAATATTGGGAATTCTTTTATTAAGGAAGAACAGTGAGCCAGGCGTGGTGGCTCGTGCCTGTAATCCCAGCTCTTGGGGAGGCAGAGGGAGGAGGATAGCTGTGCCCAGGAATTTGAGATTTGCTTGGGCAATATAGCAAGACCCCATTCTCCACCAAAATGGGGGGGAAAGGAAAGAACAATGAAACATATTAGGGAATATCTAGCAAGTCTAATGACTGAGCTGGAAAGTAGCCTAACCATACAGTCTCTGCATCTTATATACTACAGAGAGTGAAGTTTACTGTATGTAAATTCAAAAACAAAAGGCCAAGTGTGAAGGAGTCTAAGAATGTGATGGTTCTACAACACCCCTTCCCTAAAAGAGTGTTACATGTTTTAGGTTAAGGATTCTCAACAAGTTTTTGTCCCCGCACTCTGCACATGCCTCAGTCTCTCTTCGTATTGTCTCAGTGAACTGCTATGATTCTCAACAATAGTGGGGAGGTTGCCAAAAATAGGAAGGTTTTTACACAATTTTAAAAGGCTTCTCTTGCTCTTAACTCTTTTTGTTTCTTCCATGATTCTAATAGGCTCCCCTGATTAAGAATTATCCATTATGAATTTCAAACATCTGTTGAACTGAACACAGCAAATAGACAGGAGGCAGGGTAGTGAATCCTGATAATGTGGGTTTCAAAGGAGCAGTGCCAGAAAAAGGGGAAATCATGGTCTAAAAGCAACAATGTAGAGCAAAAACAGCAACCCCTTGTGCTACCAGTGTTCCTCAGACTCCACTAACATTTTGATTTTGAAAATGAAACACATCGATAATGGGCATAGGGAAAAGATATTAGAGCAGTTAATTCAGTGGCTGTGTTTATGACCTGTTTAGATAGAATGATATTAGGCCATGAGGATAGAAGGCATTGCAGTAGTCTTTGATGAGACATGATAGGATTGGACTAGGGAAGTATCCATCATAAAAGTAGTCTGATTCTGCTTATATTTTGTAGGTAGAGCTAACAGGCATATATTACCAATATTCAGAAAGTTTGGCCTATTCTTGTCATTTAATCCTTCTAATACACAATACCAAGTGAAGTGGGTGCTTTTAATCCCCATTTTACAGATAAAATGAAGCTCAGAGAGGTTAAATAATTCCCCAAAGACATGGCTGTCACATACGAGGATTAGGATTCGAACCTGGACTCTGCCGCTGTCTCTTCATCTCCACACTGAGATCTTATGAACCACCTTTTTCAAAACACCAAGAGAGAACAGTGAAGCATTCATGCCTAAAGTCAAAATATTGAATTCCCAAGGAAAAATATATAGCCAAATAAACTTTAAAATATATAGTTTATATAGATTCCATGATAAAGAATAAAAGGTAGAAACAAAGGATGCATTTCAGTGAGGAGATGGTTGCATTTTAAAAGAATGGAAAAAGGTATACATATAACTAGTTCTGGCTTCTTGTGTTGATTGTGTCTTTGTTTTCTTAGATTTTTTCTTTTCCCCACTCGTTTTTATTCTCAGAGACAGTTGAAGTGCCTGTACTGAAAAAGAGGCGTGAGGTGCTCCCTGTGGATATAACCACCGCTAAAGATGCATGTGTCAACAACAGTGCTCTCGGGGGAGAAGTTTATCGATTACCGCCTCAGAAAGAGGAGACACAGTCCTGCCCTAACAGTTTAGAAGATAACAACTTGCAATTAGAAAAATCAGTTTCTATATACACACCAGTAGTCAGTCTCTCTCCTCACAAAAATCTGCCCGTGGATATGCAGCTGAAGAAGGAAAAGAAATGTGTGAAACTCATAGGAGTTCCCGCTGACGCTGAGGCCTTAAGTGAAAGAAGTGGAAACACCCCTAACTCTCCCAGGTCAGTGTCCTCTTTTCCTCCAGGCAGCCAGCAGACCTCTCCATCTCTCCTCTCTCGCTGCATGAACTGTGCTGTCTGTTTCTTTATCTACTTTCTTACAATTGCATGCAGTATAATTCCTCAGTTTCATCTACCTACCTTCAACTTTTCCAGAACTTTAAGAAAGACTAAACTGATTGCAAAGGGAAAGGACTCTTGAATAAGGCAATCACATTAAAAAGTTACACGTTTCTGTTTCATGAAAGGGAATATCACAGTTTAACACATCTCTGAATGTTTTATCAGTTTGAATACATGTACTGTTATTTTTCTCCTGGTTCAAGCATGGCCATGAAAGAAAAATTAACTTACTTTCTCAAAGGGCTTTCCAGTAGTCTAAGAAATTTCAGCCTTCTAGGAAACTTAGGTGAATTTTTTATGTCTTTTGAATTGCTTATCCTAGGCATTCAAAAATGGGCTTCAATACTTATTTTGACATTTTTACATATCAAAGCTAACTCATTTTCATTGTTTCCAAAACTTGAAAGCCTCTAGTTTCTGCATAATTGAGTTTGTGACTAAAAGAAATAGCGTCAGATATGTGTGTCTGAAGGAATTAATGTCCCAAGGGCTTTGTCTTAATAAAAATAATTGAGGTCAGAAGGTAAGAGAAAGTGAATGGAAGGGAAAGGTAAGTAGCAGTGGCTGAGGCTCGAGTTCTGGATGTGCGCAGCAGGAGAAGTGAATGAGGAAATTGAAGAAAGTAAAAGAAAGATGAAGGATGTCTGCATGCAATGGGATTGTTAGAGGCATTTAAAACAAATATCTAGACATTCAAAAAGATGTGCCAATAACTAGCCTAGATTATCTCCTATGAAATGAGATGTTGAAGGTGCTACTAGGGCTACCTTAGTCTTAGAGAGTGGAGACAGATTAATAAGACATTTTACTAATGTGCATTTGAGTAGAGAGAGTAAGACAGCCCTGTTTAAAAGGGCTTATATGTTTTATCTGATTTCTCTCCAAGTCTTCAGTGCTACTAAATGTAATATTCAACAGTAAAAGCACTTTAACAATGTTAGCTGCTATTATTATAAGGCATAGTAATTTTATTACTCCCTCCTTGGATTTTTATAGAATGTTATAACCTCTGAGTCACATAAAATAAAAGCTTACCATTCTTAAGGAAAAAGTAACTTCAAATGAGTATCTGCCACATACCCATGGTTTCAAAGAGTTCTGAAATGAATCCAGCAGATTATGCCTGTTTATATGTGATGCATTGTATAAACATCCTTGACCAGTGTATATTTCTGGAGGTGGATTTCCAGAATTGATAAGTGCCAGCCTTGCTATCTGTATTGTCTTCATTCCTTTTTCTGCCTTTTTTTGCTTGATAAAAAATCACTTAAGCAAATGTATGTGGCTAATTGACTCAAGTAGCACGTTGGAAACTTTTTGTCTTGTTCGTTAAACAAAAAATAAAATACCACAAAACATTTGTGTGTGTGTGTGTGTGTGTGAGTCCATCTGCTAACTTAAAATGTTTCCGACTCTTTGTTTTCTGCCTGTTTAACTTAGATACACAATCCTAAGATAATTTTGGAACAATAAATATGGCTTTTATTGGGAACTTCACTATTGCATGCTTTACAAAACTAATTGGTGTTCTTGTTACCGAGAATCTTTACAGGCCTTTAAGAATCTCTCTACTGTTTATCTTTTCTTTATTCTACTAGTTGAAACTCAATTTTTTAATATGAAACAAATAGACATCTATTCATGCAGCCCAAGATTCCATGTTATTTTTGTCTTGCCTTTTGTATGTCATGTTAACATTAAAATATTGCTGTAACATTTCAGTTTTTGTGTTAGGTGTGCTTATCATGATAGGTGCCCTGTCATATTTTCTTTAATTTAGGGCTTGCCATGACTTTTTAAAGATATTCTTTAGACTTAAAAAATAATTGGCCCAGCGTGGTGCCTCACACCTGTAATCCCGGCACTTTGGGAGGCTGAGGCAGGTGGATCACGAGGTCAAGAGATCAAGACCATCCTGACCAACGTGGTGAAACCCTGTCTCTACTAAAAATACGAAAATTAGCTGCATGTGGGGGTGCGCACCTATAGTCCCAGCTACTCCGGTGGCTGAGGCAGGAGAATCGCTTGAACCCGGGAGGCGGAGGTTGCAGTGAGCCGAGATCATGCCACTGCGCTCCAGCCTGGTGACAGAGTGAGACTCTGTCTCAAAAAGTAATAATAACAATAATTGAGCCTATTGATATAAAAAGACTTTTAGACAGCCAGTGACTTAATATTCTTACAGTATTAGAGTCAACTATATTTTTTTTCCTTGAATACCATGCCTTATTGGAGGCCCATTATACTGGGGGTTTGTTTCTTCAATCCTTCATAACCACATTTGAATTCAGAGTGGATGCTTTAATGCCTGTAGGTTAGCTGCTGAATCAAAGCTTCAAACAGAAGTTAAAGAAGGAAAAGAAACTTCAAGCAAATTGGAAAAAGAAACTTGTAAGAAATTACACCCTATTCTATATGTGTCTTCTAAATCTACTCCAGAGACCCAGTGCCCTCAACAGTAAAGACTTGTCTTTAATAAGAGTACGGTGCCACTTGCCTCAAAAGTTACTATGGTGCTTAAGATTGTCTTGATCTGACATATATCACCTTCTGGGTTATTTACTCATTGTGCCAGGACCTGGCATTTTCATGTGCCTTTGACCAAGTGTTCAGAATTTGCTTGACTCTAACCTGGAGAGCTTCTTAAGTGATGCCCCTTCATGGAGCTTCTATGACAGTGAATAAACTATTAATTGAAGGAAAATGTTATAATTAATGTATCTATTTGCTGCATTGTATATGGATTAAATGATAAAAAACAAGTAATCTACCCTCAGAGCCATGTATTTGAGAATGCTTCAATCATATTTTCCTATGTACTTTTTTTTATAAACTTAGTTTTAGACTATGTTGTAAAAATGGGAAGGTTGTAAACTATGTTGTAAAAATAGGAAATGTGGCTTAAAATATATACATTATATTGTTTCAGGATTTTGTCAGTGTTTAAAGAACCAATGTTCATCTTTGTATTTATATACATGATTTAAATTTTGTCTAAAATTTTAAATAAAACTGCAGTGATTTATCCTTAAATTTCTTACTCTCTATAGGTAACAGGATGTTATCAAAAGGGAGTAAAAAGCACTTTGGGAGGCTGAGGCGGGTGGATCGCTTGAGCCCAGGAATTCGAGACCAGCCTGGGCTACATGGCAAAACCCCATATCTACAAAAAAATACAAAAAATTAGCTGGGCATGATGGTGCACACCTGTAGTCCCAGCTACTCTGGAGGCTGAGGTGATAGGATCATCTGAGCCCAGTAAGGAGGTCGAGGCTGTAGTTGAGCTGTGATCATACTACTGCACTCCAGCCTGGGCAACACAGCAAGACCCTGTCTCAAAAAAAAGTGGGGGAAATAAATAAGAGGAAAAAAGAAACCTCAGGAATTCTTAATTCCCTTATGTATAATTTTATATATAATTTTATGGTTAATTATATGTACATATACAGATGGTCTCTGACATAACAATGGTTTGACTTAATGATTTTTCGACTTTTCAGTGGTACAAAGACAGTATGCATTCAGTAGAAACTGTACTTCAAGTACCCATATGACCATTCTGTTTCTCACTTTCAGTACAGTACTCAATAAATCACATAAGATATTCAACACTTTATGACAAAATAGACTTTGTGTTAGATGATTTTGCCCAGTAGTAAACCAATGTAAGTTTTCTGAGCACATTTAAGGCAGGCTAGGCTGAGCTATAATGTTCATTAGGTTAGGTGTATTAAATGCATTTTTGACTTAATATTTTCAACTTATGGGTATATCGAATTGTAACCCCGTTGTAGGTCAAGGAGCATCTGCATATATACATACATAGATGATAGATAGATAGATAGATAGATAGATAGATAGATAGATTTAATTCTAAACTTTCCAAATACTCTTTCATTTAAATGATTATAGTTTTACAACAATTTCATATATTCTATAGGTAGGAGAATTAGGGTTTTCCAGAGAAATAGAACCAATAGGATGTGTGTGTATATAAAGATTTACTTTCAAGAATTGGTTCACATGGTTGTGGGGGCAAGTCCAAACTTGTAGGGTGGGCCAGCAGACTGGAGACCAGGGAAGGGAAGAGCTGATGAGTTCAAGTCCGAAAGCCATCACACTAAAGACCCAGGGAGATAACTGCCACTGCAGTTCAAGTTCAAAGGCTGTCTGCATCAGAATTTCCCTTTGCTGGGGTAGGTGAGTCTTTCCATCTAGGACTTCAATTCATTGGATGAAACCCATTCACATTAGAGAAGGCAATCTGCTTTAAGTCCACTGATTTAAATGCTGATCTCACCCAAAAACATCCTCACAGAAACGTTCAGAATAACACTATAAAGCAATTAGACCTAAAGAAATATGTAGCATACTCCACCCAAAGGAGAATACACCTTCTTAAGTGTACACAGAACATTGTGCAAAACAGACCAATGTTATGCCACAAATCTGGTCTCAATAAATTTTAAAAGTTGAAAAAGTATCTCGACTACAATGGAATGAAATTAAAAATCAACAACAAGAAAATCTGGAGAATTCACAAATACTATGTAGAAATAAAACAATACACTCTTTAAACAGCAGATGAATCAAAGAAGAAATCACTAGGGAAATATTTTGAAGATGAATTTTAAAATATTTTAAAATGAGTGAAAATGAAAACACAACAATAACAAAACTTGTTAAGTGTAGCGAAAGCAAAAGCCCTCAGTGGGGAATTTATATTTGGAGATGCCTACATTTTAAAAAAGAAAGCTCTCAAACTAATAACCTAACTTTATACTTTGAGGAACTAAAACAAGAAGAGAAAACTAAAAAGCTAAATCCACGGCCAGCAGAAGGAAGAAAATAAGAGATGAGAACAAAAACAAATGAAATTGAGAACACGAAAACAATGGAATCTATGGAACCTAAAGTTTGTTCTTTGAAAAAATCAAAATTAATAAACTTTTAGCTAGACTGATCAAGGAAAAAGGAGAAAAGACTCAAATTACTAAAATAAGGAATGGAAGTAGGGACAATACTGTCAATCTTATAGAAGTAAAAGGGGTTATGAGAGAACGCTATAAACAATTACAAATTATGTATACTAGATGACATAGTCAAATTCCTAGAATCAAACTACGAAAACTTATTCAAGAAGAAATAAAAAAAAAACTCAATAGAGCTTTAAAAGAGGGAATCAAATCAGTAATCAAAAAAACTTTCAAAAAGAAAAGCTCAGGACCAGATGGTTGCACTAGTGAACTCTACCAAATACTTAAAAAAGAGCTTATCTTTCTAAAACTAGTATGTCTCAATCTCTTCCAAAACATCAAAGGAGATTATTTCCTAACTAATTCTATGAGGAAAGTATTGTCCTAATTCCAAAGCCAAAGACATCAGAAGAAAACTACAAACCAATATCCCTTATGAATATAAATGCAAAAAATCTATAAAAAAAATACTAGCAAATTCAATCCAGCAGCATACTGAATTATACACCATGACCAAGTGGGATTTGTCCCAGGAATGCAACGGTAAATTAAAACAGGAAAACCAATGTAATATACTGTATTAGTTTCTGGTGAAATGAATTACCACACATTGAATGGCTTAAAACAATAAAAATGTACTGTTTTATAGTTCTGGAGGCTAGAAGTCTGAAATCAAGTTGTTGGCATGGTCTTGCTCCCACTGAAGGCAATAGAGAAGAAATATTTCCCTACTTTTGGTGGCTCCCAGCAATCTTTGGCATTCTTAGCCATCACTCCAATGTCTGGCTGTCTTCACACAGCCCACATCTCCATCTCTGTGTGTCCTCTCCTCTTCTTATAAGGACACCTTAACTAAGTATGATCTCATCTTGATCCCTAACTAATTATATCTGCAAAGACCATACTCAAAATTAGGTCACATTCTGAGGTTCTGAGTGGATAAATTTTGGGGGGATAGTATTTGAACCAATACACACACCATAGTAACAGAACAAAGAGGGGGAAACACCCCTGACATGATTACCTCAATTGACACAGAAAAAGCATTTGAAAAAATCCAGTATATGTTTATGATTTTTAAAACACTCAACAAACTGGAAATAGAAAGGAACTTCCAAACTAATTAAAGGGCATTAATGAAAAAAATAATGAAAGTATGAAAAAATCATACTGGTAAAAGACTGAAAGCTCTTCCCGTAATATCAGGAACAAGAAAAGGATGTCTTATCTTGACACTTATATTCAACGTTGTACTGAAATTGATAGCCAAGTCAGTTAGACAAGAAAAAGAAACAAAAGGCATCCAAATCAAAAAAGAAGGAGTAAAAATATCTATATTCACAGATGACATCATCTTTCACATAGAAAATATTAAAGAATTCTCCAAAAATCTATTAGAGCTAATAAATGATTTCAGTAGTTGCAGTATACAAAATCAACATATAAAAATCTAGTTTTCTTACACACTAGCAATGAACAATTAGAAAATGAAATTAAGAAAATTATTTAAGCAGCACCAGAAAGAACAAGCTCTTAGGAATAAATTTAACCAAGGAAGTGAAACTTTAACACACTGAAAACTACCAAGTATTATTGAAAGAAGTTAAAGACCTAAATTAATGGAAAGATATCTCATGTACATGGATTGAAAGACTTAATATTGTTAAGATGGCAATACTTTCTGTCTTAGTCAGTTTGGACTGCTGTAGCAAATTATTGTAGACCGGATAGCTTAAACAACTAACATTTCTTCTCACAGTTCTGAATGCTAGACAGTTCAAGATCAAGGTGCCAGCAGATCCAGTACCTGCTGAGGGCTCACTTTCTGGTCTGCAAATGGCAATTTTCTTGTATCTTCCACATGCTGAAGAGCAGAGACAGAGAATAAGTTTGTGTGTCTTTTTATAAGGGCACTAACCCCATTCATGAGGGTGGAGCCCTCATGATCTAATTACCTCCCAAAGGCACCACTTCCTAATGCCATCACATTGGGAGTTCGTATTTTGAAATATGAATTTTGGCAGGGGATACCCAAAGTGATCTACAGCTTCAATACAATTCCTATCAAAACCCCAATGAAAACGTGATTCTAAAATTTATACAAAATTGCAAGAGACCCCAATAGCCAAAACAATCTTGAAAAAAAAAAAAAAGAAACAGAGTTAGAGGACTTACATGTTCCTATTTAAAAACTTAGTAAAGAGACAAGAAACGAAACAGTGTGGAACTGGCATAAAGATAGACATAGATAATGGAATATAATTGAGAAATAAATGAGACTATAAGTAAATCAGAAATAAACCTATACATGTATGATCAATTGATTTTTAACAATGGTAGCAAGACCATTTAATGGGGAGAGAAGAGTTTCTTCAACAAATGATGCTGGAACTACTTGATAACCACATGCAAAAGAATGAAGTTAGACCCTTACATCACCTCATATGTAAGTATAAGTTCAAAATGAATCAAAGATCCAAATGTAAGAAGTAAACTATAACACCCTTAATAGAAAACATAAGGCTAAATCTTTGTTACTTGGATTTCACTATGATTTCTTATATATAACATGAAAAGCACAAGCAACAAAAGAAAAAATAGGTAAAATGGTCTTCATCAAAATTAAAAACTTTTGTGCATCAAATGACACTATTTAGTGGGTAAAAAGATATCCCGCAGAAGGGTGGGGAGCAAGATGACAAATAGAAGGCTCCACTGGAACACCAAATTTAACAACTATCTACACACAAAAAAAGAACCTTCATAACAACTAAAAATCACAAAAATCAGGTGAGCACTCAGAGTACCTGATTTTAGCTTCATATTACTGAAAGAGGCACTGAAGGGGGTAGGAAAGACAGTCTTGAATTGCTGATTCCTCCTCTCTGCCATCCTCCACATGGCACAGAGAAAAGGATCTGTGTGCTTGGGGAGGAAAAGCACAGCAATTATTAGACTTTGCGTTAAACTCAGTGCTGCTCTGTCACAGTGGAAAGCAAAACTAGCGTAACTCAGCTGGTGCCCACCCACAGAGGGAGCATATATACTAGCTCTAGCCAGAGGGGAGTTGCATATCCAAGCAGCCAGAACTTGAGTTCCGACAAGCCTCACCACCAGGCTAAAGTATTCTGGCATCCTAAGTCAACTTGAAACTCAGACTAGGTCACAAGGACTGCAACTCCTACGTGAGTCCTGCTGCTGAGCAGGACTCAGAGCCAGTGGACTGGGGGGCACATGACCTACCAGGACACCAGCCAAAGCAGCTAAGGGAGTGCTTGCATGACTCTCCCCCAGCCACAGGCTGTAGAGTTCAAAAGGCTATCAGCAGCAAACCCAAGTTTTTACACAATGAATTATTTTTAAAATAGCCCAAAAAAGGATATTCAACAACACATTAAAAAGTTCATTCATCATGACCAAATGGGATTTATCCCTGGGATGCAAGAATGGTTCAACATACACAAATCAATCAATGTGATAACATTTTAGCAGCAGAATGAAGAACAAAAATTCAATTCAATTGATGCTGTAAAAACATTTGATAAAAGTCAACATATCGGCCGGGCGCGGTGGCTCACGCCTGTAATCCCAGCACTTTGGGAGGCTGAGGTGGGCGGATCACCTGAGATCGGGAATTCGAGACCAGCCTCAACATGAAGAAACCCCATCTCTACTAAAAATACAAAAAAAAAAAAAATTAGCTGGGCATGGTGGTGCATGCCTGTAATCCCAGCTACTCAGGAGGCTGAGGCAGGAGAATTGCTTGAACCTGGGAGGCGGAGGTTGCGGTGAGCTGAGATCGCGCCATTGCACTCCAGCCTGGGCAACAAGAGTGAAACTCAGTCTCAAAAAAAAAAAAAAAAAAAAAAGTCAACATATCTTCATGATAAAACCCTCAAAAAACTGGGCTTAAACCATAGCTACGGCAAACAAACACAGCCAAAACCCTAGCCAGATAAACAAAAACTCATCACTTCGTTTTACTCAATATATTAGGTTTGGCTTTCAAAAAAATTTACAAGGCATACCAAAAGGCAAAAACACACTGTAGAGAATCAAGCAGGAATCAGATGCAGACTCGAATATGACAGGAATTTTAGGTGATCAGGTCAGGAATTTAAAATAACTATGACTAATATGCCCAGAGCTGTAATGGAAACAGTGGACAGCAGTCAAGTATGGATGGGTAATGTAAACCAAGAGAGAGAAACTCTAAGAAAGAATCAAGAGGAAATGCTAGAAATCGAAAACACTGTAGCAGAAATGAAGAATGCTTTTGATGATTGTTTTTGATGATCAAAGGACTGGGCATGGCCAAGGAAGGAATCTTCAAGTAAGCTTGAAGATATGTTAATAGAAACTTTTCAGACTGAAAAGAGAAGAACAAATTTAAAAAAAAAAGAATATCCAAAAACTGTGAAGCAATTACAAAAGGTCTACATTTCATTACATGTAATAGGATTAGTAAAAGAAGAAGAGAGAGGAAAAGGAACAGAAAAAATATTTAAAATAATAATGGCTAAAATTTTTCCAAAATTAACAGCAGATACCAAACTACAGATCTTAGAAGCTCAAAACAACACCAAGAAGGATAAATACTAAAAAATCTACAACTGCATGTAGGTTTATCATATTCAAACTTCAAAAAATCAAAGACAAAAAAAAATCTTAAAAGAAGCCTGAGGGGGGGGAAAATACCTTACTTAGAGACAAATGAAGATAAGAATTCTATCAGACTTCTATTCAGAAACCATGAAAAGACTTGCTTTAGATATGCGGGCTCTTTTTTGGTTCCATGTGAATTTTAGAATTGTTTTTTCTAATTCCATTAAGAATGATGGTGGTATTTTGATGAGAATTGTATTGAATTTGTAGACTGCTTGTGGCTATATGATCATTTTCACGATATTGATGCTACCCAACCATGAGCATGTGATGTGTTTCCATTTGTTTGTGTCATCTATGATTTCTTTCAGCAGTGTTTTGTGGTTTTCTTTATAGAGATTTTTCACCTCCTTGGTTAGGTATATTCCTAAGTTGTTCTTCTTTTTCTTTTTTCTTTTTTTTTTTCAGTTATTGTAAAAGGAATTGAGTTCTTGATTTGATTCTCAGCTTGGTCCCTGTTGGTATATAGAACAGCTACTGATTTGTGTACATTAATTTTGTATCTGGAAACTTTGCTGAATTTTTTTTATCAGTTCTAGGAGGTTTCTGGAGGAGTTTTTAGGGTTTTCTAAGTAAAAAAAATCACATCATCAGCAAACAGTGAGTTTGACTTCCTCTTTACTGATTTGGATGCCCTTTATTTCTTTCTCTTGTCTGATTGCTCTGGCTAGGACTTCCAATACTATGTTGAAGAGGAGTGGTGAGAGTGGGCATCCTTGTCTTGGTCCAGTTCTCAGAGGGGATGATTTCAACTTTCAGTATTATGTTGGCTGTAGGTTTGTCATAGATGGCTTTTATTACATTGAGGTCTGTCCCTTGTATGCTGATTTTACTGAGAATTTTTATCATAAAGTGATGCTGGATTACGTAAAATGCTTTTTCTGCATCTATTGAGATGATCGTCTATTTTTGTTTTTAATTCTGCTTATGTGGTGTATCACATTTACTGACCTGCGTATGTTAAACCATCCCTGGTGTGAAACCTACTGGATCATGGTGGATTTTCTTTTTGATATGTTGTTGGATTCAGTTAGCTACTATTTTGTTAAGGATTTCAGCATCTATGTTCATCAGGGATATTGGACTCTAGTTTTCTCTTTTGCTTATGTCCTTTCCTGGTTTTGGTATTAGGGTCATACTAGCTTCATAGAATGATTTAGTGAGGGTTCCCTTTTTCTCTATCTTGTGAATAGTGTCAATAGGACTGGTACCAGTTCTTTGAATGTCTGGTAGAATTCAGCTGTGAATTGTCTGGTCCTGGATTTTTTCTTGGTAGTAATTTTTAATTATCATTTTAATCTTACTGCTTGTTATTGGTCTGCCCAGCATATCTAATTTTTCCTGATTTAGGCTAGGAGGGTTGTATCTTTCCAGGAATTTATCCATCACTTCTAGGTTTTCTAGTTTATGTGCGTAAAGGTGTTGATAGTAGCCGTAAATAATCTTTTGTATTTCTGAAGTGTCCATTGTAATATCTCCTGTTTCATCTCTTATTGAGCTTATTTTTATTTTCTCTCTTCTTTTCTTGGTTAATCTTGCTAATGGTCTATCAGTTTTATTTATGTTTTCAAAGAACCAGCTTTTTGTTTCATTTATCTTTTGTATTTGTTTGTTTCTTTGTTTGTTTCAATTTCATTTAGTTTTGCCCTGATCTTGGTTATTTCCTTTCTTCTGCTGGTTTTGTGTTTGGTTTGTTCTTGTTTCCCTGGTTCCTTGAGGTGTGACATTAGATGGTGTGTTTGTGCTCTTTCAGACTTTTTGATGTAGGTGTTTAGGGCTATGAACTTTCCTCTTGGCACTGCCTTTGCTGTATCCCAGAGGTTTTGATAGGTTGTGTCATTATTGTCGTTTGGTTTGAAGAATTTTTAAATTTCCATCTTGATTTCATTTTTGACCCAATGATCATTCAGGATCAGGTTATTTAATTTCTATGTATTTGCATGGTTTTGAAGGTTCCTTTTGGAGTTGATTTCCAGATTTATTCCACTGTGGTCTAAGAGAGTGCTTGATATAATTTCAGCTTCCCCTGGAGGCATCACATTACATGATTTCAAACTACACTATAATGCCATAATCACCAAAACAGCATGATACTGGTATAAAAATAGGCATGTAGACAAATGGGACAGAATAGAGAACCCAGAAATAAACCCAAATACTTACAACCCACTGAACTTTGACAAAGCAAACAAAAACATAAAGAGAGGAAAAACACCCTTTTCAACAAATGATGCTGGGATAATTGGCTAGCCACATGTAGGAGAATGAAACTGGATCCTCATCTCTCCCGTAATACATACATATATATATATATATGTATATATGTGTACATATATGTAATACATATATGTATGTATTATATACATATATATGTATTATATACACATCATATATATATATATATATATATATGATAGAATACTAGTCATCCATAAAAAGGAATGAATTAATGGCATTTGCAGCGACCTTGACAAGACTGGAGACTATTATTCTAAGTGAAGTAACTCAGGAATGGAAAACCAAACATCATATGTTCCCACTCATAAGTGGGAGCTAAACTATGAGCATGCAAAGGCATAAGAATGACACAATGTACTTTGGGGACTCAGGGGGAAGGGGTGGGAAGGGAGTGAGGGATAAAAGACTAAAACAGGGTGCAGTGTGTAGTGCTCAGGTGATGGGTGCACCAAAATCTCACAAATCCCCACTAAAGAACCTACTCATGTAACCAAACACCACCTGTTCCCCAAAAACCTATGGAAATAATTTAAAAAAAAGAAACTATGCAAAGAAACAGAAGAGTGGCATAAAATGAAGTCTTGAAAAAAATATAGAATTCTGCACCCTGTGAAATTATCCTTTAAAAGTGAAGGAGAAATACTTTCTTAGAAAAACAAAAAATGAAGGAATGTATCACAGTAAAAATGCTTTACAAGAAATATTCATAAAAGTTCTTCAGAGAGAAGAAAAATGATATAGGTCAGAAACTTGGTTTTACATAAAGAAAGAACTTTAGACAAGGAAAGAATGAAGATAAAACTTTTTTTCTTATTTTAATTGATCTAACAGATAATAGTTTGCTCATAATAATAATAGCAACAAAATGTATTGGGTGATTATAGCCTATAGGTAAGTAAAATTAATGAAAGCAATGTAATAAAGGATGAGAGAGGGGAACTGAGAATATTCTGTTATAAAGTACCTGCCTTACCTGTTAAGTGCTATAGTGTTATTTGAAAGTGGACTGGCCAGGTGCAGTGGCTCACGCATGTAATCCCAGCACTTCGGGAGGCCGAGGCGGGCGGATCACGAGGTCAGGAGATCAAGACCATCCTGGCTAACATGATGAAACCCTGTCTCCACTAAAAAAATACAAAAAATTAGCCGGGCGTGGCAGCGGGTGCCTGTAGTCCCAGCTACTCGGGAGGCTGAGGCAGGAGAATGGCGTGAACCCAGGAGGCAGAGTTTGCAGTGAGCTGAGATTGTGCCACTGCACTCCAGCCTGGGTGAAAGAGCAAGACTCCGTCTCAAAAAAAAAAAAAAAAAAAAAAAAAAAGAAAGTGGACTTAGATTAGTTGTAAATATATATTGCAAACTATAGGGTAACCACTAATATTTTTTAAAGTTTAATTTGATAATCTAAGATGACAGGAGAGAAATTAAAATCATACAAAATGCTCAGTTAAAACAAGAGAAGGCAGGAAAATAATGGAAGACAAAAAGGAAACAAAGAACAAGGGTGATGAATAAAAAACAACTACAAATATGGTAAGTATTCATCCAACAATATCAAAATCACTTTAAATGTGAATGGTTAAAATGCAATTCAAAGACAGCCTGTTGGAGTAGATAAAAAGCTGATACCCAACTGTTTGTTGTCTGCAAGAATCCCAGTTTAAAGACACAGATAAATTAAAAGTGTTGAAATATGTGAGGTAAAAACTAAGTGAATGTCAAGGAGAAATACACAAATCCATTTTTATAGTTGGAGACTTCAACAGCCCTCCATCATTAATTGATAGATGCTTCAGTAGTCAAAAAAAATCAGTAAGGATATAGTTGAACTGAACAGCATCATCAATCAACTGGATCTAATTGACATTTATAGAACAACAGCAGAATACACATTTGATATGGTTTGTTCCTGTGTCCACACCCAAATCTCATCTTGAACTGTCATCCCCAAGTATCAAGGGAGGGACAAGGTGGGTGGTGACTGGATCATGGGGGTGATTTCTCATATGCTGTTCTCATGATAATGAATGAGTCCTCATGAGATGCTATGGTTTTATAAGTGTTTGGAAGTTCCTCCTTCACTCTTCTCCCTCTCCTGCTGCCTTGTAAAGAAGGTGCCTGCTTCCCTTTCCATCATGATTACAAGTTTCCTGAGATCTCCCCAGCCATGCGGAACTGTGAGTCAATTAAATCTCTTTCCTTTATAAATTACCAAGCCTTGGGTAATATCTTTATAGGAATGTGAAAATGGACTAATACAACAATCTTTTCAAGTTCACATGGAACATTCACCTTAATAGACCATTTTGAGGCCATAAACACACATTAACAAATCTAAATGAATAGAAATCATACAAAGCATGCTCTCAGATCATGATGAAATTAAGCTAGAAATCAATAACAGAAAGATAGCTGGAAATATCTCCAAATTAAACAACATACTTTTAAATAACACGAGTTTAAGAAGTCTTAAGAGACATTTAAAAATTGTTTAAGCTAAATGGAAATGAAAACACAATTGATCTAAATCGAGGGATGCAATGCAGGAAGTGCTTCAAGGGAAATTTCTCACATTAAAAGCATATATTAGAACATTCAGGAGATCTAAAAGTCAATGCTCTAAGTTTCCACCTTAGGAAACCAGAAAAAAATAGCAAATTATATCCAAAGTAAGGAGAGGAAAATCAATAATAAATAGAGCAGAAATCAGTGAAGTTAAGAACAGGAAATAAGTAGAGAAAACCAATGAAACAAAAAGCTGCTTATTTGACAGGATCAATAAATTAATAAACTTCTAGCCAGGCTAACTGAGAAAAAAAAGGGAGAAGATATAAATTATTAGTACTAGAAATAAAAGAAGGGTTATCACCACTGATCCCACGGCCATTGAAAGGATAATAAAAGAATATCACAAACAACTCTATGCCCACAAATCTGAAAACTTAGATAAAACGGACCTATTCCTTGAAAGACACAACCTACCAAAATTCACATGAGGAAAAATGGATAATCTGAGAAGGCCTATACCTGTTAAATAAAATGATCAGTAATTAATCACCTTCCAAAACAGGAAGCACCAAACATTTGGTAGAATTCAAACAGTTGAATTCTACCAAACATTTAAATGGAATGTATCTCAATTCTCTGCAATCATTTTTAGAGAATGGAAGCAGACAGAGCACTTCCTAACTCATTCTACATGGTCAGCATTACCTCAATACCAAAACCAGACAAAAACCTTACCAAAAAAAATACTATAGACCAATATTTCTCATGAACAAAGATGCAAAACTTTTCAACAAAGTATGAGAAAAATGAACCCAACAATGTACAAAAAGAACTATATGTCATGACCAAATGTGATTTACTCTAGGTATGTGAGGCTGGTCCAACATTCAAAAATCAGTTAATCCATCACATCAACAGACTAAAGCAAAAAAAAATTACATGATAATATCAATAGATGCAGAAAAAGTATTTGACAAAATCTAACACCAATTTATGACAAAAACTCTCAGCAAACCAGGAATAGAGAGAGACTTTCCAAACTTGCAAAAGGACATCAACAAAATACCTACTGCTAACACCATGCTTAATGGTGAGAAACTTGGCACATTCCTACAACCACTATGGAAAACAGTGTGGAGATCCCTTAAAGAATTAAAAGTAGAACTACCATTTGATCCAGCAATCCTGCTACTGGGTATCTACCCAGAGGAATAGAAGTCATTATATGAAAAAGATACTTGCACACACATGTTTACAGCAGCACAATTTGCAATTTCAAAAACATTGAACCAACCCAAATGCCCATCAATCAATGAGTGGATAAAGAAACTGTGAGATATATATATATGTATCTCACTCAACTGTGAGATATATATATATGTATCTCACTCAACTGTGAGATACATATATATATATGTATCTCACTCAACTGTGAGAGAGATATATATGTATGTATCTCACTCAACTGTGAGAGAGATATATATATATCTCACTCAACTGTGAGATATATATATATATATCTCACTCAACTGTGAGAGAGATACATATATATATATCTAACTCAACTGTGAGATATATATATATATATATCTCACTCAACTGTGAAACTTTGTGCTTTCCTCCTGATTAGAAACTTGGCAAGGATACCCCCTCTCACTACTCCTATTGAACATTGTACTAGAAGTTCTAGCTCATGCAGTAAGACAAAAAAAAAAAAGGGAAATAAAGATAAACAGGCATGCAGTCTTGAAATAAGTAAATAAAACTGTCTCTTTTTTTCAAATAGCATCATTGCGTATGTAGAAAATCCCAAATAATCAACAACAAAAAGCACCCTGCTAGAACTAATAAGAAATTATAACAAGTTTGTAGGATACAAGGTTAATGTAGGATACAAGGTTAATGTGCAAAAGTCCACTGCTTTCCTATCTACTATTACAACAATACAAAAGTATAACTTAAAATTTAAGACATGATACCATTTACACTATCAACCCCCCAAAATGAAATTGTTATAACAAAATATGTACAATATCTATGTGAGACAAACTACAACACTCTGAAGAAGGAAGTCAAAAAAGATCTAAATAAATGAAGAAACATTCCGTAATTATGGTTAGAAATGTTGCGGGAAGTCAGGAACCCCCAGTGGAGGGACCGGCTGAAGCCACGGCAGAAGAACATGAATTGTGAAGATCTCGTGGACATTTATTAGTTCCCCAAATTAACACTTTTATAATTTCTTACGCCTGTCTTTACTGCAATCTCTGAACATAAATTGTGAAGATTTCATGGACACTTATCACTTCCCCAGTCAATACCCTTGTGATTTCCTATGCCTGTCTTTACTCTAATCTCTTAATCCTGTCATCTTCGTAAGCTGAGGAGGATGTATGTCACCTCAGGATCCAGTGATGATTGCGTTAACTGCACAAATTGTTTGTAGAGCATGTGTGTTTGAACAATATGGAATCTGGGCACCTTGAAAAAAGAACAGGATAACAGCAATGTTCAAGGAACAAGAGAGATAACCTTAAACTCTGACCATCAGTGAGCCAGGCAGAACAGAGCCATATTTCTCTTCTTTCAAAAGCAAATGGGAGAAATATCACTGAATTCTTTTTCTCAGCAAGGAACATCCCTGAGAAAGAGAATGCGTCCCTGAGGGTAGGCCTCTAAAATGGCTGCTTTGAGGGTGGCTGTCTTTTACAATCAAAGCTGTAGGGATGAAATAAGCCCCAGTCTCCCGTAGTGCTCCCAGGCTTAATAGGATGAGGAAATTCCCGCCTAATAAATTTTGGTCAGACTGGTTGTCTGCTCTCAAACCCTGTCTCCTGATAAGATGTTATCAATGACAATGCATGCCCGAAACTTCATTAGCAATTTTAATTTTGCCCTGGTCCTGTGATCTCGCCTTGCCTCCATTTACCTTGTGATATTCTATTACCTTGTGAAGCACATGATCTCTGTGACCCACACCCTATTCGTACACTCCCTCCCCTTTTGAAAATCACTAATAAAAACTTGCTGGTTTTATGGCTCAGGGGCATCACGGAACCTGCCAACATGTGATGTCTCCCCCAGACACCCAGCTTTAAAATTTCTCTCTTTTGTACTCTGTCCCTTTATTTCTCAGACCGGGTGACACTTATGGAAAATAGAAAAGAACCTACATGAAATATCGGGGGTGAATTTTGCCTGATATCTGGCTGAATTTCCCCTGATATAGAAAGACTCAATACAGTTAAGATATCAGTTCTTCCTGAGTTGAGCTTTAGATTCAATGCAATCCAAATCAAAATTCTAGCAGGCTGTTTGATGGATGTCAATAAATTAGTTATAAGGTTTATATGGCAATGTAGATGACAAAGAATAGCCAAGACAATATGGGAGAAGAAGGACAGTCGGAGGATCGATACTACCCAACTTCAAGGTTTAATATAAAGCTGCAGTAATCAGTACAGTGTGGTGTTGGTGAAAGAATAGACAAATCGATGAATGAACAGATTAGAGAGCCCAGAAATAGACCCACACAAAGTCAACTGATCTTTGATGAAGGAGCAAAGGCAATTCAATAGTGATAGGATAGTCTTTTCAACAAGTGGTGCTGGATCAATTGCATATCCACAAGTAAAACAAAACAAAACAAAATGAATCTAGACATAGACCTCATATGTTTCATGAAAAAATAACTCAAAGTGGATCTTAGACCTAAACATCAAATATACAACTATAAAATTTCTAGAAGATACTACAGTGGCCTGATGGCCATCATAAATCTTATAGACATAAAATGTCTCCTATAATGTATTACTTTAGGGTCTTGTAAGACAAAAAAGAACCAAAATATCAGAGGACTCAGAACTCCTCTCCCATGTCCCCAGCCATAGACAACAAAAATTATTTATTAAAGATTGTGCTGGTGTGCTGGAGCCAAGATGGCCGAATAGGAACAGCTCTGGTCTACAGCTCCCAGCATGAGCAACACAGAAGACGGTTGATTTCTGCATTTCCATCTGAGTTACTGGGTTCATCTCACTAGGGAGTGCCAGACAGTGGGCACAGGACAGTGGGTGCAGCGCACCATGCGCAAGCCGAAGCAGGGTGAGGCATTGCCTCACTCAGGAAGCACAAGCGGTCAGGGAGTTCCCTTTCCTAGTCAAAGAAATGGGTGACAGACAGCACCTGGAAAATCGGGTCACTCCCACCCTAATACTGTGTTTTTCTGATGGGCTTAAAAAATGGCGCACCAGGAGATTATATCCCACACCTGGCTCGGAGGGTCCTATGCCCACGGAGTCTCACTGATTGCTAGCACAGCAGTATGAGATCAAACTGCAAGGTGGCAGCGAGGCTGGGGGAGGGGCGCCTGCCATTGCGCAGGCTTGCTTAGGTAAACAAAGCAGCTGGGAAGCTCGAATTGGGAGGAACCCACCACAGCTCAAGGGGGCCTGCCTGCCTCTGTAGGCTCCATCTCTGGGGGCAGGGCACAGACAAACAAAAAGACAGCAGTAACCTCTGCAGACTTAAATGTCCCTATCTGACAGTTTTGAAGAGAGCAGTGGTTCCCCCAGCATGCAGCTGGAGATCTGAGAATGGGCAGACTGCCTCCTCAAGTGGGTCCCTGACCCCTGACCCCCAAGCAGCCTAACTGAGAGGCACCCCCCAGTAGGGGCAGACTGACACCTCACACGGCCGGGTACTCCTCTGAGACAAAACTTCCAGAGGAACAATCAGACAGCAGCTCCTGAAGGAAGCACTAAACATGGAAAGGAACAACCAGTACCAGCCACTGCGAAATCATGCCAAATTGTAAAGACCATCTAGGCTAGGAAGAAACTGCATCAACTAATGATCAAAATAACCAGCTAACATCATAATGACACGATCAAATTCACACATAACAATATTAACTTTAAATGTAAGTGGACTAAATGCTGCAATTAAAAGACACAGTCTGGCAAATTGGATAAAGAGTCAAGACCCATCAGTGTGCTGTATTCAGGAAACCCATCTCATGTGCAGAGACACACATAGGCTCAAAATAAAAGGGTGGAGTAAGATCTACCAAGCAAATGGAAAACAAAAAAAGGCAGGGGTTGCAATCCTAGTCTCTGATAAAGCAGACTTTAAACCAACGAAGATCAAAAGAGACAAAGAAGGCCATCACATAATGGTAAAGGGATCAATTCAACAAGAAGAGCTAACTATCCTAAATATATATGCACCCAATACAGGAGCACCCAGATTCATAAAGCAAGTCCTGAGTGACCTACAAAGAGACTTAGAATCCCACACAATAATAATGGTAGACTTTAACACCCCACTGTCAACATTAGACAGATCAATGAGACAGAAAGTTAATAAGGATATCCAGGAATTGAACACAGCTCTGCACCAAGCGGACCTAATAGACATCTACAGAACTCTCCACCCCAAGTCAACAGAATATACATTTTTTTCAGCACCACACCACACCTATTCCAAAATTGACCACATAGTTGGAAGTAAAACTCTCCTCAGCAAAAGTAAAAGATCAGAAATTATAACAAACTGTCTCTCAGACCACAGTGCAATCAAACTAGAACTCAGGATTGAGAAACTCACTCAAAACCACTCAACTACATGGAAACTGAACAACCTGCTCCTGAATGACTACTGGGTACAAAACAAAATGAAGGCAGAAATAAAGATGTTCTTTGAAACCAGTGAGAACAAAGACACAACATACCAGAATCTCTGGGACACATTCAAAGCAGTGTGTAGAGGAAAATTTACAGCACTAAATGCCCACAAGAGAAAGCAGGAAAGATCCTAAATTGTCACCCTAATATCACAATTAAAAGAACTAGAAAAGCAAGAGCAAACACATTCAAAAGCTAGCAGAAGGCAAGAAATAACTAAAATCAGAGCAGAACTGAAGGAAATAGAGACACAAAAAACCCTTCAAAAAATTAATGAATCCAGGTGCTGGTTTTTTGAAAGGATCAACAATTGATAGACCACTAGCAAGACTAATAAAGAAGAAAAGAGAGAAGAATCAAATACATGCAATAAAAAATGATAAAGGGGATATCACCACCAATCCCACAGAAATACAAACTACCATCAGAGAATACTACAAACACCTCTACGCAAATAAACTAGAAAATCTAGAAGAAATGGATAAATTCCTCGACACATACACCCTCCCAAGACTAAACCAGGAAGAAGTTGACTCTCTGAATAGACCAATAACAGGCTCTGAAATTTTGGCAATAATCAATAGCTTACCAACCAAAAAGAGTCCAGGACCAGATGGATTCACAGCTGAATTCTACCAGAGGTACAAAGAGGAGCTGGTACCATTCCTTCTGAAACTATTCCAATCAATAGAAAAAGAGGGAATCCTTCCTAACTCATTTTATGAGGCCAGCATCATTCTGATACCAAAGCCGGGCAGAGACACAACCAAAAAAGAGA
Source organism: Homo sapiens (assembly GCF_000001405.40). Taxonomy (NCBI): domain Eukaryota; kingdom Metazoa; phylum Chordata; class Mammalia; order Primates; family Hominidae; genus Homo; species Homo sapiens. The sequence goes on from NC_000005.10 coordinate 169,622,592, forward strand.
ATTTTAGACCAATATCCTTGATGAACATTGATGCAAAAATCCTCAATAAAATACTGGCAAACCGAATCCAGCAGCACATCAAAAAGCTTATCCACCGTGATCAAGTGGGCTTCATCCCTGGGATGCAAGGCTGGTTCAATATACACAAATCAATAAATGTAATCCAGCATATAAACAGAACCAAAGACAAGAACCACATGATTATCTCAATAGATGCAGAAAAGTCCTTTGACAAAATTCAACAACCCTTCATGCTAAAAACTCTCAATAAATTAGGTATTGATGGGACGTATCTCAAAATAATAAGAGCTATCTATGACAAACCCACAGCCAATATCATACTGAATGGGCAAAAACTGGAAGCATTCCCTTTGAAAACTGGCACAAGACAGGGATGCCCTCTCTCACCACTCCTATTCAACATAGTGTTGGAAGTTCTGGCCAGGGCTATTAGGCAGGAGAAGGAAATAAAGGGTATTCAATTAGGAAGAGAGGAAATCAAATTGTCCCTGTTTGCAGATGACATGATTGTATATCTAGAAAACCCCATCGTCTCAGCCCAAAATCTCCTTAAGCTGATAAGCAACTTCAGCAAAGTCTTTAGTTAGCTTTTGTTGCAATTGCTTTTGGCATTTTTGTCATGAAGTCTTTGCCCATACCTATGTCCTGAAAGGTATTGCCTAGGTTTTCTTCTACGGTTTTTATGGTTTTGGGTTTTACATTTAAGTCTTTAATCCATCTTGAGTTAATTTTTGTATAAGGTGTAAGAAGCAGTCCAGTTTCAGTTTTCTACATATGGCTAGCCAGTTTTCCCAACACCATTTATTAAGTAGGGTATCCTTTCCCTGTTGTTTGTTTTTGTCAGGTTTGTCGAAGATCAGCTGGTTGGGGATGTGTGGTGTTATTTCTGAGGTCTCTGTTCTGTTCCATTGGTCTATATGTCTGTTTTGGTACCAGTACCATGCTGTTTTGATTACTGTAGCCTTGTAATATAGTTTGGAGTCAAGTAGCATGATGTCTCCAGCTTTGTTCTTTTTGCTTAGGATTGTCTTTGCTATAAGGGCTCTGTTTTGGTTCCATTTGAAATTTAAAGTAGTTTTTTTTTTTATAATTCTGTGAAGAATGTCAATGGTAGTTTGACAGGAATAACATTGAATCTATAAATTACTTTGGGCAGTATGGCCATTTTCATGATATTGATTCTTCCTATCCATGAGGATGGAATGTTTTTCCATTTGTTTGTGTCCTCTCTTATTTCCTTGAGCAGTGGTTTGTATTTCTCCTTGAAGAGGCCCTTCACATCCCTTGTTAACTGTATTCCTAGGTATTTTATTCTCTTTGTAGTAATTGTGAATTGGAGTTCATTCATGATTTGGCTCTCTGCTTGTCTATTGTTGGTGTATAGAAATGCTTGTGATTTTTGCACATTGATTTTGTATCCTGAGACTTTGCTTAAGTTGCTTACCAGCTTAAGGAGTTTTGGGGCTCAGATGATGGGGTTTTCTAAATATAGAATCATGTCATCTGCAAACAGAGATAATTTGACTTCCTCTCTTCCTGTTTGAAAACGTTTATTTCTTTCTCTTGCCTGATTGCCCTGGCCAGAACTTCCAATACTATGTTGAATAGGAGTAGTGAGAGAGGGCATCCTTGTTTTGGGCCGGTTTTCAAAGGGAATGCTTCCAGCTTTTGCCCATTGAATGTGATATTGGCCATGGGTTTTTCATAAATAGCTTTTATTATTTTGAGATATGTTCCATCAATATTTAGTTTATTGAGAGTTTTTAACAGAAAGGCATGTTGAATTTTATCAAAGGACTTTTCAGCATTATTGAGATAATCATGTGGTTTTTGTCATTGGTTCTCCTTATGTGATGGATCGCATTTATTGATTTGCATATATTGAACCAGCCTTGCATCTCAGGGATGAAGCCGACTTGATCATGGTGGATAAGCTTTTTGATGTGCTGCTGGATTTGGTTTGCCAGTGTTTTATTGAGGATTTTAGCATTGATGTTCATATTGGCCTGAAGTTTTCTTTTTTTGTTGTGTCTCTTCCAGGTTTTGGTATCAGGATTATGCTAATCTCATAAAATGAGCTAGGGAGGAGTCCCTCCTTTTCAATTGTTTGGAATAGTTTCAGAAGGAAGGGTACTAGCTTCTTTTTGTAACTCTGGTAGAATTCAGCTGGGAATCCATCTGGTCCTGGGCTTTTTTTGGTTGATAGGCTATTAATTACTGCCTCAACTTCAGAACTTGTTATTGGTCTGCTCAGGGATTTGACTTCTTCCTGGTTTAGTCTTGGGAGGGTGTATGTCCAGGAACTTATCCGTTTCTTCTAAATTTTCTAGTTTATTTTCATTGAGGTGTTTATATTATTCTCTGATGGTGGTTTGTATTTCTGTGGGGTCAGTGGTGATAGCCCCTTTAGAATATTTTATTGCCTCTATTTGATTCTTTTTTCTTCTTTATTAGTCTAGCTAGTGGTCTATCTGTTTTGTTAATTTTTTCAAAAAACCAGCTCTTGGATTCATTGAGTTTTTGAAGGGTTTTTGTGTCTCTATCTCCTTCAGTTCTTCTCTGATCTTAGTTATTTCTTGTCTTTTGCTGGCTTTTGGATTTCTTTGCTCTTGCTTCTCTAGTTCTTTTAACTGTGATGTTAGGGAGTCAATTTGAGATCTTTCTAGCTTTCTGATGTGGGCATTTAGTGATATAAATTTCCCTCTTAACACTGCTTTAGCTGGATTCACCACCATTCTTAATGGCATTAAGGACATTTGCAGTTCATGAGAGGAGGTCAAAATATCAACATTAACAGGAGTTTGGAAGAAGTTGATTTCAACCACCATGGGTGACTTTGAGGTATTCAAGACTTCACTGAAGGAAGTAACTGCAGATTTGGTGAAAATAGCAAGAGACCTAGAATTAGAAGTGGAGCCTGAAGTGAAGATGTGATTGAATTGTTGCAATCTCATGGTAACTCTTGAAAGGATGAGGAATTGCTTCTTATGAATAAGCAAATAAAGTGATTTCTTGAGATGCAGTCTACTCTTGGTGAAGATGTTGTGAACATTGTTCAAATAACTATAAATGATTTAGAAATATTACACAAATGTAGTTGATAAGGCAGAGGCAGGGTTTGAGAGGACTAATTTTGAAAGAAGTTCTACTGTGGGAAAAATGCTATCAAACAGTATCATATGCTACTGAGAAACCTTTAATGAAAGGAAGAGTTCATCAATGTAGTAATTTATTTGCTGTCTTGTTTTAAGAAATCACGGCCAGGTGTGGTGGTTAACACCTATAATCCCAAAACTTTGGGAGGCCAAGTTGGGAGTATCACTTGAGCCCAGGAGTTTGATACCAGCTGGGGCAACATAGTGGGACCCTGTCTCTACAAAAATATTAAAAAATAAGGCTGGGCGCGGTGGCTCATGCCTATAATCCCAGCACTTTGGGAGGCCGAGGTGGGTGGATCACCTGAGGTCAGGAGTTCAAGACCAACCTGACCAATATGGAGAAACCTTGTCTCTACTAAAAATACAAAATTAGCCGGGCATGGTGGTGCATGACTGTAATCCCAGCTACTCAGGAAGCTGATGCAGGAGAATCACTTGAACCCAGGAGGCAGAGGTTGCAGTGAGCCAAGATCACACCATTGCACTCCAGCCTGGACAACAAGGATGAAACTCCATCTCAAAAAATAAATAAATTTTAAAAAATAAATAACTAGCTGGGCATGGTGGCACATATCTGTAGTCTCAGCTACTTGGGAGGCTGAGGCAAGAGGGTTGCTTGAGCCTGGGAGGCCAAGGTTGCAGTGAGCCATGATCACACATCACTGCCCTCCAGCCAGGATAACAGAATAAGACTGTATCTCAGAAAACAAAGGAAGAAAGAAAGAAAAATAAAATTGCCACAGCTACCCCAATCTTCAGCAACCACCACTCTGATCAGTCAGCAGCCATCAACATTGAGGCAAGATCCTCCACCAGCAAAAACAGTTATGGCTCACTGAAGGATCAGATGATTGTTAATATTTTTTAGCAATAAAGTATTTTTAAATTAAGGTATGTACATTATCTGTGTTCATAGACATAATGCTACTGCCACTTAATAGACTGCAGTATAGGATAAACATAACTTTTATATGCATTGGGAAACCAAAATTTTGTGTGACTTGCTTTATGTTGCAGTAGTCGAGAACTGAACCTTCAGTATATCTGAGGTATGTCTTTATTTTCCAGACTTCTTTGCAACTAGATGTGGGCATGGGACCAATTCTTGCCCAAAGGAATGTGAGCAAAAGTGTTGAGTGCTATTCTGAGCCATGCTGTTATTTCCCTCTAACTCCCTTTCTGCTGACTGGAATGGAAATATGGTGGTGAGTCATTGTGGATCATGCACATAATGATTGTGAACCTGGGGGATAATGGAATAGCAAGAAAGAAGGAGCCTTCACCCTTCACAATGTCATAGAACTGCAATACCAACTATGCAGAAAAGAATTGGACTTCTATCTTATTTTGGCTACTTTATTTTTGGGTCTTTGGCTTTGGCTGCCTACTTGATCTACATATTCATTTCCTTGGTAGGCAAGTCCTATGGATACCATCTCTGAAATATATTTTGCATTTGACTGCTGAGCCCCTACCATTTGGTCCAATCCACCATCATCTTTCCCTGGATGCTGAACCACTTACTGGCCTTGTTACTTTCATTCTTGACCTATAGAATTTGTTTTCTAATTGAAATAATTTTTTAAAAAGATTATATTACCTCCTGCTTAAAATCCTCTAGTGACATTGTCAATGCCTTCCACCTAAAGACCACCAGCAATGCACCTGCAGTAAAAAAAAGTTGGGTTTATTGCTTGTGGCTGCATACCATGGGGAGTCCTGGGGTGTTCCAGTAAGAGTATGTTAGAAGGGACTTTACTATGGATAGGTCTTGGACTTGTGTTATGTGATTTGGGGTAGTGTTTAAGAAGGCAGTGTTAATTCTGTGATTAGGTAACTTAATACATCTCATCTAGAAGAATGGAAGACTAGAATGAGGCTAAGCCTGAAACTGATTAAAAGGAAAAATCAGTAGTCATTCACGTTAGCCATGACAGAATAATGACATCTGGTCATTTTTGGTTTGGACAATGTTCATGTTTTGTCTATGATCACTCATGGTTACAGAGTTGTCTTATTTTTGTCTAGATTCGTCACAGTCACAGGCTGGCGCTGCCTGATGTTGATGTTCAACATGAGAAATTGTTCATGTTCAATAGGAGAATATCACAGCCTACCTGTAAGGGCCTAGCCAGCACCTGACTGTCTTTCTCACTTCCCAGTACACTTATAGTAAAATTCCAACTCTTTAGTGTGATCTTCAAGGTTTTATGTAATTTGGTTCCTATCTAACTTCCAACCTAAATTTTACCACATGGTCACTGCACACCCATGACACAGGCCATTTTTGGTTTCTTAAATACAGTAAGCTTGTTCTCCCATTGGGATCTATACAAATGTGTTTGCCTCTCCCAGGAACATGTTTTTCCCAAGGGTCACTTTTTAAAAAAATATTTTTACTTAAATTCTGGGATACATATGCAGAAGGTGCAGGTTTGTTACATAGGTATACATGTGCCGTGGTGGTTTGCTGCACCTATCAACCTGTCATCTAGGTTTTAAGCCCTGTATGCATTAGCTATTTGTCCTAATGCTCTCCCTCCCCTTGCCCTCCACCCTAAGACAGGCCCCAGTGTGTGATGTTCCCTTCCCTGTGGCCATGTGTTCCCATTGTTCAACTCTCATTTATGAGTGAGAACATGTGGTGTTTGGTTTTCTGTTCCTGCGTTAGTTAGCTGAGAATGATGGCTTCCAGCTTCATCTATGTCCCTGCAAAGGATATGAACTCATTCTTTTTTATGTCTGCATAGTATTCCATGGTGTATATGTACGACATTTTCTTTATCCAGTCTATCATTGATGGGCATTTTGTTTGGTTCCAAGTGTTTGCTATTGTAAATAGTGCTGCAATAAACATACATGTGCATGTGTCTTTATAGTAGACTGTTTTCTATTCCTTTGGGTATGTACCTAGTAATGGGATTGCTGGGTCAAATGGTATTTCTGGTTCTAGATCCTTGCGAGGCTGTGAAGAAATAGGAACACTTTTACACTGTTGGTGGGAGTGTAAATTAGTTCAACCATTGTGGAAGACAGTCTGGTGATTCCTCAAGGGTCACTTTTTAACTATTACTTTCTCAGACAGCCCTTCCCAGACCATCCCCTTTTCCACTCTCCCACAGTACTCTTTATACAATTTATTTTCTTTATTAAAATGTATTATGTACATGGATTTTCTGCCTTCCCTTCTAGCCTACAGGATTGATGAGAGTGGCAATCTTGTTTGTGTTGTTCCCCAAGATATATCCTCAGGACTTTTCACATGATGAGTTCTCCATAGACGTTTGTGGAATGAAGGAGCACTCAGCCTCTAGGAATGGGTGGAAGTCCAGTAAAGCCACAATTACAACATGGCATGCAGATGTGTATTGGACTTAGAGAAGAGATACACCCAGATGACTGGAGGCTTATTGCTAGAACATGAAGGCTTATGAGGAATCTATTGTCTCTTTCTAAACCAGATAATTGATTTCTCCAAAAAATCAAGAGATTGAGATTATTCAAGAGGCGCTCTTGGCTCAAGTAATTTGCTTTCTGCAGTAATGTCTACTATTTATACTTCTGAAATGAGAAGACCTAACTGGGTTGGTTTGCTATCACCCAATACAAAGCCTCCTTATTGGCCAGAAACTGTTGGCCTTTCTCGTTTGTAATACACCCACCAAGGTCTCAACTCAGTGTCTATGGGGACTAGGCAGGTAACTTAAATGAATGAAGCAAACTGGGTTTGTTGTTATTATGGCAACTTAAGAAGAACTTGTTCTATGTAGACCTACATCTAAGAATATTCTTCACATCTGTAAATATATACACCCTCTCCCATGTTTCCTGAAACATATATCTTTTCAGTCTCTCTTATTTTCCCACTTTTGATAGAACACAGGGCCAAGCAGTATTTCATTTTTGTTTTTATCTTAAGAAAAACAACTGTGTAAGCACAATGGTAAATAGCCATTGAAATTTGGCCTCAGCATTGGAGATTGTGGCAACTAGAGTGCATGTTCAAACTCAAGGACAGCTGCTGAAGCTGCCTCCAGCTGAAACTGCCTTGTGGAAATGCAGTGTCTACATTTATTTAGAGAGAGACTAGAAATCTAGAAGTTCAGGTAAAATCTCTTGATTGTTAATTGCTGGCAATTTTTAAAAACATTAAAAACTGTAAAATAAAATATGCTTGTTAAACAAATATGTCACCCTCCAGATTTGGCCTTTGGACTGCTAGTAGTTGGCCCCTGTCAAATATCATTGTTTCTAGATGAGTCAGTGCCAACGAGATGTGGAAAAGGAGCAGGGCTGATGTCACTGCACCCAGTATGAGCCTTGGCAGCTTTGCAGAAAGAGCCATTGCGACTACTAGACAGACCAGTAGTTCATGAGCATGGGCTGCCGCAGGAGGGTTGTCTAACTGGAGGGGGAATTGGGAGGTGGGGGGAGTCACCAAGTAAATCTTCCCAGAACTACTTAACCTAGAGGGCAAGAAGAGGTATTCCTATTGGAGGAAGGACTACAGCACACAGAGATCTGAGAATTGTGGCACTTCTAGGAAACTTCAAACAGCACCATCTTGTAAGAGTGTAGGGTGATTGTGGGTGTGGTGCAGGGAGGTGGTGTAAGAAGGGGCAGAGGAGGCAGGAAATGAAGCTGTCGGGGGGAATGATGGCCCTGCATAATATTCTTAAGACTTTTAAATAGTGTGCAAAAGTATTTGAAGGATGCACTGAAAGATATTAATCTGGGCCTTGACGTCTTAGTCTCACAGTTGAGGTAGATCCCACCGGCAGATGCCTACAGCATTAACTAGCAGTGGGCTTGAGGCTATTAACATTTTTAAATATATATACATATATATATACTTTATTTCCATAGGTTATTGGGAAACAGGTGGTGTTTGGTTACATAAATAAGTTCTTTAGTGGTGATTTGTGAAATTTTGGTGCACCTATCACCTGAGCAGTATACACTGCACCCTATTTGTAGTCTTTCATCCCTCACCCTCTTCCCACCATTTCCCCTTGAGTCCATTCTGTCATTCTTATGCCGTTGCATCCTATAGCTTAGCTCCCATTTATGAGTGAGAACATACAATGTTTGGTTTTCCATTCCTGAGTTACTTCACTTAGAATATACTTATGATAGAATAATACTCAGCCATAAAAATGAATGAATTAGTGACATTCGCAGTGACCTGGATGAGGCTATTAACATTCATCTGATAGAGCAAACTCTAGGTAAGCAGGAAAGCTCTTGATTCTCCCTATCGCCAACCCTCACTCCCACAGTCACTTCTAGAGTTTTGTCTGTTACTGAAGGCAGAATTATTTGAATGCCTACTTATCTACATGCCATCTTTGTTGTTGGGCCTCCTTCCTTTACTGTAACTAATTGATTTTGGGAGCGTATATCCTTCTTACCGAGAGTCTTTTATGGTCCTGATCGGAATGTGGACTCCTCTTTGGTGAGTAAAATTTAGGTAAGTACAAGCTTTTGCTCTCGACTGTCTGAGCTGCTGAGAATATACTCGGCTATTTGCCATGACTGTAACAGCTAACACAAGAAGAGACAATGAGAAAAATGTTGACTAGTACTGTGGAGGATGGAGTTTCCAAAGGCAGCCATGTGATGGACACAGGTCAGTGGGACACCAGAAGCCTCTAGGCATCTACCTACTGACGTGCCAATGCTAACTCCGGGTAGCCCTCTCTCCTATCTGGGCCCAGGAGCTCTCTGGCTGGGTGTTGGTGGACTTGTGCAGTAGGGGGCCCACCCCCATGAACTACTCAGAACAAGCTGACAGGCACTGTAGTGACGCAAGAATGGGAGGAGGGCACTCGAATGTCTTGAGATATAGCTATTTAGCAACTGTATGGAAATATTCCAATATTTAGTAATCATTACAGGCATACTAGTGAAATCCAGCCAAATCTTGGACCTGAATACATATGACTCTGAAAAAGATGGACATCAGAAACCTCCCCTTCTGCTGTGCCTTAGGGAAAGAGTTTTCTTCAATTTACCTAAACCATGAGTCCAGTTAGATTTCTTTGGGCTATACTTGAGGCTTTGCATAGTTATTTCCTGTGGAATGTCTTTATTTCACATTTCACAAAAGTTGTTAAACCTCTCACGTTATTACAAACCTGCTTTGCTTATATTTTTCCTAGATTATTCCAGAAGCTTGAGAAGACCAAAACTACTTGGGCAAAGGTTCTCAGAAGTAACATGGAGAAGAGATTGGAAGGAGGCAAGGTTGGAGGAAGGGATCTCTAATCCAAGTTTCAAGGAAGATCTTAAGTTTGTGGGATGGGGAAGAGGGCAGATTCAACAGCTGTTTTTGAGATTATCATTTGGAATGAAAGGAAGATTAGGATGAGTTAAATTTCTGACCCGAGTGAAGTGAAGGGTAATGATGCACTCATGGGCAATCATAGTGGATATTGGCTACAATAAGGGATTTCATTTCTCTGGCCTCAGTTTGCTGATTAGCAAATTGGGGGTAAAATTGGGGTAATAATGGTACCTGTCTTATGGGGCTGCTTTTAGGATGACACGAGATAATGCATGCCAACTGTTTAAATCAGGGATTGAAAGGCAGTAAGTATTCAATGAATGGGGCTCAGAAAGTGTTCAGTGAATTTGCTGCAAACCACAAAGCTAGGTAAGTGATGGAGATGGGGTTCTAGCACCTGATTAAAGCACAGTCTGGTCACTTCATCTGTTAACATTGGGTAGAAACAGTCAGAAGAGGGACAAGTCTAGGGTACAGTTATGATATGAGCTTGGTTTTGAAATATGGAGACATTGATGGGGCTGGGAGGGGATGTCTAGGAGGTAGTTGGACACACAGGACTGAACTTAACAGAAATCTTGGCTAGAGATGTCCTTTTACCCACAGTCATCCCTCACAATGTATGTGAAGTTATAGTCATCAAGAGTGTACTACCTAATAGTCAAGTAACTGACAGATGGTGTTTAATAAAATTGTGTGACCAAGATTATTGTAAATTCTTTAAGTGGTTTTAGTCAGATTTTTATGTTTGACTATTGATCTCTCTTGCCAAAAAATTTTTATGATGCCATAGGATTGTTAACTGTAATGAAAAGCCCATATTTCAGAAACATAAAAGCCATCTCCTAACCATATGAAGTTTAAAGATTTCTGCACTAAAAGCCACCCCATTAAGAAGTTAATTAACCCTCAGTCAAAATTTCTAAACTTCATCTCCTTCAACTGAAAGCAGTTTTTCAACTCTTTTAATATGCTGAATTTGTTTGTTTAACATTATTTAAGGAAGAGATTCCTATTATAGGTTGTGTCACAAGTTGAATGGGGAAAAAAAAACTTCAGTGCTCCTCAAGTTCAATCTTATTTGCTTTCTGGCACCACCACCTACTCTTGGCCTCCCATCAGATACTTTACCACACTGTTAATGTGAAGTTGCCTGTTTGTATGTCAGAAGCTTAAACCTAAATCGAAAAAAAAAAAAAAAGTGTATTTTAGATCAACTGGCTACAAGTTTATGAAGACAACACAACTGTGTATAGCAGAAGATAGCAAACTGTGGTTCACAGATCAAATCTGGCTTGTTGCATGTTTTTGTATGGCCCATGAACTAAGACTAGTTTTTACATTTTTAAACTGCTGAAAAATATCAAAATAAAGATAACATTCCATGCTATATGAAAACTGTAGGAAGTAAAAATTCCATTTTATGGGAACACAGCCATGCTCATTCATTTATGCATCATTTATAGTTGTTTTCATTCTACAATGGCAGAGTTGACTATTTGCAACAAGGACTGTGTATGGTGTTTTCAATGCTACACAGTGCTCTCCAGCAACCCACTAATCACGAGGATGAGATTACAACTCCACAGCATTTAAAGTGCATATCTCTCTCTATGGTAACATTTAAAAAAATTACCAGTGCTATAGCCACCATGTCAAAAAGAAAAGAAAGAATAGTGGGCTCCAAATGTCATGCTTCTAAGGCACAGTGGAGTGTGTATTGTTTGTTACCAAATTAAATAGCACTATGGTTTAAATGTGACCCCCCCCAAAGTTCATGAGTTGGGAATTTAATCCCCAATACAGCAACAGTGTTGGAAGGTGGGGCCTAATAAGATGTAATTAGTAGATCATGAGGGCTCTGCATAAATAGATTAATGTTGTTATCGTAGGAGTGGGTTAGTTATTGAGGGAGTGGTTAGTTATTGTGAGAGTGGGTTTGTTATAAAAGTGAGTTTGGGCTTCTCTTGCTCTCTGGCTCTTGCCCTGTCACCTTCCACCACGGGATGGCACAGCAAAAAAATGCCCTTGCTGGATGTTGGCCCCTTGATATTTAACTTCCCAGCCTCCAGAGGTGTGAGCCAAATAAATTTCTGTTCATCATAAATTACACAGTCTGTAGCATTCTGTTATAGCAGCACAAAACAAACAAAGCAGAGGAGAAAGCATTGTGTTTATTACATGTTGACACTCCAAACAATATAATAGATTAAGCACTCATCACATCTTTTCCAACTTACACAAAAGCAATGACAAGAAAAATTAGAAAATTTAAAACAGAATATCTCATCACAGCACAATTTCTTTAAAATAATAAAAAGTGAAAATGAGACTACAACCAGAATAAGTTTCCAAGTGGCTTATTTGTTATGCAAGCAAGGCAAAATATTTTATTGATGTTAAGTTCATTAAATCATGTTTGATTATAGCAGCAGATGAAATATATCCAGTGAAAATAAATTAGTTTAAGACTTTTAGCCTTTTGGTGACACTGGTTGCTTGGTTGAGAACATTGACAGAAGCATCAATAGTGAATTTTAAAATGACTTCTAGTGGTTTTCCTTAGTTCTTGTTGACAAATATTACCAATACAGCTCAGTTGTTGTTTATTTGAGAAGTCAATGCTGAGTTCGAAGTGAATGAAGAAATAGCTTCTATGAAGAGCCTGTGTAGAAGAACTATAGGCAAGATTACTTTAAAAGAAAATGAGAAAACACTAATTCAACACAACCTGAAGTGGAATCTGCTAAGATGTGTTGCTAGTGTTCATGGTAAAAAAAATATCTGTGGAGCAGAAGAAGGCTTTTGGAGCAAATTTAGAAGGTGGGTGAAAATATAAGATATTTAAAGCTTATGATTATTAATTGTAATATTCACCATCAGGTACTTTGTGGAAAATATCTAAATCTGTGATGTTATTGAATCAGTGGTATCAAAGGTTAATTTTATTAGCTTTTCTGGACTTTTAACCATTGCCCATTTGGTAAACATTTTTTTCAGAAATAGAAAGTAAATATCCTGTCAGATCAGCATTAACATATGAATATTTGAATCAATTTCGATAAGGCACATTAACTTTGAACTCCAATAAGGTGAAATGTGATATCATTCCCAAAATGTATTTTTTTTTGCCTTACTAAGCTAGTATTACAAAAAATACTCATTCACATGATATTTTGAATTTTATTAATAAAAAAAATTTAGAACCTTTTTTCTTTCTTTACATAAGTACCTGCATCCTACATATATACTTGATTTTGCTTTCTGGACTGCAAAGACTAAAATACTATCTGTGACTTTACAGAAAATGTTTGGCATCCTCTATTGTATAGTCCCAATTTATAACATTGTTGTGATAGCTAGTTTTGTGAGTCAACTTGGCAAGGCTATGGCCCAGTTATTCAATCAAATACCAATCTTCACAATCTTCACAGGGGTTGCTGTGAAGTACTTTGTAGATGTGATTAACATCTACCATACATTGAATTTAATTAAGGGAGATTATCCTCAATACATTTGGTTGGTGTGATCCAATTAGTTGACAAACCTTATGAATAGAACTGAGGTTCCTTGAAAAAGAAGAAATTCCTCCTGAGGACATCTGCCTGTGAGTTTCCAAACTGCTCTTCCTGACAGCCCCACAATCGCATTAGCCAATCCCCAATCTCTCTCTGTCTCTCATATACATATATATGTATGTGTATATATATATATATATATATGCATATATGTATGTGTATATATATATGCATATATGTATGTGTATATATATGCATATATGTATGTGTATATATATGCATATATGTATGTATGTATGTGTATATATATATGCATATATGTATGTATGTATATATATGTATGCATATATATAAAATCTCCTACTCTGGTCATCTGGTGGAACCCTAATACCACTGCTGACTGTATAAGACATTATTACCTAATTTGTGCTGCTAGAAAACAGAAAAGAAAATAACTGCAGATAAAACAAAATCAATAATTTTTTGTTGCTCCAGTTCAGCTGTGATATTGCCTAATCTATCTTAATGACTCTCCAGTGTAAGGCAGAAAGGGGTAGTGAGAGTCATGAATAAAGAAAGAAAACTCAGCAAAACTTAAATTCAGCCTTATCACTGTGGATCAGACTTTTTTTTTTTTTTTTTGGACAGAATCTGTTCTCAGAGCAAAAATGAGATTTTTCGAGGAAATGTCTCCATTAGCCTAACTCTAGGGCTCTTTTCCTGGGTCCCACTGTTGCTGGCTGTGACAGCACCCTTCACCTTGCAGTGATGTTGGTAAATAGTGTATTTACGTATTTTCAGAGTAGAGCTTCTAGAGCTTACATCAGATTTTCCAACGGGTTTGTAGCACCAAAACGATAAAAAGCTGTAAATGGGCCAGGCACGGTGGCTCACACCTGTAATCCCAGCACTTTGGGAGGCTGAGGCTGGCGGATCACCTGAGGTGGGGAGTTCGAGACCAGCATGACCAACATGGAGAAACCACGTTTCTACTGAAAATGCAAAGTTAGCCGGGCATGCTGGTGCATGCCTGTAATCCCAGCTACTGGGAAGGCTGAGACAGGAGAGTCGCTTGAACTCGGGAGGCGGAGGTCGCGGTGAGCCGCGATCGCGTCGTTGCACTCCAGCCTGGGCAGCAAGAGAGAAACTCGAAACTCCGTCTCACAAAAAAAAAAAAAAAAGGCTGTAAAGGATCCACCTCCAGGTAAACATTTACTCTTCCATGTCACCTGCTGTGTACATTGTCTCTCTAACCCTCACAATAATCATATGAAGTAGGTATTAGTATCCCATTTCACAGATGAGAAAACTGAAGCTTAGAAAAATGAAGTCATTTGTCCCCGTCTGGATTCGAACCGAGATCTGACACCAAAGCTCATGCTGAGGGGAGTTAAGGAGGTTTGTTCAGTCCCTAGGCACGGCAATCAGGAAACTCTCTGCACTTGCGGTGGTGGTCTGGCGAGCCCCAGGTGGGGACTGGCCTCTGCTCCCTCGCCTGGGGAGGAGACAAAGTGGGAGTGGTCCCCAAGTTTTGCGTGAAGTGGGGTGGGGTGGCGTGTCTTAGCCTACGGGGCACCAGCCTTCTAGTGTGCCCCTGCCCAACGGGAGGGAGGAGGGAGCGGGGAGCCCCGGCGAGGGAGGAGAGGGCGGGCCCTGAGAGGAGTTTGAAAAGAGGAAGGAAGTGGGGCCCTGCGGCGCCCAGCCACCCCCTGACGGCTTCCCCACGGGAGGACGCGAGGCCCCGGCCCAGCCATGGCCCCCTGGCGCAAAGCTGACAAGGAGCGGCACGGCGTGGGTAGGTGCGGGCCCCAGGGCGCGGCAGGGAGCGGGACAGGTGGCGGGAGAGCCGCGAGCAGGAGGATGCTGCGGGGCCGGCGGCGCGGGGTGGGCAGGGCGCGCTGCCTGCAGGTCAGAGGGCGCAGCCTGCGGCGGGGCCTCGGGGCGGGAAAGCCGAGGCTCGGGGAGAGGACGGCGGGACCCCACCCCGCAGGCTAAGCACAGCCCTCGCCCTCTCGCCTGCTGAGGGAACCTTAGACATTTCCGAGATAGGGTCAAGACCTGCGCTTGACAACTCAGTTCTTCGCGCCAAACTCGGCGTCCCCAGGAGTGCCCCAGCTCGCCGCGTGGGAGACTTGGCCTTGTAGAGGGAGCTCCACTCTCCCCTGGCTCAGCCTTGGCCTGCCCACCATGCATACTTCCACCCCCTCCAAAGCGACACCCATTTGCCTGCTTCCCCTGTCTGTTCCTCCTGGGTCAGATGACTCCTGATTTGGCAGGGCATCCAGAGGGCAGCTCAAGCTTGGGGGAATGGGGCTGGACGGTGGGGTTCTCTACTCAGCCCCCCAGAGCCTCTGGGGAAAAAGGCTCCCGCCAGGTGGTCTTAGGGTAACCAAGAAGCTAGCTTCGTCAGCCTCAGCCATCTAAACTCCCAGAAGCCTCTGCCTGGAGCTCAGGGGCGGAAGTGGTGGCTGGGGGAAGGGAGGCCTCAGGTGCTGCTACTCTAAGTGTCATCCGTGGTGCAATCTCCATGGACTCACTGTGGTTTTTAAACTTAAATATCAAATAAAAAGTCACTCTGGAGCTTCCTACACAGGCGGATACCAGACACCATCTCAGAGATAAATATTTCGCAGGTGAGGCATTGGAAGACCCAAACACCCAGAGGGATTTGATGCAGGGGGTCCCCAGGCCACTGTTTGGGAAACACTGCCCTGGAGAGATCAGCAGTTATCCACTCAATTACTGGGTACCGGGCACTGTGGGGTCATTTTGATATAAATGGTCCCCATCCAGAGAACAAATAATAATTCATATCTCAAGGGGCAGTTACAAAGTAAGGAAGGATACAGCTTCTGCCCTTGAGGAGTTATGTGTAAGGCTAGAGGCTTGGACTGGGAAGTCAGAACTGAGTTCAAATCAGGGTCTGTTTCCTCGTCTATAAAGTGGAAGTAATAATAATGCAGGTCTCATGAGACTCTTGTGAGGATTGAATGGGGTTATGCATGGAAAGCATTTAGTAGTGTGCTGGCTCAATAAGAGTTAGTGATTCAGGTCCAGGGTCTTACCTAGCAGCTTCAGAACCAAGAGACACCAGCACCAAGATGCACCCTAATGCCAGATTCAGGACAGTCATGCCTTATGAGACTGTAGTATTTCATGGTTTGCAAGACCAAAGGTCATGCAATCTCTGTCTGACTTCAGAACCCCCATGTGAGGCAGTGTATTATTCCCAACTTACAGGTGAAGTAACCAAGTTTACATCACTTGGAAGCAATGGAGCGGGCCTTAAATTCAATTGTCTTCAGACCCTAGGCCCTTTGCATGGCACCAGAAAAGCATCTAGAAGGGGAACATCATGGGTAAAGGCAGGGAACTGGCATCCCTGAAGTGTGTGGGTCAAACAATAAGTAGTCTGTTTTGGTTTTAGTATTGCTTTTAGTGTTAAAAAAATTTCAGAGGTAGATTATGGCTAGATTGTGAAGGGCTTTGAGTGCCAACCTTCAAAGTTTGGATTTCCTTCTCTGAGCACTGGAGGTTTTGAGCAGTGTCATCTGGAAGAAGTTAAATAGTTAATTAGGATAGGAGTGGGGAATTGGACTTAGAATAGAAGGAAAATGGGTAACAGTTTTACCTGTCTGCTGACTGCCTGGTTAATCTAGCAGGAGGTCACTTATAATCAACATTGCCTGTTAACCTTTACTAGGTTAATCCACTCTGCCTGAGGCTCTTGTCAGTGAAGAGAGCTTTCTCCTTGCAGGAGAGAGGAAAGGGCAGAAAAGAAGGAGGTAGAAAGAGAAACTAACAGTATCAGTTAGGGTTAAGTGTGACAAAGGGTGACAGAAAACCTCCAAAATTGTGGCCTAACCAAGCTGCAAGTTTATTTCTGTCTCTCATGGAAAGCTCAGAAATGGTCTGGGAAGAGGTGGTAAGGTGGCTCATTCTATATCTCACACTGTATCCTTGGCATGTGACTTCTGCCTCCTGAGCCACATAGGCTGCTTAAGCTTCGGTGATCAGGTCCACCTTCCAGCCAGCAAAAAGGATGCAGGGAAAAAGAAGGTCATGGCTTTTCCCTTTAAAGACATTTTCCTGAAGGCACACTTGACATTTCTTCTTACATTACATCCTATTGGCAAAAATGTAATCACATGACTGACTATAGCTGCAAGGGAAGCTAGGAAATGTAGTCTGTAATGTAGGCAGCCATGTACCCAGCTAAAAATTAGGAGTTCTCTTCATAAGTAAGGAGAGGAGGAAGAATATTGAGGATGATATATTAGTTTGCTCAGGCTGCTGTAGCAAAATACCACCAACTGGGTGGCTTAAACAACAGAAATGTATTTTCTCACAGTTCTCGAGGCTGGAAGTCTAAGATCAAAGCACCACCAGGGTTGGCTTGTCTCATGGCCTATCTCCATGGTTTGCAGATGGCTGTCTTGCTGCCTCTTCATTGCTTTCTGTGCAGGCACACCCTTGCTGTCTCTTCCTCCTGTCATGAGAACACCGGTCATATTGGATTAGCATCCCACCCTAAAGGACTCATTTTAACTTAATAATTCCTTTATCTCCGAATATGCACTTATCTCCAAATAGGAGTACCTTCTGAGACACTGATGACTGGGACTTCAGCATAAGAATTTTGGTGGGGACACAAATTCATGACAAATAATCTGTGGTCTCTGGCATGGTATTTTGGGACTATAAAGAGGGCTTCAAGGCAGGAGTCCTGAGATAAAGGGTGAGGGTAGAAAAGAGTTTTGTTTACCCTGAAGCTGAGCCTGCCAGGCAGATTTGTGTGGGACTCTAGTTATTCTTGTAGGGGAGGGAAAAGCTTCTTTCTGCTACTGCATCTTGGGTTTTCTGTAAATTAGACTAACAAAAGACTGATGAACAAGAGAAAACAAACAAGTTTATTAGCATGTACATCCTGCTTACATATGGAGTACTCAAAGGGTTGGTTTGAACTTGAGCTTATACAGCATCTTAGCAAAGGTACAATAAAGGTTTAGAGAAGTAGCAAGTCAAAGGAGGGTTTTAGGCCTCCAAGGGCAGCAAACTGTGGGAAGGGAAATATATGGGGAATCTAATGGAAGATAAAGGGTTATTTGTGCAGGTTCATCTTGGAGCCAACTTTCTGTCTTCTTCATTGCCATAAAACTTCCCTGGGAGAGGGGATTTATGACAGTCCTTATTTCTTAGGAGTTTCTTCAGATAAATATCCAGGAAAGCTTCTTGCTGTACCTGTTGATTCTTATTTGCATCCAGCTCAAAATAATCAATATGCCCTATGGAAGTGGCATATTTTGATCAGAAACCTGTTCTGTATGCAGCTTCTCTCTAGCTATGGTTTTACACCCATGTGTGGTGTTGAGGAATATTTGTTGGTTTCTTCTGAGGGCTGAGGGAAAATCTGTTCCAGGTGTCTCCCCCAGCTGCCAGTGGTTTGCTGGCAATCCTCGGCATTCCTTGGCTTACAAAAGCGTTGCCTTGATCGCTGCCTCCAACTTCACGTGGTATTCTCATTGTGTGCGTGTCTGTCTCCGCATTTCTCCTTTTAAAAAGGACATCCAGTCATATTAGATTAGGGCCCACCCTAGTGACTTCAGTTAAATGTGATTACCTCTGTAAAGACTGTCTCCAAATAAGATCACATTCTGAGGTACTGGGAGTTGAGACTCCAACGTCTCTTTTTTTGGAGGGGGAGGGCACAATTCAAACCATAACAGGCTCTGCAGAAGCAGAGAAGGGATCTTTTTCACAGCTTGGTTGGGGAATATGGAGGAATCCATAACCAGCTCGTGGTTCAGGGATGTGGGTGATGCTGTCGCAGCCCAGGACCCTGGACAGAGCTGATCCATGCACACTGACAGATTTGGCGTGGGCAATGTGTGCTGGTGTCATTTGCACATGGATTTTTGTTGAAGGGAACAAAATCTAGTCAAACCAGTTCAACGAAAATGTGTGTGGTGTGTATCTGTGGGAGAGCAGGGAGAAGTGGTGTATTTTAGGGTCAGAGGAATCACATGGAAATCCAGGAAACAGGAGGAGCCAGGCCTCGGAAAGGGCTTGAACTGAGGCAACCCTGGAAACCTCTGCCTCTCCTCTCATGGCTTCTCAGCTTCTCTGAGCATGCCAACTGTGGTCTCCTTTCTCTCCCCACCACCTCCCTCTGATTGCATTGTTCCTTCGTAACTGATACTCTAATACCACAGTGGTGGCCCCAGCATGCAACCCACCCATCTCTGCACAACCTTGCAGTTCAAGCATCCACTGAATCTTCTCTGTGTTTATTTGTTCAAAGTCCCAACAGAAGAGAGTGGTAGCTTGATTTCCCTTTGTAAGAAAGACAACCCAAGTCAGAGTTCATTGCCAGCCTAATAATGGGCCTCACTCTGGTGAGGGTGCTGCCCCTGGCAGGTCTAATTCTCTGTGACTATGAGGTGGGGTCACATGGCTTGCTACTCCTCTAGCAGGAGCCATGGGTGGGGACTGATTCTTTGAGTTGGAAGCATGAGTGGAAACTGCATCCCAAACATACCCAGGAGCAGAACTTCACTACAGAGGGACCAATTATACTGCTTTTATTGCCAAATGCAACAGTTGAAAGGATAGAGAGCATCACTCACTCATTAACTTGTCCATTTGTTCACTCATTCATTCTTCATTAACTTCTTAAATATTTGTTGGGTGTGTGTGCCAGGCATTATGCTAGTCACTGAGATTACTAGAATTAGGCCAATATGGCCCCTATCCTTCTGGAGCCTGTAGTCTAATAGGGAAGATGAAAAAGAATTTCATGAATAAATCAGTAACCATATAATTACAAATTGTGATATGTGCTGTTTTAATATGAGTGAGAATATTAGGAATGGTCTTGAATTAGATGATGTGAGAAGGCCTCTCAGGAGCAATGGGGAAAAGAATCCCAAAGCCAATGCTTGGAGGGATATTAATACATGCATCTTTGCTACAGTGGCTGACTGTACCTTTGGATTGGTCCCCAGAAATTAGTCTGGTGAAACAAAAATACATGGATTAGACATCTAATTCCTTCCTGCCACCAATTCTTAGGTGCCGGGGCTTCCTACTTTCAGATGCTTCAGCAATTTGGGTCTGTTTAGGAGTGCCTGCTGGGCTGGCTGTTTGAGTTCATGTAAGGAGATTGTCCTAATCCGTAGTTATATGGGCACCTCATTAGGCAGTGGACATCTTGCCCCTGACCATAATGTTTGCATTTGAATGAGCCTTGAAGACAGATTGTGTTTTCTAAGCTCTGCTTCCTCCTGAGATCAGCATCCTATTGCTGCTGTCTTTTGAGAGATGAAATGTAGTCACCATACTGCTCCGCTAATTTCTGGACCTTTGGATTTGTTTTTTTTTTCAATAGTCAATTACACATGGGTGCCACAGTCTGTGCTCTGCAGCATATGTTCTGCAAATGGGGAATGACAGTGCTTATCACCACGCAACTCCAGAGGAGTCTGGGCGGAGACACCACAAATGTTCCCTTTAATAGGCACTTTCTCCTTTCTTCCCCCTTCCCTTAATTGGTGTGAATTGAAAAACAGTCAGGCTGAGTTTGTGAGCTGCTTAAGTCTTATTCTGTTGTTAGTTCTCCTTGGAGAAAGTCATTCCTTGTCTCCCTGCACCCCACCAGGTCAGCTTCTGCTTTGGTTTAAAGTCATGGTGGCAGAAACTGAGGCTGGAGAAAGTATGACCGCCAATGTGGACACTTTCCAGAGCCCTCTCCGTTCATCACTCTAGGGCAGTGGTCTGCAACCTTTTCAGCACCAGGGCTGGTTTGGTGGAAGACAATTTTTCCACAGACTGATGGGGAGGTGGGGCGGGGCGGGAGGGATGGTTTCGGGATGAAGCTGTTCCACTTCAGATCATGAGGCATTAATTAGATTCTCATAAGGAGCATACAACCCAGATCCCTCGCGTGTGCAGGTCACAATAGGGTTCCTGCTCCTGTGAGAATCGAATGCCCCTGCTGATCTGACAGGAGGCAGAGCTCAGGCTAATGCTGGATTGCCTGCTGCTCACCTCCTGCTCTGCAGCCCGGTTCCTAACAGGCCACCAACCAGTACCGGTCGGTGGCCTGGGGAGTTGGGGACCCCTGTTCTAGGGCACTCAGTTCCCCTGACTGCACACGGCCCCTTGGATCACAGCCTAAGCTAAGATGATGGTTGGAGACATAGGTGGACAGTATGACGTGCACACTGTCACGGCACAGGGTCTGAATGGGGTAATAGGCATTTGTTTGGTTGAATTAAATGGTGCAATGCCAGGCCTAGAGACACCCTGACTGACATGGTGGGCTGCAGCAGCAGGGCCATCCCAGTGTCAGCTGAACCTTGAGGGTTTGCCTGGAAAGTGGGTTTTTGCTGCTGGCTTCCCTGGCGGTGGCAGTCAGGGAAGGACCCTTCTAAGTAGAACGAATAGCCAATATAAAGAGGAGGAAGCCTCTCTGATGTGTGGGAGGCCAGTGTGGCTGCAGTAGAGTAAGCAAGATGCAAAGCAGTAAGGAATGGATTCTCTGAGAGAGGTCATAGGGAGCAGTGCCTCGTAGGTATTGTGAGGTCCTTGGCTTTTACTCTGAATGGGGGAGGGGGACATTGCAGGATTTGGAGTAGAATTGTAGGACGACCTGTCTTAAGTTTTAAGAGGATTGAACATAGCAGTTTTATGGTGCATTAATCAGGGGGAATTAAATGTGGAAGGAGAGGGACCAGTTAGGCAGCAACAGTGATAACTCAGGCCAAGAGATGGCGGTGGCTTGCAGCAGGAGGGAGCAGTGGAGACAGTGAGATATGCTTAGATTCGGGATGTATGTGTTGTAGGTCAAGCAAATGGGGTTTTCCTCTTGGAATGGATGTGGGTATGAGAAGGAGAGAGGAGCCAGTGGTGACTCCGAGGTTTCTGGTCTGAATAGCTAGAAGAATGAGGGCTGCATCGAGGCCTTCCCTAGTGAAAACCTTGATCTAAGTAGTCATCGACATTGGCATAAATCATGCCATTGCCTTACCTTTTGTACCACGGTACTTTTTTTTTTTTTTTTAATTTTACTGACAGTTCTGGGATACAAGTGCAGAACATGCAGGTTTGTTACGTAGGTATACATGTGCCATGGTGGTTTGCTGCACCTATCTTCCCGTCATCTAGGTTTTAAGCCCCATATGCATTAGCTATTTGTCCTAATGCTCTCCCTTCCTTGCAACTCCCCCACCCCCTGACAGGCCCCAGTGTGTGATGTTTCTCTCCCCGTGGCCATATGTTCTCATTGTTCAACTCCCACTTATGAGTGAGAACAGGCAGTGTTTGGTTTTCTGTTCCTGTGTTAGTTTGCTGAGAATGATGGCTTCCAGCTTTATCCCTGTCCCTGCAAAGGACATGATCTCATTTCTTTTTATGGCTGCATAGTATTCCATGGTATATATGTTGACATTTTCTTTATCCAATCTATCATTGATGGGCATTTGGGTTGGTTCCAAGTGTTTGTTGTTGTAAATAGTGCTGCGATAAACATACGTGTGCATATGTCTTTATAGTAGAATGATTTCTATTCCTTTGGGTATATACCTAGTAATGGGATTGCTGGGCCAAATGGTATTTCTCGTTCTAGATCCTTGAGGAATTGTTTTCCACAATAGTTGAACTAATTTACATTCCCACCAACAGTGTAAAAGTATTCTTATTTCTCCACAGCCTCACCAGCATCTATAGTTTCTTGACTTTTTAGTAATCGCCATTCTGACTGGCATGAGATGGTATCTCATTGTGCATTTCTCAGATGATCAGTGGTGTTGAGCGTTTTTTCATGTTTGTTGGCCACATAAATGTCTTCTTTCTAGAAGTGTCTGTTTATATCCTTTGTCCACATTTTGATGGGGTTGTTTGTTTCTTGTAAATTTGTTTAAGTTTCTTATAGATTCTGGATATTAGCCCTTTGTCAGATGAGTAGATTGCAAAAATTTTCTCCCATTCTGTAGGTTGCCTGTTCACTTTGATGATAGTTTCTTTTGCTGTGCAGAAACTCTTCAGTTTAATTAGATCCCATTTGTTAATTTTGGTTTTTGCTGCAATTGCTTTTGGTGTTTTTGTCATGAAGTCTTTGCCCATGCATATGTCCTGATTGGTATTGCCTAGGTTTTCTTCTAGGGTTTTAAATTTTTATTTATTTATTTTTTTGAGACAGAGTCTCACTCTGTCTCCCTGGCTGGAGTGCAGCGGAGCAATCTCGGCTCACTGCAAGCTCCACCTCCTGGGTTCACGCCATTCTCCTGCCTCAGCCTCCCGAGTAGCTGGGACTACACAGGAGCCCACCACCACGCCCGGCTAATTTTTTGTATTTTTAGTAGAGACGGGGTTTCACCGTGTTAGCCAGGAAGGTCTCGATCTCCTGACCTCATGATCCGCCCATCTCAGCCTCCCAAAGTGCTGGGATTACAGGCATGAGCCACCACGCCCAGCCTCTTCTAGGGTTTTTATGGTTTGGGATTTTACATTTAAGTTTGTAATCCATCTTGAGTTAATTTTCGTGTAAGATATAAGGAAGGGGTCCAGTTTCAGTTTTCCACATATGGCTGGCCAGTTTTCCCAGCACCATTTATTAAATAGGAGATCCTTATTCCATTGCTTCTTTTTGTCAGGTTTGTCGAAGATCAGGTGGTTGTAGATGCGTGGTGTTATTTCTGAGGTCTCTGTTCTGTTCCATTGGTCTATATATCTGTTTGAGTACCAGTCCCATAGCATGGTACATTTACAAAGCCCTTGTGTCATCATGTTTAGCCCTCACAGACACCCTAAGAAAAATAACTTCTGTCTTCATTTTGCAGGTGAGGAAACTGAGGCATAGATCTTTGAGGTCTCTCTGAAAATTCCCTCTATTTTATGGAAGTTGCCCCTTTTCACCTTGTCTTTTAGTTAGGTAACTGCATGTCATCTTCCCCACTAGCTGGTACATTGTTGGAGGGCAGAGCTGTATGGAGGGTTAACTTTGAGTCCATTCAGCATCACTGCAATAGCAGGAACGTGGTAGGTCAGAGAAACTAATCATTATTGTAGCATAGGTCCCATTGAGAATCCTGTGACCGCTAGAAACACACTTCTTCCCATTAAAATATGCACATGTGCAGTTCTGCATTGTAATGTCGCCAAAACTCATTCATGGAAGCCAGTTAAGGTCCCTGGCAAAATGTGCTTATTTTACTCTGTAACTATTTAGTAAACAAATACAATAGGTATAGCCAAAGCATTCTGCCTAAGGTTTGAATTCTTGAAGCCAGGAGCTTGTCAAGAGTCGGAAAACAATTCTTACAGTCTGTTCAGATCAATTAAGTTCAGTAAGCCTGTCCTGAGTGATGGTCCTTAGCTGGGTGTTTGGGCCCAGAGATGAATAAAACAGTTCGGGAAGCTTACAGTCCAGTCATAACCTCTCTTTCTGTATGAGGCAGCAGAGAGCACCATTATTAGTACTAATGTCCCCATTGGACAGGTTGGGGGCAGTGCCCCCTTTGCTTCATGTTACTAGAGCTGCCATCATCCCCTTCATACTTCCTTGCAGCCTCATGTTGAATGATCTGGGCACCTCTGTAGAATGCAAGCTCTATGATGGCAGGGCCATGTCTGTTGTTCTTCTTCAGCACAGAGCAGGTGCTCAGCGGCTGCTGATTGGATGGATGAAGAGGTGGATTCATAGGTGGATGGATAGTTGTTGATTAGATGGATGGGTGGGTAGATGGATGATAGATGGGTGAGTGGATGCATGGATGGGTGGGTGGGTAGATGAGTGGAGGGGGAGGAGGATGGGTAAAGGGTAAGAGTTGGAGGTTTTAAAATTTTCTGGTGGCCTTATAGGATTCAGATGGACTGAGTTGCCCCATCTTGCCTTTATCTTCCCACCTCATCCATTTCCCTGTCAGGAGGCGAGGTCCTGTGAGAGCACAGCACAGCAATAAATAGAGTACTCTTGAACTCGTCTCCAAACAGTGGACTCCTGCAGATGGTCACTCTACCAAGCTCACCAGTTCTCCCTGGGACTCCATTAAGATGGCCCTGCCATTCATCCCTCACACATCAAGCTGGTTTCCCCCCTCTCTTCCCTGCTGTCACACCCTCTCCCCACCTCCTTGGGGGCTCTCAGTCCAGTTCTTCCCCTTGCCAGTCTCTGCCCCTCCCTCTCCCTCCAGTCTCACTTCCTTAGTGGGGCCTCTTTTTCCCTCTGAGAGTCCACAGCTGCTGTGACTTGCAGTTTAGCCTTTCACTTCTGAAGACAGCTCTTTGTTTCTTGTGTGTTTATTTTGTCTCTTCGACTAGATTTCACAGAAGCTCAGGAGAGCAGGAGCCACCCCCTTTCACCCCACTTTTCTAGCTGCAGGATCCTGCAGAGTGCCAGACGCTCTCTGCATTTGGGGCTGGAGGGCTGATTTGATTGATTTCACCATAAACTCTCTTCCAACTCTGTAGTGTGTGTGTGCATGTGTGAGTGCAAGAGTGTGTGAGAATGTGTGTGTGAATGTGCCTATAGGAGTACTAGAATGGAGAGAGTGAAATCCAGCATGATGTTTCAGAGCAGGGTTTATCAACCTTGTCACTATTGACATTGTGGGCCAGGAAAATCTTTGTTATGGGGCTGTCCTGTGCACTGTAGGATGTTTAGCAGCATCTCTGGCCTCTAGTCACTAGAGGCTAGTAGCACTGACACCCCCGACTCCCCTCCCCCAGGTTGGGACAAGAAAAATGTCTCCAGACATCAACAAATGTCTCTTCTAGTGGGGCAAATTCGCTCCCAGTTGAGATCACTGTTTGAGAGAATTCACTGGAATCCTAACTTTCGTCTTGTCGGCTGGGCATGTCACTGGCTCGCTAAAAACTGTGCGCTACAATATGCAGCCCATAAGGTTGTTATCATGATCCAGCAAGAGGCCTAAAGCACCTGGCACAGTGCTGGGACCAAATGCATCTCCACTCGTGAGAGGCGATGTGAGTGTGGTGCATGGCTGAGAGAGTGTGCTCCGGAGCCAGCCTGTCTGGGGTGAAATCCTCACTTGGCCCCTTCTTTGCTGTGTTCACCCCAGGATGTTTACTTGATCTTGCACTACCTCAGTTTCCTCATCTGTAAAACAGAGACGATAATAATCACACCCACCCCAAGAACTGCAGATTCACGATGAAATGGGTGGCTGTGCGTAAAGCCCTTGGAATAGTGTCTGGTATGCAGGAAGTGTTTGGCAGAGGTTAGCTGTTCTTCTGCTCTCTGCTCTCTCCTGGTGGGTGGAGGAACACCTCCTCCTTCTAGGTTCCCTCTGGCTGTAATTCTTCTGCCTCATTTGCTGCTGACTAGCGCCCGCCCGGGTTTGAGCTCTGGGGTGGCTGCCAGAGGCTTCTGCTGGGTCATCGCAGTCACCCTCGTGGATGCAATGTCAGGATGCTGCCTCAGTGCGGAGGCTGTCAACACCTGTCCAGAGACTTCAGGCACACTGCTTACGCATTTCGATGAGCGCATTTCACTTGAATCCACCAAAGTGGACCTGCTGCTAGTTCTATTTCCCCCTGGAGTGGAGACTCTCCAAAGTGAGCTTCGGGCAATTACATTCTTTCTCCATTATTGCTTTTGTTCCTCTTACACAGCCACTTGTCCAAACTCTATTAACACTTGGTGTTGGCTGAAGCTTGTGTTTTCAAACATGTCAGCAGATGGCAGGGCCCCAGATGAGGTACGAATCCATCTTGAAGGGTCACAGGGCACTCGATGGCTGCAATCAAAATTGGCAGCCAAGACGTGTCTTTTGAAGCAATCTTGATAAATGCAAGAAAGAATATAGCCAGAAGAAGGGACATAGCTGCCCTTCATGTTCATTCACATCCCTTCCGTCCAATGAGCATTTCTTAAAAGTTCAATAAACATTGATTGCACTTCTACTGTGGGCCAGGCGCTAGGAATTCAGTGGTCAACAAGATAGGCTCAGTCTCCATCCTTACTGAGGCTGGATGTAACGAGGATATAAACAAGCCCAGTGTATGTGTAATAGAGTGTGATGCCTGGTGAGGAAGCAGGGACTCTGGACTCCACTCTAGGTTTGAATCCGCTTTCTGCCACTTTCTGTGTGGCTATGAGCAAGTTCCTTAACATCTCTTTGAGTTTCTTGTATGTTACAGGAAGAGTAATAACTTGAGGTTACTATGAAGATTAAATGGGCTGATACAAGTAAAGTGCTAGGGATTTTTTTTTCTTTCTTTTTTTTTTTGCCGGCGTCTTGCTCTGTCACCCGGGCTGGAGTGCAGTGGTGTAATCTCGGCTGACTGCAACCTCTGCCTCCCAGGTTCAAGCAATTCTCCTGCCTCAGTCCCCCGAGTAGCTGGGACTACAGGTGTACCCCACCACACTTGGTTAATTTTTGTATTTTTAGTACAGTCGGGGTTTCACCATGTTGGCCAGGCTGGTCTCAAACTCCTGACCTCAAGTGATCCACCTGCCTCCCCTAGTGTTGGGATTACAGGCGTGAGCCGCCGCACCTGGCAGTGCTGGGGATTTTGTCTGTCTTATCTATCACTGTGACTATAGTACTCAGAGCAATATCTAGCACCCAGTAGGTACTACATACTGTGTCTACAGTAGTTAGGACAGTATCTAGCACACACTAGATGTTCACATGGATATCTGTTGAAAACACCATGGAGTATATACTTGGCATTTAAAATGTGCTCTAAATATTTACCATTTTCTTAGGAAACAGGGTGTGCAGTAGTTAGAATTTAGACTCCGAGATCTATCTATATATCTTATTAGGTGGAGAAGTTGTTTACCCACCCCTTCCTCAGTTTCCTTATATATAAATCAAAGAGAAACATTGAACTTATCTCCTAAAATTGCACAAAGCACAGAGACCCTTCTTTAGTTGTTTTTGTGAGCCACTGTGCTAGAACAATGGTGTTTACTTTCACCTTAGCTCCCTCTATTTGAACTCCTGATGAATAGAGTACTTCAATATGTTTAGGTGGAATTGGTAGCTAATCAGTGGATTCGATTTCCAGGGTTGCTAGAAGTTCCATCTGCCTCAAAATAGCAGTCCGGTGGCTTGCCAACCTGGGATTTCCAATGTGAGTCCTTGCTGGAGTCAGTGACCCAAGATGGCTCCATACTTGGGAACATCCCTTTGATCCTTGGCCATAAATGCTTTGTTCTGGGTGGGCTTGTCAGGATACCAGTTTCTGTTTTGGTTCCTATGTATGGTGCTTTGGTACAAGGAGAGGTCAAGTCTTTCCTAGGGAATGTGTCAGTATTCCCCAGGGCTTGGCGACCTGGCACGATGGGGAAGCTGGAATGAGTATTTGCGGGAATGGCCGAGGGCCTGAGGGCTGTGGGTAGGCTTCCCTGATTTGTCTATCTTTTGTGGACAGGCACTGGGCAGGGTGGAGCAGGCTATGATTTCTTCCTCTTGTTTTTCTGCCTTTTTCATCCCTTGTTCAAAAGTTGAGAGTGGTTAGGCCCATCTTAGACTGGTCAGAAGCAAACTGAAGGACAGAGATAAGCCATCAAACGTAGCAGAGGGGAATTCTGGCTTGGAGCTTCCTGTTAGTCATCTAGAAGACTAAACAGAATTGGGTATTCATAGGCAAAGCCACTTCCTTTGTCAGTCATGTCTGCTTTTCTTCAAATGGAGCCTTAAGAGGCCCTTATGCAAAGGCAGAAATAGATTTATAAATTAAGTGCCAAAGTCAGTTACTTTCATTTTTGTAATCAGTGAGTACTTGGAATGAATACGGATCTTCACTTTGAATACCCAGTTTCAAGATCTGTCCAGGACATCTTAAGCCAATCTACTGGCACCTTCTCACCTGACATTGCTGGGCAGAGGATGAGGGAAGATTCCCGAGGAAAGCAGGGAGGAGCTGGTCACGGAGTAACACACGGTCCTGCCCCACCTCCACATATCTGATGGACACCCCTGATTTGCTCGTGCTCCAGAGACTAACACACATTGTGCCTGGTTTTCTTCTGTTGGAAGCCTCAGTTGCTTCCACCATCCTGTCCAGTTCTACTGCCAAGTCCTCAGGCAGACCACTTGGGCTGAAAGAGCAGGGAGCAGAGTCTACCCAGTGAGGACACCAGCAAACTGGAGTATGTCCAAGCAACAGCAGCCTATGAGGGGAAGGGGGTTGAAATCAGGCCAAGTGCGGAGGGAATGAAGAAACAGGCTGCGTTTATGCAGGAGGAGAGAAGCCTCAGCATCCCCCGAGGGCCCTCTCTAGATTTGCTTTTGGACAAAGGATTAATTTGATTAAGTGTTGGTCGACAGAGCAGTTGGTTGCAAAGTGCAGGAAAGGAGATTTAAAGGCTACACAAAGCTCTGGAGGAGTGAGCCTTGTTCAGGAGATAATATAATGCTAATAAAAAGAAAAGTGACTACATTTACTGAGCACTTACTATAGCTGGACATTAAGTCAAGTCGTGTATGGGCATTAATTTCAGCTGAGCCTCCCAGGAACCCAGTAAGGTAGGGACCATTATTTCTTGCATTCTACAGTCAGAGGAACTGAGGCTTAGGGAGATTCAGCCACTTGCTCAAGCAGGCTGCCCCTGGCTCCTACAGTGCCTTTGTGTGGATTACAAAAAGATATCCTTCCTCTGGTGGGCACAGTGCCAGGGCAGGGTGCAAGCCTTGGCAAGCAGATCGCAGGTTGGGTGCCAGCCTTCACTGCTCTCTTGGCTGGGTGGCCTTGTGCAGGGCACAGCCTGGGCAGTTGTACACTGCAGCCCTAGGCTTGAGGCCAGAGCCAGGAAAAGACAGAACTGGCCTCAAAAGCCACATCTGTCTGACTCCAGAGACAACTAGCTCTTAACTCCTAAGCTTTATCATCTCTCAGGATGGAGACTTCATCTCTCTGAATGCACACAAAAGGGAGGTTAGGGATATGGGGCACACCTGGGAGTAGAGGGGACAGCCTGTGCTCCGTTCCACTGAAGCATCCTAAAAACCCTGCGAGATAGGTACTGTTAACATCCCCATTGTAAGAAAGTGAGGCAGAGAGGTGAAGTCACTTGCCCAAGATCACACAGTAGTGAGTGGCAGAGCTGGGGTTCCTTCTGAACCACTCTGGTCTTTTAATGTGGTTTAGGCAGACGTGTTGGGGTGATTGGACCAGGGGAAGGAGGAAGGAGGGAAGAGAGAGGGAAGGAAGGGAAGGAGATAAGTGGGAAGAGGCAGAGATGAATGAGAGTTAGAGACTGGCGGTGGTCTCTGTGATGCAAAAGAATCTGCACAGAACCCAGTGGCATTTCACCCAGCTTCTGCATAGGGGTTAGACACAGAGCAGCATTGGCTATTTAGACCCTGGTCACTTAATGGATCAGCCTACGGTCCGTATCCTCAAAGGTAAAAGGAGGTAATTATGAAGAGGTGTACCTGTAGAGTAGAGGAGTAGGAAAGAGCATGGGCCTGTACTCCCAGTTCCAGCATTGTATGACCTTGGGCAAGGCAAGTAACCTCTCTCTGTCTGAGTTTCTGTATCTGAAATTTGGAAATAATAAGACTTCTCACTTGCAAGGAGTGTTGTGAGAATTAAAGGAGTAAATGCACATGGAGAACTTAGAATCATGTCTGGGATATAAGTGATTGCTACACATTCGTTCTTATTAGGATCCACACTGATAAGCCACTTCCAGAAAAGTGGGGCCTGCCTACGTTTAGTTCCTCTTTAGGAATAATAACCTTTTTACAGTGGTATCTTCTTATCTTAGCTCCCCACCCAACATTGTGGGGTGGGTAAGAGTGGCACAATAATGCCTACTTTAAAAGTGGGGAAACGGATTCAGAGGGAAAGTGAGTCTGTTTTGTAGCTGTCACCAGCTAGAGCGGGTTTGGAGGAGTCTGGAGACGTAGCTACTGCCTGTTGTGTGGGCAGCAGCAGGGCCAAGGGCGTCATGAAGGACTGGAGCTCACACCGGGGCCTTCCTCCTGGTAAATCTCCTACACAGGTTCCTTCCCTTGCGTAGCCCTCTCCATTGTCCCAATGGTGCTGTGCTGGTCGGGGAGGAGCATGGGCCCAGCTCAGCTGGCCCTGCCTGCAGGAAGCCTCCTGTGGCCCCCATGCATGGCTCCAGCATGTTATCTCCTGTGCTCTCAAAGCACCTGTACCTCCTGAGCCCAGACCATCCATCAGGTCATTGCAGGTGGACCTGTCAGCTTCTCCCATTAGAATACAAGGCCCTGGCTGTCTAATTCTACCATTTGGTTACTGGTTATGGAGCATTACAACATGGCAGGCTCTTCACACACTGGGACTGTCTTTCTTTCTCATAATAATTTGCCATAGATCCCTGGGGTGCCTGAGCTGGGACTCAACCCCAGGCCTGGCTGAAGGAGGGGCTCAGGGTCTCAGAGGCCACAGCTGCCTGGCTCTCCTGCTATCCTGCTCACCAGTGCATCTCTCCTACCTGGTATAGCACCTCACCACACTTCAGGTGCTTAGTATGCAGTTGTTTCTTTTTAATTGTAGCAAAACATGCATAACAAATGATGTAACATTTTAACTGCCTGGTGTACAGTAAGAGGACAGTCCATAGTAAATAGCAGCCTCCTTGTCACTCAGGCTCAATGCAGGGCCTGTGTTGAGGAAAGGTCAACTTTGGTTAATAGAAGGTCTTGGGAGCCAGGCTGAGTCTGAAATAACTCTTGTGGCAGGCAATAGGTTTCTGTGTTGGTTTTGTTTAGCCCAGGTGGGCTGCGTGGGCATGGGATGGACTTGAGGCAGGGAAAGCAGGAAGGAGCAGAGACTAATGAGATCTAGAGGTCTCACCTAGCTGTCTTTCTTTCTGTTTCACAGCCATATACAACTTCCAAGGCAGCGGAGCCCCCCAGCTCTCCCTGCAGATCGGCGATGTGGTGCGAATACAGGAGACGTGTGGAGGTGAGTCACTGGCCCACGCCCCAAGTGCTGGACCCTTGGCTGATGGAAGCCTATAGTACACCCAGGCCCCTCAGCGCTGTCTCTGAACCTGCAACTGTGTGGTCTATTTAAAAACGTTTTGGTAACGCTAGTAATTAGAATTTACTAAACAGAAATGCTTTCTCATTTTAGGAATGTATGTTTCATAGCAAAAGCCTAACTGGGTGGTTCGATGTTTGTTATGCTCTCCATTTGCTTCAGCCATGGGGCTATTCAGCCTGTGACTCTTCCTAGATACAGTTCTTTATTAGTATTAATATCACGATAAAGGGAAATAAGCATCATTAGGGTTTGGAAGGGTCCCATAAATCACACCTCTAATTCCAGGAGAGCCGATGTGCACAGTTGTGTTGTTTGTTTACTGCATGAAGGCACCCAGCCCAGGGAGCAGGAGCTCACTCCCCTCCCCAAGCTGGGAGCCCTGTCTTGGGCAATGTGGTGGCATCTCTTTCTTTCTCCTACAAAGATGCCATTGCCTTGTGAAGCCAGGTGTCTACTGGGCTGCGTCCACCCATGGTGGTGTGCTTGTAGGGAGTGCTTTTTAAAATTTGCACAAAGATGAATGGCCTTGGACTCATAAGTCAGGCAGTTGGAAATCAACATGTCATTGATAAACTTGATATTGGGAGCATGGCTTGGGCATGAGAACCAAATGAGCTGCTGATCTGTTACCTGCAGTCAGGCAGGCTCCCACCCCTCACTGGCCCAACTGGCCTACCACAGTTCCCTCCTACCTGGGCCTGCTGATACCTCCTGCTGCATGGAGGGCACAGAGCCTGGGCTTCCTGTGTCTCGGCAGAGTGGTAGAGGAAGAAGAGAGAGTGTATTGAGCACATAGGCCTGTTCTGCCCCCAGTGAATCCATTAGAGGAGGCCCTGGGGAGGGAGTGACGGTCAGGGAGGAGGCAGGTGTGCCACTGTGAAGGAGTCCTTTCATGGGGAAAGGCGGTCACCTGCAGGAGTAGCCATCTTTGGTCCTTTCCACAAAATAGACACTGTGCTAAGTTCTTTATAACACATGATCCTAGTCACTCCTCACCACAACCCACAGGACAGGCAGTGTCATTTCCAGTGCTGGATTAGCTACATGCAACCTCTTAGGCAACAGAGCCCCTAGCTGGGTCTGCAGATTTGTACAAGGATGCTTGTGTAAACACATACACACACACAGACACACACAAAGACACACACAAACATACATATGTACATATATACACATATGCATACCTGTGCATGTAGATACAACCAAAAAACATACAGAAAACCATTTTGTGGGCAAATAATTTGAAATTTGATATGTCAAGACAACTTTAAAAGGGGTCATGGGGGAAATGAGAACTTTGTTCATCTTCCTTATATTTATTTTATGCTTTAGTATTATTTTTACTTGGGGTTGTAGATGAGGGGATACCGTACACTTTTCAGTGTCCAGGGCCTGCAAAGTTCACACTCCGGCCCTGTTGAAACCTTTTACGCAAGGAGTGGACAAGGCTGGAGGAGAGGGGTGGAGACGCTGTCCTAGAGAATTGAATTGGGTCTGTGATTCCACGCACGCTGCCCCCTGCTCACAGCATAACCCTATCTTTTACAAATCTAGTTCTGCCCAGTGGCAGATAAGCAAACTGTAGGTGACTACCAAAGGCAAAGAATGAAAATAAAAACAGCAGCAACTCTCCTCAGTGCCTCTTTCATGCTACTGGATGCTAATCCTGAGAAACAGGCACGAGACCTCACATTTGCAGATGAGGAAATGGAGGCAGTGAAATGACTCATCTAAGGTTGCACAGTGAGCTAGTGGATTTTTTTTTTTTTTTTTAAGACGGACTCTTGCTTTTGTCTCCCAAGCTGGAGTGCAGTGATGCGATCTCGGCTCACTGCAGCCTCCGCCTCCCAGATTCAACTGATTCTTGCGCCTCAGCCTCATTCGTAGCTGGGATTACCAGCATGTGCCACCACGCCTGTATTTTCAATAGAGACGGGGTTTCGCCATGTTGGCCAGGCTGGTCTCAAACACCTGGCCCTAGGTGATTCGTGCACCTCGGCCTCCCAAAGTGCTGGGATGACAGGGGTGAGCCACCGCACCTGGCCCCAGTGGCTCTTTTCTGATAGCCAAGCCCACACTCTTTCCTCCACCCATGCCTGCCAAAACAATGACAAGGCCTTGGTCATTATTTTCTGTGTCCTACATTGTGAAATCCAGATGAGTATTTTTCTCTTCGTTGTATGCAGTTTCCCTGAATAGAAAGCTTGAGGGAATAAACCTCCCACACAGGCTGCCATAGTCAGAGCCTTGCCAGTACCTTTCCCTGGCCTGGTGCCCTGACCTTTACGAAGGCTACTCTGGTGGACTCAAGCCACCTTTATTCATCTCTGGGACACCTTTATCCTTTCTTTGGTTCTGGTTTTCCATTTCTAATTCAATTAGTCTTATTTTAATGTATCTTTGTAAATTAGTCACAATAACTTGCTGGAAAAAGCTGGATATATTCATTGGTAAATGGCTAATAATTTATTAATTATTTGAAAAGACAGTGTTTGGAAGTCTGCTAGAATGATTCTAGCTATCTGAGGAAATATCATATCTCCTGGTACGCAAATCATTAGGACTTCTCATGCATACACTCATGGCCATGCAGAGTTTTCAAATAGGGGATCCAAAGTCTTCTTGGGGTGCCTTGAGTGGCAGAAGGTAATGGAGCTGGAGGGGGTCTGAGAGCAGGTCTGGTGTTGTCTGCCTTCAGATGGGGTGTATGGTCTGTGATTCTGATTGAAAAAAAAAGATTCCTCTAAAAATATAAAAGGTGTGAAAACCACAATGTTAGTCAAAAATTAGTCAAAACTGTGTAGTAGAAAGAATATGGGTGTACCCGTGAAACCTTCTTACAGAAAACTACTTCAAAACCAAAATCCAGCCAACTGAGAGGTGAATCACAATACAAGAATATTGGATTAAAAATCTGTGATAAAAGGAAATAGTGGCTAATATTGGGTCCAAATGAATCGATTTATAAAAATTGATATTAAAAACAGTAGGAATTTCTTGTAGAAGGGACAAACATAAAAAAGCAGTGTGATTTTTTTCCTCCAACCACTTCCTTCAGTCATATTTGGTTGACATCTTTCCTGAGATTTGGTGGCATCAGAAGACTTTATTTAATCTTATATCCATGTGCTGCTCACCCACTTCTTCCCTTTCACCCATTCAAACAAGACCTGGGGAAGGAGTGAGTTTGGGATGTTTTCTTTCCTATTCTTTGTCTTCTCTACTGAAATAAGCCTAATGATTGGCCAGTCCACTGTACAAATAGTCATGTAGTTGAGGAATGAAATGCCAGATGCCCCTGACATCATGATTTTTATGGCTACCATAAAGAATGTTATTGTTGGGAACCTAGACAATATTTTAAAAAATCTAATAAAGTTGAGACTTGGGAGGAGAATGGAAGATAATAGCTAACTCAATGACATCACTTTCACAACAAAGTCAATGAATATTAATTGGAAATAAAACATGGAATTAAAAAAAATAACCACGTCTATCTTTGAATGCTTTTCATAACAATTTTCATTTTAGAGAAGTTTTCAGGAAATCTTTTTAGTGATAAAGAAACATTGAATCAAAGTTCAAATGTCCCTCAATTTCACTTGGTTTCTTTTTCTTCTGCTAAATACAAATAAGATTAAATAAAATTTTTATTTATATCCCAGCACTTTGGGAGGCAGAGGCGGGTGGATCATGAGGTCAGGAGATCGAGACCCTCCTGGCTAACATGGTGAAACCCCATCTCTACTAAAAATACAAAAAATTAGCCGGGCGTGGTGGCAGGTGCCTGTAGTCCCAGCTACTCAGGAGGCTGAGGCAGGAGAATTGCGTGAACCTGGGAGGCGGAGCTTGCAGTAAGCCAAGATCGCACCACTGCACTCCAGCCTGGGAGACAGAGCAAGCCTCCGTCTCAAAAAAAAAAAAAAAAAAAAAATGTATTTATATAGTATCTTCACCATATGCTCATTTTTATGAGAGTATTTTAAAAACCATATTTTATCTTTTTATCTCTCTGTCATTCTATGTATATAAATATAAACGAAGAGTTGACTGGAATGATATTAATAGTGTTTTTCTGTGTAATGGGATTCAGGATAATTCTTTAAGCTTATATGTTTGTACTTTTCTGTTTAGTTTAAATTCTTTATAATAGCATATATTAGTTTTAAACAAACAAAAAAAAATACAGTCTTTAAGTTGGGCATGATGGTGTGTACCTATAGTCCTAGCTACCTGGGAGGCTGAGGCAGGAGGATCCCTTGAGCCCAGGAGTTTAAGACTAACAAGACTCCATCTCTGAAAAATAAGGCAAAAAAAGTATGAAGAATAAAATAACAATCACTTACATTCCAACCACCTATAATTAATCATTGCCAACACCTGAGGATATTTGCTTCCAATCTACAAGACTGCATTATTATTATTATTATTATTATTATTATTATTATTATTATTATTATTATTATTGAGATGGGGGTTTCTCTTTGTTGCCCAGTCTGGTCTCCAACTCCAGGGCCCAAGCAGTCCTCCTGCCTCAGCCTTCCAAGTACCTGGGATTACAGATGCATGCCACCTTGCCGGGCTTTCAATAGTTTTAAAATCTTCCCCACCACCCCCAATAAAGAAGTGAAAAGAGCACTGGCTTTTGAATTAGAAAGTTATTCCCTGCTTCTGCTACCCACTAGTGGAGTCATCTTGGGTATGTAAGCTTTAGGTTTCTCATCTGTTAAGTGGGTTGTTTTCACCTTGCTCCTGAGCTTCTTATGGGGATAAAATGAGAAAAAGTAAAGAAGCTGTCTACCACCAGCCTGGCTCATAGAAGGTTCTCTGTGTTTGTTAATTCCATCCTCTCCCCTATTATGTAGTGCTGTACTGAAACTGGCAGATGTATATTTTTACAACATGGCCCAGAAGCTGAATCTTTTCCTGGAATGGGTGAGACTAGCCCTTCCTTGCCTATGTACTAAATTTACTCAGCTGAATGAAGAGGGAAAACAGGACCCTAAACTGGAAGCTTAAACAAGGGTGAATTTCACTTTTTATTATAAGGATAATATATTGTTATGATAAAAACTCACATAGTTCAAGATGGTACTCATGCTAGGCCATGCTAAGCCTTAGACATCAAATGCTGACTTCATTGCCCATATTATATCTCTCATGCTGCCTCTTTTATCCAGAGGCGGCATAAACATTCTGTGTTTTAGATGTGGAAAACACAGGTAAGTGTATTGAGCAGTAGGAATTCATCATAGAAGGGACAAACACAAAAAAAAGCAGTGTTATTTTATTTCCCCCCAGTCACTTCCTCCAGTCATATTTGATTGACATCTTTCCTGATATTTGATGACATCAGAAGACTTCAATCTCATATATTGTGCAGCTCACCTACTTCTTCTGTTTCCCCAGTTTGAACAAGACCTGGGGAAGGAGGGAGTTTGGGGTGCTTTCTTTCCAGTTCTTTGTCTTCTCTACTGAAATAAGCCCTCTATGATCAGCTTGTCCATTGTAGAAATAGCCAGGTAGCTGGGGAATGAGATGCCAGATGCCCCTGACATCTTTGTGTGAAGCTCCTGGAATGCACTCATACTGTGTTTGGATGTAGTTTTGGGGTGGAGGAACTGTATCATGCCCTCCTAAGGCAACAACTTCCTACCTCCAAAGGCTGACGTGAGAGAATTGCTTGAGCCCAGGAGTTCGAGGCTGCAGTGAGGCATGATCATGCCACTGCACTCCAGACTCAGAGGCAGAGTGAGATCTTCTCTCTAAAAATAAATAAATAAACAAACAAATAAAATCAGAGGAATGAGGGAGGAGATGGATAGAGCATCCTCTGCTTTGAAAAAATAGCGCATTGCTTTTGTTGTTGCTGTTTTCTAGAAATGCAACTACATACTCTATGTACTATTCTGAGACCTTCTGTTCTCATTTGAAAATATTGGAGTGCTTTCTAAGTGAACACATATCTATTACCACATTGTTGGTTTGGCTGCAAAAGCTTGGCACAAGGAGATTTTGAATGTACCCCTCACTGAGGAGGGCACACCAAGAGCCATAGGCAGTGGCTTCCATGCTAATAACTCCTTTGAGGGTGATCTTGACCTATCCAAATTCTTTGCTTTTAATATAAGTGAGGACATTATAAGCACTTAACATGGAATCTTTTTAAAGCACCACCTTGCAAGGTGATAGTCTTTTGTTCAGGTCTGCTGTAGTGACAGGTCACTTTGAAAAGGACTCCATTTTCTTCAGTAAGGCTGCTCCATTATCAGCAGTGTGTATGTGAAGTTTTCCTCCCTTCTGAGTGAGGATGAGGCTCAGACGTCAGTAAACTTCCATTATGTTTCATTTGCGGCATGTCTATTTGCTTTGTTGTGATGGAAATATGTTGAAATGACTTTAGTGCAAAAAAAAAATGATATTATAAATCCATAGGTCCTGAAAATAAAATAGAAAATATGCCCAACTTTCTCTGCATTATTATTATTTTAATTGATTTTTTTAGAAGAATGGTATCTACTAACTCTTTTGGACACTGGACAAACTCTCTGAGTTTTTAATCCAATTTAAGCCTGATAAGACACTATTATTATTCCCATGAGATGTGAGGCACTATTATTCTCATTTTATAGATGAGGGGACTGAGGCTCAGAAGAAAGTATTAACAGGTCCATGATTGCACAGTTAAGTAGCAGATCTCCAACAAATTCAGACTTTCATTGCAGAGCTCATACTCTTTAAAAATTTTTTTAATTGTATATGTTTAAGGTATACAACATGATGTTATGAGATACATAATAGGTAGTAAGGTAGTAAGATAGTTACGATAGTGAAACAAATGACCATATCCATCATCTCACATAGTTACCCTTCTTTTTTGTTTTTGTTTTGGTGGCATCAGCAGCTAAAATCTAATCATTTAGCAGAAAGCTCAAATACAGTACAATTTTATTGACTATAGATCCCTTGTTGTACATTAGATCTCTAGACTTGTTCTTCCTACATATCTGTTACCCTGTAACCTCTAACCTACGTTTCCCCATTTCATTCCTCCCATCCCCTACCCTCCCTGGTAACCCCTGTTTCATTCTCTATGTCTGTATATTTGACTCTTTTTTTTGTTCCATATATAAGTGAAATAATGCAATACTTTCTGTGTCTGTCATATTTCACTTAGCATAATGTCTTCCAGGTTCATCCATGCTGTGACAAATGGCAAGATCTCCTCCTTTTTAAAGGGTGAATAATATTCCATTGTATATGTATATTACAGTTTCTTTATCTACTCATCCACTGGTGAGAGCACTTGGGTTGTTTCCGTATCTTGGCTATTGTGAATAATGCTGTAACGAATATGAGAGTATAGACATATTTGCAAGACAGTTATTTCATTTTCTTTGGATATATGCCTTGAAGAGGAATTGCTGGATCATATGCTAGTTCTATTTTTAATTTCTTTAGGAACTTCCATACCTTTTTCAACAATGACTACCAATCTACATTCTCACCAACAGTGTAGAAGAGTTCCCCTTTTTCCACACCCTCGCCAACATTTGTTATCTCTTGACTTTTTGATAATAGCCATTTTCACAGGCATGAGGTGATATCTCATTGTGGTTTGATTTTCATTTTTCTAACAACTAATGATGTCAAACACCTTTCCATGTATCTGTTGGCCATTTGCATGTCTTCCTTGGAGAAATGTCTATTCAGTTTCTTTGCCTATTTTGTAATCAAGTTATTTATTTTTATACTATTGAGTTATATGAGTTCTTTATAAAATTTTTGATATTAACCCCTTATCAGATGTATAGTTTGCAATTTTTTCCCTAATTCACAGGTTTTTGTTTCATTTTGTTGTTTTCTTTGGTATGCAGAAAGTTTTTAGTAGTCAGGATTCACACTCTTAACCAGTGTATTAGTCTGTTTTCACACTGCTGTAAAGAACTACCTGAGACTGGGTAATTTATGAAGAAAAGAGGTTTAATTGACTCACAGTTCTGCATGGCTGGAGAGGCCTCAGGAAACTTAAAATCATGGTGGAAGATGAAGGGGAAGCAAGGCATGTTTTACATGGCAGCAGGAGAGAGAGAGAACAAGAAGGGAAGTGCCATACGTTTAAACCATCAGATCTCGTGAGAACTCACTTACTATCACAAGAACAGAATGGGGGAAACCGTCCCTATGATCCAGTCACTTCCCACCAGGTCCCTCCCCTGACACATGGGGATTACAATTTGAGATGAGATGTGGGTGGGGACACAGAGCCAAATCACATCATTCCTCCCCTGGCCCTTCCCAAATCTCATGTCCTTCTTACATTGCAAAATCAGTCATGCCTTCCCAACAGTCCCCCAAAGTCTTAACTCACTCCAGCATTAACTCAAAAGGCCAAGTCCAAAGTCTCATCTGAGACAAGGCAAGTTCCTTCCACATATGAGCCTGTAAAATCAAAACAACAAGTCAGTTACTTCCAAGATACAATGGGGGTACAAGCATTGGGTAAATTCTCTCATTCTGAAAAGGAGAAATTAGCCAAAACAAAGGGGCTACAGGCCTCATGCAAGTCCAAAACCCAGCTGGGCAGCCATTGAATCATAAAGCTCTAAAATCTCCTTTGATTCCATGTCTCACATCTATGCAAGGCCACATTGATGCAAGGGATGGGTCCCCAAGGCCTTGGGCAGCTCTCCCTCTGTGGCATTGCAGGGTACAGACCCCACAGCTTCTTTCACAAGCTGGTATTGAGTACCTGCAGGTTTTCTAGGCACACAGTGCAAGCTGTTGGTGGATCTACAATTCTGGGGTCTGGAGGATGGTGACCCTCTTCTCACAGCTCCACTAGGCAGTGCCTCACGGGGGACTCTGTGTGGGGGCTCCAACCCCACATTTCCCTGCTGCACTGCCCTAGTAGAGGTTATCCATGAAGATTCTGCCCCTGCAGAAGACTTCTGCCTTGACATCCAGGCATTTCCATACATCCTCTGAAATCTAAGCAGAGATTCCCAAAGCTCAACTCTTGTCTCCTGTGCACCTGCAGGCCTAACACCACATGAAAGCCACCAAATCTTGGGGCCTGAACCCTCTGAAACAACAGTTTGAGCTGTACCTTGGCCCCTTTTAGCCATAGCTGGAGGTGGAGTGGCTGGCATACAGGGTGCCAAGTCCTGAGGCTGCACAGCAACAGGGCCCTGGGCCCAGCCCACAAAACCATATTTCCTTCCTAGGCCTCTGGGCCTGTGATTGGAGGGGCTGATGTGAAGATCTCTGAAATGCCCTGGAGACATTTTCCCTACTATCTTGGCTGTTAACATTCAGCTCCTTGTTACTTATATAAATTTCTGCAGCTCGTTTGAATTTCTCCACAGAAAATGGGTTTTTCTTTTCTACCACATGGTCAGGCTGAAAATTTTCCAAACTTTTACTCTCTGCTTCCCTTTTAAACATAATTTCCAATTTCAGACCATCTCTTTGTGAATGCATATGACTATATACTTTTAGAAACAGCCAGGTCAAATCTTGAATGCTATGCTGCTTAGAAATTTATTCTGCCAGATACCCTAAATCATCTCTCTTAAGTTCAGATTTTTACAGATCTCTAGGGCAGGGGAAAAGTGCTGCCAGCCAGTCTTTTGCCAAAGCATAGCTAGAGTGACCTTTGCTCCAGTTCCTAAGAAGTTCCTCATTTCCATCTGAGAGCACCTCATCCTGGATTTCATTGTCCATATCACTATCAGTATTTTGGTCAAAACCATTCAACAAGTCTCTAGCAAGTTCCAAACTTTCCCACATCTTTCTATCTTTTTCTGAGCCCTTTAAACTGTTCCAACCTCTGCCCAGTTCCAAAACTGATTCCAGATTTTCAGGCATCTTATAGCAGTCCCCGACTTCTCTCAGTACCAAGTTTCTGTATTATTCTGTTTTCACACTGTTATAAAGAACTACCCGAGACTGGGTAATTTATGAAGAAAAGAGGTTTAATTGACTTGCAGTTCTGCATGGCTAAAGAGGCCGCAGAAAACTTACAATCATGGTGGAAGGTGAAGGGGGAAGCAGGCACATCTTACATGGCAGCAGGAGAGAGAGACAGCAAGGGGAAAGTGCCACATTTTTAAACCATCAGATCTCACGAGAACTCGTTATCACCAGAACAGCATGAGGGAAATCACCCCTATGATCCAATCACCTCCGACCAGGTCCCTCCTCTGACATAAGGGGATTAAAATTTGGTATGAGATTTGGGTGGGGACACAAAGCCAAATCATATCAACCAGTGATAGGTACAAGCTTCCATCTGATCTCAATCTTATTATATATTTCAACACACAAGAAAGAAAAAGCACTCTTAAGCACTCATCACTCATATAAATATCAGCATATCTATATATGTTTATATATAAATATCAGCATATCTATATATGTTTATATATAAGTATCAGCATATCTATATATGTTTATATATAAGTATCAGCATATCTATATATGTTTATATATAAGTATCAGCATATCTATATATGTTTATATATAAGTATCAGCATATCTATATATGTTTATATATAAGTATCAGCATATCTATATATGTTTATATATAAGTATCAGCATATCTATATATGTTTATATATAAGTATCAGCATATCTATATATGTTTATATATAAGTATCAGCATATCTATATATGTTTATATATAAGTATCAGCATATCTATATATGTTTATATATAAGTATCAGCATATCTATATATGTTTATATATAAGTATCAGCATATCTATATATGTTTATATATAAGTATCAGCATATTTATATATGTTTATATATAAATATGGTAGTGGGAGAACTTATATATGTGTGTGTATATTTATATGTATATACACATGTTTATATGTATATACACATGTTTATATGTATATACACACACATATGTATGTGCTTGCTTCAGACATTTGTTTTTAAGAAATAAAAATTTCTAGTGCAATTGAAATCCCTTTTTACCCCTCCTCTATTCTTTTTTCTTTTGTCCATATGTAGGTAACACTTATCCTGAAATCAGTATGTTTTTTTCCCATCCAACTTTTTGTACCTTTGCCAGATGCATACACTTTTTAACTTTGTCTAAAAAAATAGTGTTTGTAGCACTCCTCTGGGGCTAGGTGTTATTTCCCTCACTTTACAGATAGAAACACTGAGGCTTAAGTGACATGACCAAAGGCCATGTGGCTTGG
This sequence comes from Homo sapiens, assembly GCF_000001405.40. Taxonomy (NCBI): domain Eukaryota; kingdom Metazoa; phylum Chordata; class Mammalia; order Primates; family Hominidae; genus Homo; species Homo sapiens. The sequence continues at coordinate 169,665,786 of NC_000005.10, forward strand.
AAATGGCATAGGGAGGACTGGATCTCTAGACCTTGGATTCTTTTTTGATGTTGTGGGATATTTTAAATCTCCTGCCTCCCTTGACTCTTAGAGGATTTGAGACTCTAGATGTATTTGATATTGGTATTTGAGATGTGAAAAGGGAGGATTATTTGAATAATTGGCACTTTATAATTTTCCAAAAGAATTGTAAAAATTTTTCCTTTTCTCATCTTCCTCCAGAATGCATGTCTAGTCAGTCCAGGCTACTGTGTATCATAAACTGCTTAAATAAGAGGAATTTATTCCTCATACTTATGGAGACTGGAAAGTTGAAGATCTAGGCACCAGCAGATCTGGTTTCTGGTGGGGGCCGCTTCTTGGTTTGTAGATGGCTGTGTTCTTGTCATAGCCTCTCACATGGCAGAGAGCAAAGAGAGAGGGAGCAAACTCTCCTGTAAGGGCACTAATCCCATTCATAAAGGCTCCATTCTCATGACCTAATTACCTCCCAAGGACCCCACCTCCTAATGCCATCACATCAGGTGTCAGAATTGCAACATACGAATTTTGGGAGGACACATTCAGTCCATAGCAATGCACACTGTGAATTTTATGTTAAAGAAAGTGGTTATCTCATGAAAACGGTTAGCAAAAAAGCCCTTGTTATTGTTGAATTCAAAAGAGTGTTGAACTCAGGAGCGGGTTCTGGGACATGGTAAATGCCATGTTACACTGAGCCTGCTTTTGATCATGGTGTCCACTGTCCAGGAATTTTTCTCTTTTGTACCAACCGTTGTTATCTGCCCAGTCATGTTTTGGAGCATAGATAGATATAGCTGATTGGTGACCATATTAGGGAACCAACATCAGTGGTCAGAGATAAATGACCTGGCAGAAGTAAAAATGCCAGAAAAAAGTCATAAGGATAGTCCGGATGCAGTTGATGCACTAGGCATGGGTTTGGATTCTGGTTTGGCTGCTTTTCTGCTAAAGAATGTGTTGGAATTTCTTCCCCACCTGTTTGATCTCAGTGTCACCATCCAGCAAGTGGAGATAAAGCCTTCTTGCAATGAATCCCTGGGGATTTATCCCTGGAAGCATGTAGCCCAGTGCAATATACATAGTTGGTGCACAATTAATATTGATTGAACTTGAACCTGGGAGCCAGAATAAGAATATTGGGTGTAAGTGTCAGCAGAATCCTGTCGTCAGGAGTGAGGTGCAACTCTGAGAATTAGGAAACCTATAAGACGTACACACATAACCGAGTTTTGAGGGTCAGAGCAGGCAAACTCCTTGGATCCAGGAAGACAAGTTACCTTAATGGAGTCCCTGTCACAGAGATGCAGATGTGGACATGAGCTTTGTGTAGGGACCATCTATTGGTCCCTCGATTGTTTTTCTGTTTTTTGGTGGATTTTAGTGACCTTAGCCATCATGTGGGTTCAAGTCACTGCTACCAGATGACCCTATCTCTATTTGCACTCTAACCCCATCACATGGGAGACAATGTGGCCAACCAGCTTTAAGGATTGGCTTTGAAGTCACATAAGCTTGAGTTTGAACTCTGGTTGTATGATCTTGGCCCAGCCCATCAATTGACTTGAATATCAGTTTCCTCATCTATAAAATGGGAATGATAATACTTAGCTCACAGTGTCGCTCTGAGGATTAAATGAGAGAATGCCTGTACAACGTTTAGCATACAGCTTTGCATGTTGCAGGTGACCAGTGAAAGACAGGTAATAATAATATTACAAAGTTGCATTTCTGTCTAGTTGGTGAAAAGGGGCAACTAAAGGAGGTTGTTGTAGCACAGCGCAGCAGGGTGTTGCTTGAGTGTAAATCTCAGCTGCATCACCCACTAGCTGTGTGACCATCAGCAAGCTGCTTAATCTCTGTGCCTGTCTATTTTCATTTGCAGAGCTGAAGCAGTAATAGTACCTACTTAATAGGATTGTTGTAAAGATTAATTTACAATAAGACAAAACAAAAAATGTCAACAGAGTTACCAGCACATAGGAAGCACTTAGAAAGTATAAGCAGTATTGTTAATTATGGATTATTTTTCAACAGTTATTGACAAATAATTAGAGGCCACTGAAAATAGAATGTGATGCTTCATGAAGTAGAACATCTTCCATCACTGGAAGTATTCAGGTGGAAAGTAGCTTAGTGGAGATTTAGTTTTGGAGATTTAGACATTGAGAAGTTGGAAATATTAATATTAGGTAACCATCAAATCATTCCCTCATAATATAGGAAGCATAGGTGATAGTTGCTTATGTTGAAAACCTGACACTGCAACCTACTAGCTGTGTGATCCTTGGAAAGTCACTTAACTTCTCTGTGCCTCAGGTAGGCCACTCATTTGTAAAACAGGATAATAACCGTTCCTACTTCATGCGGTTGTTATGAATATTGAAGGGCTTAATATATAAAGAGTGCTTAGAATGGTATTTTTATTTCCCACCTGAGATTCTCTTTCCAACCTCCCTTTCTTCCTTCTGTTTTTCCTCTCTCCTTCCTTTCTCCTTTTCTCCTTCCTCTCACTTTCTGTCACTCAAAAAGAAGCTATCACGGCCCCCTGTTGCTTCAGAGTTTCCTTTAGGACCTGGCCGTCAGGCTGGCTCATGACTATGAAGGGTGACTTTGCATGTTAAGTTGTTTGTTTTTGGGCTTGGTTGTATGTCTGTTGGGAACATATTTCATCAACAATCTGTCAGCCCGGTAATGAGGGGTCTGCTAGTGAGGCTCCTGACAGACGCGTTTTATTTACAAAGATGACAAATGCCACTCCTTGGCTGTGTTGGAATCATTTCAAAGGCCAGCCGACTCATTACAGTCATCAGGACTTGCTGCACTCAGGCGTATTTTGTCTGAGGACTGTGTGTAATTTGGATTTCTGCTCATTGATACATTTTTTAATATAATATTCCTGCAAAGGGTAGATCTCTTAAAATCCCTGTCCCTTTATCTGTCCCTAAACTTACTTGTTTTGTAACGACTAACTTTTGTAAATCGCATTTTAGACACTATTTGCTGCTGTTAGAACTGTCAGTGTTATTTTAGGATGTTTGCCCAAATCAGGAGCATTTCTTTGTCCCGAAGGCAGGAATTGAAAGCATGCAGATGGTCACAGGGCCCAGGAAGGCAATGGACACAAGGGAGGGGCTGCGTTGAGGCTGGTGGACTGGAGGCAGATGCTCTGTCTGGTGGACCCTGCTGCTTTTCTCCTCCCAGCCAGTTGGGAGCACTGGCCAGCACTACTGGGGCTCCTGATTTTTCAAAATCAGGAGCACCTTTATATGAAGTCTATTTTTAGATGTTATTTTGAGATGTTGGCAACCAATTCAACAGATTTCAAAGACTATGAGCTTCCAGAGTTTGATCTGTACCCAAGGTCTAAAGCAATTTGCAGTAGTTTTACTAGTTTAAAACAAAACAAAACAAAACAGAAAAACACTAGCAACAAACTTGTAATAAATGAGGGAACTGTTTCTTTGTTTTCTTTTTGCAGACTGGTATAGGGGATACCTCATAAAGCACAAAATGTTACAGGTAAGGTCACCTGGTTTTTATTTGTGTCAGTACTGGAGGTCTTCATATGGCCCCGCTATCCCATCTGAGCAGGTCTCTCCCACCATTGCTCCTCAGCAAAGGGAATCCATCTCTCCCTCCTGTGCCCTGTGCTCTCTGACCTCTGTGCCTTGTCACTCGCTGTGCTCAGCTCCCTCCCACTTTCCCTCATTCTTTAAGGTTCATCTCTGGTGCCATCTCCCTGCAACTTTTCCTGATATGCCACTCACTTATGATTTCTCCCTTCCTCGAGTCTCTGTGGAATTGTGCGTTATAAATTTGAAATTTATTCTACTGCCTTCCTTTAGAGTTGTTTGCAGCATTCAGTCATCTCCTCATCCGTATACCCAGGTCAACACAGAAAGGACAGGCCTGATTTCTACTTTTGAGGGGTTCTCTTGTTCTAACCTCACATTTCACTATTGTCTCCATGAGAGCAGGCGCTTGCTTTGCTTGTCTCATTTTCTCTCACAGCACCTAGCACAGTGACCAGATGTCCCCAGTATGCACATTGGTTGCATTTATGAAGGGATTTCCAAGTAATTGATAAACTTACCTTGTTAACTGAGCCAAATGTATGGAGTAAGGAAATAATAGAAGCTTCTTCCTTCTTCCCTGACATGCTGTGTCGGGAGGGATGGTCCTATTCTGCTCTCTCAAAGAACAATGGAATAAATGCAGGCAGAATAGGTCTCAAATCGAACTAGCCCAAATGCACCTAGGAACATTGTTGCTTCAGGACCAGTTATTTCTGACCTTCCAGTTGTTCCTGACTGTGAAGGGTGACCGCTTTCCGGAATCGGGCAGGCAATGGGAGAAGCAGAGCTCCTCGTCTCGCTTAAAGTCAGTGAGTGGTTTAGGTTGTCTTTCAAACGATACTGTCTTATAGCCCACCTGCAGGATGAGTGGCCATAATGGGTTGGAGCATCCCTTGGGATCTAGGGCTATGGTGAGATCTAGGGCTATTGTGGGATCTAGAGCAACTGATGGAGAACTGGAGGGAAAGCCAGATCTAAACAAGTAGATTTAGAATCCAGCCCCTGTTCTATCTGGCTCTGGGTTTATTCCTTTAAAGTCTGGGGATTTTATAAGCCAGTAGCTTTTGGAAAAAAATTATAAAGACGTAGGGTCATTCATTTCTGTGGTGATATATCTTTTTATTTTATTTTGTTTTGTTTTGTTTTGTTTCCAACAGGGCATTTTTCCTAAGTCATTTATCCACATCAAGGAAGTGACAGTTGAGAAAAGAAGGTATTTGCCATTCTTCACCAGACTTGAGCCTCCAGTGGCTCATGGATGTCTCTGTCCTGTTTATTTTGAAAATCTGACTTGGAAGAGCTGAGGGTTGCTCAGCTTATCTTCTTTGTGCCTGTGTATATTTGTGGGTCTCCTTTCCGTTACTCAATGGGAGATCTAATCCAAATTGATTCATACTGAGATCTGACTCTGAGGGGGTATTAGTTTGGAGAATCAAACTTTTTGCTGGCAGCTACCTTAGAACTGTATTAAAGTAGATTAATCCTAAATAATGAGCCCACCCTAGCGAAGGAGGACATAACAAAGCAAGTCCCTTGTATTTGCATAATGTAGTTGGTGTGGCTATTGGAGGTGTTTTAGTCTAATGTCAGGAAGGCCCCTCCGCAGCTGCAGCTTAATGCAAATTTGTTGGTGTTTTATCTTGTTAGCACCTGGGTCTCAATTTCACACCACTTTTTCTCCCACCTTAAATAGAAATACTGAGAACATCATTCCTGCAGAAATTCCTCTGGCACAAGAAGTGACAACGACACTTTGGGAATGGGGAAGCATCTGGAAACAACTCTATGTGGTGAGACTCAGAACTCTGCTCCCTGAGTTGGAAGCTTCTTGCAATCTTCAGTTTGGTTCCAGTTTTCATTTTAGCATTGAGTCAGGCAGGTGGAGGTGGCTTTGGTGACATAGCAGAGCGCACACTATTACGTGTGAGGACATCAAGGCCCAGAGAGGATCAGGGACTTTCTCAAAGCCACAGAGCTAGTGACAGAGCCATAATCAATGGAGTCTACTGTGAACCTTCGGTGTTTAGTGCAGAAGTTGTCAAACTTGAGCATGCATAAGAATCACCTTAAGAACTGTTAAAAATAAAGCTTCCTCCCAAGGGGTTTAATAATCTGCATTTTTAATAAACTCAGATTTGATTTGCTAGTCTGCTGATAACACATTGAGAAATACTGTTCTTATACTTTAACCAATGGCTATTGTCCTCACATCTATGAAGAAGTTTTGACTTTGGAAAAACAAAGAATATATTTTTGCATTTGTTTTCCCTGTTTTGAAGCAAATCTAATTTTAAATCCTCCTTTGATGCTCTAAAGCTCCTAATGAAAGCAATTAGCTAAGCAAACCATTAAGCTGAGAGTGAAAATGTCAACCAAGGCTTACTGCATGTTTATTATGGCACCGTGGACACCTGCTGGTGTATGCACAGGATTTGTAGACTTACCTTTCGTGGTCTTAAATGTTGACTCCCATGTGGACATTTCATAATATGAAGATGTAATTGGCACACTCAATTTTACATGTTTCTCAAAGTTTTTAGAAAAGTGTAGGGGAAAAATAGTATCCTTGTGGCTAAAGCAATTTTTTGTTCATCTCCACTATACGCTGACCTTTTTTTTTTATTTATTTTTTATTTTTTTGAGATGGAGTCTCGCTCTGTTGCCCAGGCTGGAGTGCAATGGCATGATCTTGGCTCACTGCAGCCTCTGCCTCCTGGGTTCAAGTGATTATCCTGCCTTGGCCTCCTGAGTAGCTGGGATTACAGGTGCCCGCCACCACGCCCAGCTAATTTTTTGTATTTTTAGTAGAGATGGGGTTTCATCATGTTGGTCAGGCTGGCCTTGAACTCCTGACCTCAAGTGATCCACCCACCTTGGCCTTCCAAAGTGCTGAGATTACAGGCATGAGCCACCACGCCCGGCCTACTACCCCTTTTAAAACATCACAATCACACGTACCATTGAAGCTTGGCATTTTCCCTTAGGAAATCTTTGAATAGCAGTAAGTCCATTTACTCTAGTCAGGAGATCCTTCAACATCTAGTACTTCGGTATCACATTCCTGATTCTTGCCATATCTGCATACAACCTGTGTAATATTTACTTAATAGCTGCTTTGGATCTCCTTTCAGTAAACCTGAATCTATAGACATAAAGAATGAGATAGCATGCTGCATCATTCCAGCAGTTCTTGATTCCCCGTCACCAACTAGATGCCCCACAATTCAGTTCAACGCTGACTACCCAGGGTTACTGCCAGACTCCATGGGTTTAAAGCCTCAATCCCACAAGATTGCCCTCACTTTAGATGCCAGTCGCAAGTCCTGGGTTCCCAGGTTACCTGAACTTCTGTTGGACTTGGCTATAAATTCAGGGATTCTCACTACCCCTCCCTGCCTGGGCACCCCCTTTTTTCACTTCCAGTTTCATAATTTGTTAGAACAACTCAGAGAACTCAGGAAAGTGCTATACATGTGATTACGGTTTTATTATAAAGAATGTAATTCAGGATCAGCCTTGTGGAAGAGACACAGGGCTAGGCATAGAGGGGCATAGAGCTTCCGTGTCCTCGGCACACCACCCTCCCAGCACATTGATGTGTTCACCTTCTGGGAAGCCCCTCAAATGTTATTAACCAAGAGTTTTAATCAGAGTTTCATTACACAGGCATGATTGATTAAATTATTGGCTATTGGTGCTTGAGCTCAATCCTCAGTCCCCCTCCCCTCCCAGAGGTTGGGGTGGGGCAGGTGGAGGGGAGTGGGGCTAAGTTCCAACCCTCTAATCATGTGATTGGGGGTTTGGTTCCTAGTTGGTTCCTCTGCAACCAGCCCCTCATCCTGAAGCTATCTAGGGGCCCACCTAGAATCACCTCATTAGCATAAACTCAGGTATCATTGAAAGGGGATTGTTAGGAATAACAAAATACATTCTTATCACTCTGGTCATTGCAGGAGTTTTAGGAGCACTGCTTCAAGAACCAAGGACAAAAATCAAGTGTGTATATATATATATTTTTTTGTTGTTGTTTTTTTAATTATACCACCCACACTTTCCCAAATGGAAAGACAAAAGTACTTGACACAATTAGAAGAACATTATTCATCTAAATACAATGAAAACAAGATAACATTATTTTTATAAAAAAAAATTTAGAGACAGGGTCTTGCTCTGTCACCCCCGCTGGAGTGCAGTGGGACCATCATAGCTCACTGCAGTGCTAAACTCCTGGCCTCAAGCTATCCTCCCGCCTTAGCCTCCGGAACATGCTTGCTATTGTACCTGTCAAAAGCTCTGAGTCCAAACCTTTTCTCTCTGTTTGTTAAAAAAGACATTAACAATATGTGAGAGGTGTTAGAGACATATTACTATGAAACTGCAACTTTCTCTTTCCCTTACACAGAAGGATGGAAATGGAGTGGGAGAGAATCACCTAGGGATCCATGTTGTTTGACCTTGTATCTTTGTACCACGAAGAGCCATCTTGCTTCCCATAGGTGGTACGCGTGCCACACTTTGGAGAATGCTGCCCTAGAAGCAGTCCTTTATCACCAGAGAAATGGCCCTGGCTCCCAGCCTCAAAAGGCCTGAGCTCTGGGACCTCCATTAGGGCAGATGTTCGTAGCATTCCTGTTCAATAAATATCTTTTTAGATAAAGTCAGAAATCACTCATTCCTTAACCAAGAAATGATTGAGATTTTTATTTTTGCTTTTGGGAAATCCCTGTGGTCCACGGGGAATAAATACATCAACGACTAGGACCCCCACCTAATCCTTTTGTAGTGGGTAGGGCAGGGAGAGAGCCTCAGGCCATGGCCCTTGACCACACTCACCTGACTTTGGCACAGCCTGCCAAATAGATGGTCATGCCCCTTTAACACAGGTAATTATGGGTTGTTTCTTGTCTCCTAGGCCAGCAAAAAGGAGCGTTTTCTCCAGGTGCAGTCCATGATGTACGATCTGATGGAGTGGAGGTCCCAGCTTCTCTCAGGAACCTTACCCAAGGATGAGCTGAAGGAACTGAAGCAGAAAGTCACGTCCAAAATTGACTATGGCAACAAGTAACCTCTCTTTCCTCTGCAAAGAGGTTTTCTTCCCCCAGCCATCCTCTTTCTTCCCTCTCTCCCCAGAAGCTTGTTTTCATTTTTAGATGCAATTTTGTCACTTTCTGTTTGGGAGAAGGTTGTGACCAATGGCTGTGCTTGCGTGCCGTTGTTACCACCCCTGGGGGACCTAGGGACATGCAGGTGGAGAGAAGGCTTGTACTTAACATGGTGTTATTACCAGGCTGAGAGATTTAGGACACTCATTTAACCTACTTCCGATGGACTAGGGAGCATAGTCATGCTGGTTCACTTTCAGCTTAGTTGTCATTTTATACCTGCATTTGCAAAACTCTCCCTTAAATCCCAATGTGAGACTTAATGTCTCTTCCCCCATCCTAAAGTAGCCAACCCACACACCATCAACTAACTCAAATGCACAATTACAAAAATGTTTCCTCAAAAGGGAAGAGAAGTAAAAATTGGTTGGATTTGAATGCTATGAAGTTAAGGAGAAAATGAACCAATTATTTGAGGTGGGACAACCCACTGATAATAACATTATAAGTAACTCTTAATCAGAGCTCATTGTACACCAGGCTTGGTGCTAAGTGTTTTGCAGGCATTGTCTCATTTAATTCTTATAATAACTCTATGGAGTATGCAGTTTGATTATCCCCACTTTTTTCCGATAAAGAAACCGAGGGTTTTCAGTAGGGTAGGTAACTTGTCCAGAGTCGCGCAGCTAGTAAATGACAGAATCTGAACTTAGACCCAGGCAGTCTGGCTCCAGGGTCCACCTGGAGTCCAGGGCCTCCTGGAGTGGAGTCCAGGGCCTCACCACTCTGCTACTTGGATAGCATTTGAGAACTATAAGGACCTTCCCTCCCTCCTGATCTTTTGAATGGCTTCCAAACATTCTGTTCATTTGTTCATTCATTCCTACCACAAACATGTATTGAGGACTTATAGTTGGCTGGATTTCCTGCTAGGTATTGGGGCTGTAGAAATAAAAGTCCCTGTCCACTAAAGGGTCACAGTTCCAATTAGGAGTAAGCCACAAGTAAACTGCTGATATGTACTGTGAGAAGTTCGATAGCTCAGGAAGCAAGAGTTACTTTTAATGAGCCTTAGAGAAGGAAGTCAAGGAAGACTTCCTGAAGGAGGCGACCCCTGAGCTGAAGTTTGAAGGATAAAGAGATATTAAGCAGGCTAAAAAAGGAGAGTCAGGGGCTCATGAGAGAGCATGGCATACTCAAGGAACTGCAAAGTGGGTCTGAAGGCTGGAACACAGGGCCTGAGGGGGAAGTAAAAAGCCCATTTAATGGGAATAAAAAGAAGTTTCCCCAGCAGCCAGGCCAGGCTTTCTTGCCCTGACATAAGCACTAGGGGGAGGATTCGGAGAGGAAAGTCAATGGCTCCAACTCACAGCTGGTCTCCATCCCAGGAACACAGTCCCTCTGCTGATGCCCCATTGGCATCTGGCAAGCGTGTCCAAATCTGCTTATAAAGCACATCATCCTAAAGTGACAGGAAGGGTTTGCCCCGCAGCTGCTACTGCCGTTGGTTCCATGATGTCTTTAGCTGAGCACAGTTGCAGCTGAGTGTGTGGGAATTGAGGGCTGCTTTACAATGACATCTACGACCTTCAAATGTTGTTTTCTCAATGGGGGCTCCTGAGAAGAAGGACCAGGAATGGAAGAAGTGGTCACTACTCATAGGAAGCCTTCCCTGATTTTCCACTACCCGCCTTGGCCCGGGGTAGGTGCTCTTGAAGGCCCTGAGTAGTAATTGCCTCCTTTTTGGCCTGGCTTCCCTCCTATTGTGGAAGATCCTATAGATGTTGACTGTCTAAAGCACCTCTCTGCCTGTGCCTGGAACAAGGTCTGCACATAGTAGGTTCTCAGTGAGTGACAACTGAGTGAGTGGGCGAATGGTGGTGATGGGAGAAAAAGAAGAAAGAGGGTCCTCCCTAAACCAGCCCCTCCTCTGCAGCATCCTCTGACCTATAGCCCTGTGCTTTTAGTTCTGTCAGTTTCCTTTGGGGAAGTGAGGGATGCTCCGTGGCACAGACTGAGACCTCAAGCTCAGGGGCCCCCTTATTCACCTGACTGCTTCAGCTGCAAGCGAGAGAGTTGGGCAACTTATCACTGGCCTGATAGTTTAGGTGCTCAGAGCTCTGGTATGGGATGGGCAGCTTCCTCAAATCCAGGAGGCCCAGCGTCTGGGCCAAGTGTCAGGATCAGCCTGGGAACACCCACCTCCAACTTCCAGCAGCTGGGAGATTGGGTGGGGGTGGCACAAAGTGGAACTGAACCTTGGAGGAGTGATCAGAATGAGCTTGTTTCTTCTCTCATTCATTCCGTTCCTTCATTCAGATATCAAACTTTCTTTGCACACCTGGTAGGCCCCAAGGGTACAGGGTACAGACACATACACAATACAGTCTCTGTTTTTAACAACAATCAAAAAGCAAGCAATGAGAACCAGTGATAACTTCTGAAGCGCTCACTGTACACCAGGCACCATTTAAAGCACTTTCCATATATTAACTCTGTGAAGTATCAAAACAACTTTATGAGGTAGGCACTATTCTCACCCTGTTTCTCAGGTGAGGAAAGTGAGGCTCAAGAGTGATTAGGTGTGTGAGCTGAGAAACCAACACAGGTGCCTCTTTATCAACTAAGATGGACTCTAAGGTTAAGGAAACAACAGCTGCCTATGGGTCAGGTTGAGCATTCAGGGGAGCTGGCATGGCAACTCCCTAAATTCCTACAGCTACAAGAAAAACACACTCTTGTCAAACTCCCTAACAATAGGAGCTATCAGGCAAATTATCAGACCCTTCCTAACTCTGATTTACATCCACACCACTATAACTCTAAGTGGACAGAGGACTGGCCTGCTAAACATTCTTTTTTTTGATAAAGAACTGCAAATCTTAAGTCAGTTTCAGCTAGCTGAAGGCTGCCCGCAAACTGTGTCCAGTAGTTCACCTTTTGATGTAAAGTGCCAAGTTTCATCTTATTTTAATAATAAACCCCACCCCAAAGTGTACATGGGATGTATGTTACATACATGTTTACCCGTTGTGCATGCTCTTGTCTCCATAAATATGTATGATTTTTCCCCTAAACCTGCTGAATATGTATGATGTTGGCCCTGTGAGGCATAAAACCCAACATGTCCTTTCCGTCTTCAAAGAGAGAGCACCTTCCAGACATGACAGAGACTGTCTCTTCAAAGTTTGCAAACCGATGTAACCAGTGAGGTTCTCCTTTTGTAATGAAGTGCAGGCTCTGCTGCTCGCTGCTTGCAAAGCCAGTAACGGGGACACAGGGCATTGTAAGGAAAGTGACTTTATTTCCGAAGCCAGCCATGGGGAAACATACAGGCTCACCCCTCTGGAAACCACTTCAAAACTCTGGGCTGAGGGCAGGGGTTTCAAAAAGGGAAGCTGGATGTGGGAGGCATGCAGGAGCTGTGTAGGGTGCAGGGGCTGTGTGTTTTGCCCTGATGCCAGTCTTGAGTTATGGTCCACCTGGAGCACAGACTGGTGCCATCTTGACAGTGGCCAGGCTGTAGATGATCCATCTTGAGGCAGTCTTTAAGTGGGGGAGAATTCTGTAGCTGCGCTCTCATGCCTGGTTTGTTTTAAATTAGCCCCTGGAATTTCTTAACAAGCACAGAGTTAAGTAAATGTGCATGGAGTAAGAGAGTATATGTTAGAAGACGGAAGGGAATGGAGCTTCAAAGTATGTTTCAAGGGTATACTTAAGACTAAGGAAAAAAAAAGGCTTCTATAGTTTTTCTCAAGGTTACATCTTCAGTCTTGAGAAAAGTTTTTGTTTTTTTTTTTCTTTTTTGAGACAGAGTCTCGATCTGTCACCCAGGCTAGAGTGCAGAGTGCACTGCAACATCCGCCTCCCAGGTTCAAGTGATTCTCCTGCCTCAGTCTCCCAAGTAGCTGGGACTATAGGCACACGTCACCATGCCAGGCTAATTTTTGTATTTTTAGTAGAGACGGGGTTTCACCAGTCTCTACCAGGCTGGTCTTGAACTCCTGACCTTGTGATCCACCTGCCTTGGCCTGCAAAAGTGCTGGGATTACAGTCATAAGCCACCGAGCCTGGCCAAGAAAAAAGTTTTAAAATGCATTTTGAAGCTGAGATCCTCGGTTACACTTTCTACTATTTGGCCATCCTGGTGGTCTTTTGAACGGCAGGTGATTTTGCTCAAGATGCAGTGGAATTTGAACTGATAATGTGGCTCCAGAGTTCAAGTGCTTGACTGCTGTATTCTACTGCCTTCCATGAGCTGTGTGAGTTAATAAGGGAGGCAGAGAAGTAAACAGCCACTTTCAGTCGGAAGTCATATACATTAGGAGTGCAGGAAGCATGGGCAAGAAGGTTGGAGGACATGGGGGTGGGAGTCAGGGTGGGGATGACAACCACTCTGAATCTAACTAGACCAGCAGGAATTATTAGGTGAAATGGAGAAGAGAAACTCGGAGGGAGAGAATGTGGGAGATGAGAGGTTGACATGACCACGGAGAGGAAGACATGGGTGGACTGGGGCTGGAACCTTGAGGATTTTAGCACCAACTGAGTCTGGATTTGTCCAGACAGCAATGGGGAGCCATCACAGATTTTTAGGCTGGCATATGCAGTGGTGCAGTCACAGCTCACTACAGTCTCCTTCTCCTGGGGTCAAGTGATCCTCCCACCTCAGCCTCCCGAGGAGCTGGAACTACAGGTGCGTGCCACCATGCCCAGCTGATTTTACCTTTTTTAAAAATTTTATTATAAATAAATGCATACAGTGGGGCCTTTTCCCTCTACCCTCATCTTGGCTTCATTTTATCACTTCCTTGAACAGAAGAGAGCACTGGGGTTACATCCTGATGAGAGAATGCCTAAATGTTCTGCTCCCCAAAATTCATGGTGGCTGCATTCAGAGGCTGTGGAGGACAGCCTCTCCTGCCCCTGGGCCATGAGAGTCCTGTCAATCCTACCAAAGCTCCCAAAGTTCCAAGTGATTTTGATGTCCAAGGATTGAGGAATCCTCAAATGACTTCTTCACATCCCAAGATAGCCAGACCTAGGAGAATGTTTTATTCATGTATTTTAGAACCGAATCCACTTTGATAAATTTTGAGGAGAAACAGCCAGAGAGATCTTGGCATTAAATTATGTATCAGCGATGCTCCATCTTTTCCAAGGTCAGGAGAGCCTCTGCTAAGCATTAGCTGAATGTGTTTCTTCCCCCTTAGCATTGCCGTTGGGCAGCATGGCCGTGTACCATTATGAGTCATGTTAAGTTGGGAGTTAATTTCCTAATGAATGTGGACAAATGGGTGAACCTTGGCTCGCTTCTGACTGCATTTGGATGAGATGAGAGATGCGCCTCTCAATTCGATTCTCTGATAGAGATGAAGACTTAGTTTCCTTCATTTGTCCTTGCTACCCTTCCAGAATCTGGTACTTAGTAGTCGCAACCAAGCAGGAGTATGGTTGGCCTTCTCAGAATCCATCAGCCCCACCTCCTCCTACCTTCTTTGTATGGACAACTGAGGCTCTTCATCTCAATATCAAGTGCAAAAGCAGTTTCAAGTTCAAGGTTTCTGCAAACACACCCTACCCCACTCCACAACCCATATACTGCTCCTAAGCTCCTCCTATCTATTATAGTAAGCATACCAGAGAGGTTATGAGTGTGGACAAAGATGTATTCTTAGTTTTTACTAGCTATATGACCTTGAGCAATTAGTCCTCATATCCTCAGTCTTTTCTTCATTTGTAAAATGGGGTTATTGATAGTACCTCCTTCATAGGGTTGTTATGAGAATTAAATGGATTAATTTTATGTAAAACACTTATTGTATGTGAGCTGATTGTAAGTGCTGTGTGAGTTTGCTGCTATTAGTATCACTGATGCCGATCAGGATGACAGGTGTAGTTGAAACAAATCAATACCAAACAGGGAAAAGCTTGTGGCCTGGAAGTCAAATAGCTGAAAGCAAGCTGTGGGTAACAGTCAACATGTCTGAGATTGTTTTTCCCCAACCACTATTTTCAAATTTTTATTGAGTAATATATAAATACCTCCTCTGTGTATATATTTAAAAAGAGGCTAGGTACGGTAGTAGCTGGGCATGGTGGCATGTGCCTGTAGTCCCAGCTGCTCAGGAGGCTGAGGTGGGAGGATTGCTTGAGCCCAAGAGTTCAAGGCTGTGGGAAGCTATGATCACACCACTGTACCCCAGCCTGGAAGACAGAGCAAGACCCTGACTCATTAAAAAAAAAATTAAATAAATTGAGACAAGGCACATGTAACCTTTGACCCCTTTACTCCTCCAGCCCTAGGCCCCTACCTGTCCCCACAGATAACCTGTGTTGGTAGTTTGGTCCTTTTTTCATTCAGAGCTTTCTCTCATACATAAGCTTATTCTTATACATGAACCCAGATAACATATCTGGCCTATTTTTTGTTTATTTGTTTTATTGTTATTTATTTATAAAAATAAATATTGTATGCACACTGTATGCATCTTTCCATGCTTGATTTTTGCACTGAAATATATTATTAAACATAGCAAAACTATATAATATTTTAAAAGGTCTGCTATGTGGTATTCCATTATAGATAGATCACTGTTGATTTAGCCATTTCTCTTTTAGTAGACCTTTTTTTTTTTTTTTTTTTTTTTTTTCTGAGATGGAGTCTCGCTCTGTCACCGAGGCTGGAGTGCAGTGGTGCAATCTCGGCTCGCTGCAACTTCCGCCTCCCAGGTTCAAGAAATTCTCCTGTCTCAGCCTCCCGAGTAGCTGGGATTACAGGAGCTCACCACCATGCCTGGCTAATTTTTGTATTTTTAGTAGAGACAGGGTTTCACCATCTTGGCCAGGCTAGTCTTGAACTCCTGACCTCAGGTGATCCACCCACCTCGGCCTCCCAAAGTGCTGGGATTACAGGCGTGAGTCACCGTACCCAGCTAACATTTTTTTTTTTTTTCAATACTTGCTGATGTGAACAAGTCTGCAACACATCCTAGTTCAAGTGTTGGGTGTTTCAGTTTAATACCATGGAAAATACACCTTTTTAAAAAATTGAATGCACACTACTACAGTACCTTCTAAAGGGGGTCTACTATACCAATATGTGCTCACTAGCAGTGTCCCAGGCTATCAGTGTAGAGCTCTTCTATGTGACTATATGACCCCCAGAAATCAGCTGAACTTTCTGGTAAAAAGCTTCTCACCAGTGACCTAAAGTTCTCCCCTGATTTGTCTTCACCTCCAGTTTTTGCTTTACAGAATCCTTGAGCTTGATTTGATTGTCAGAGATGAAGACGGAAATATCTTGGACCCTGATAATACCAGTGTCATCAGCTTGTTCCATGCACATGAGGAAGCAACTGATAAAATCACAGAGCGTATCAAAGAAGAAATGGTGAGCTTTACTAAATAGGCTTTGGCCAAGTGATACAATCATTTAGCACATCATAAACTTAAAATAATGGGCTAATGAACCAGACTGTGTATTATTCAAGGGGCATCTGTCTATGACCTGAGATGATCAGCAACCACATGTGTTTAACTGTGGTTTCGTACTCAAATCTGTAATTCATTCAACATCCATCTCACAGGTAGTTAAATGGCAGGCAAGTTTCTTGATCTCTTGGAGCTTGTAGATTCCAGAAGGGGAAAAGAAGAAAGGCGATAACAAAGTAAATAAATAAGTGAAAATATTAATTCCAGATGAGTGTATAAAAGGCAATGAACCAGGGTTATGTGAATCAAAGTGACTCAGGAGCTATGTTAAAAGGCACTGCCAGGAGAGGCTTCTCTCAAGAGTGACATTTGAGCTGACACCTGAATCATGTGAGGGCACCAGGCCTGGGATGATCTGGGACAGGGTGTTCCAGGCAGAGGGCACAGCAGGTGCAAAGGCCCTGAGGTAGGACTGCATTCTGACTATTCAAGGAGTAGGAAAGCCAAACAAGGATGAGGTGTGGTGAACACCAGGGGAGTTTAGGCAATGATTTGCAGAGGCCGGGTAGGTGGAGACAGATCTCAAAGGGCCTGAGGGGTTTTGGAAAAGAGTTGTGATGTTATTCCCACGGATGGGAAATCAGTGAGAGATTTCAAGGAAAGGTTAACAGTCTGACTTTTATTTAAAAAAATTATTTTAGCTACTCTGTGTTATTTGAAAGCAATTTTGTTTTTAGATTTATTAAGATATAATTTTCATATAGTACATTTCACTCATTTTAAATTACTCTTTAATGAATCGTAATAATATATTGTGTTGGATAAACATCGTGACAATCAAGATAAAGAACACTTCCATCACCCTAAAAGTTTCTTTGTGCTCCTTCTCCAGCCCCAAGCCCCGTGCAACCCCTAATTTCCTGTCACTGTAGATTTGCCTTTTCTAGAGTTTCATATAAGTGGAATCGTGCAGTATTAATTTTCTGTTTGACTTTTACTCAGCAAGATGTTTTTGAGGTTTATGTTGTTGTGCATATTAACATTTTGGTCCTTTTTATTACTGAGTCAGTATACCACTGGCCAGTTACCAATGGTATATAGCATTGACCAATTATTGGGCATTTGGGTAAGTTTTCAGTTCAGAGCTATTATACTAATGCAACTATGAACATTTGGAAACAAATCCTTGTGCGGACATGTTTTAATTCCTTTTGGGCAATACTTAGCAGTGGGATTGCTGGATCATGTGATAAGTGTATATATAACTTTTTAAGGTATTGCCATGCTGTTTCTCAAAATGGCTGTACAATTTTTTTTGTTTTTTTGAGACAGGGTCTCTCACTCTATCACCCAGGCTGGAGTATAATGGTGTGATCATGGCTCACTGTAGCTTCGACCCCCTGGGCTCAGGTGATTGTTCTACCTCAGCCTCCCAAGTAGCTGGGATCACAGGTGCATGCCAACATGCCTGGCTAATTTTTTTTATTTTCTGTAGAGATGGGTTTTCACTATGTTGCCGAGGCTGATCTTGAATTCCTGGGCTCAAATGGTCAGCCCATCTCAGCCTTCCAAAGTGCTGAGATTACAGGTGTGAGCCACCACGCCAGCCTAATTTTGCATTTCTACCAGCAATATATGAGAGCTTTAGTTGCTCTACATCCTCGTCAACACTTGATATCAGACTTTTTAACTTAGCCATTCTAGTGGTTGTGTAGTTGTATCTCATTGTAGTTTTAATTTTCATTTTTTTTGATAAGTAGTAATGTTGAGTATCTCTTTATGTGCTTCCTGTCATTTCCACTTGTATTTTCTCTTGGGAAGTGTCTGGTCAAACATTTTACCCATTTTAATTGGGTTATTTTCCTCATAATTAGTTGTAAGAGTTATTTGTATGTTCTAGATACAAATTCTTTGTCAGATATGTTTTGCAAGTTTCTCCAAATCTGTACCTAGCTGTTGCATCTTTCAAAGAGCAAAAGTTTATAGTTTTGAAAAAATCCATTTAAGCAATATTTTTCTTTTCTAGTTTGTGCTTTTTATGACACTAACTTTATGAAGAAGTCTGGGTCAATGGTGACATTTCCCAAGATAGAAAAATACAGGCCAAGAGAGTCAAAGCGAATTGATTCAGGTTACAGAAGCTTTTGATGGCAGAGCTGGATGGAATGCCCAAACTTTAGGCTTGAACCCAATATCCTTGACTATCTCTCTGTTGCTCTAAGTGGTGCTAGGCTAATTTTCTCCATCTTCTTTCCTTCTTCCTTCTGCCTTTCAGTCAAAAGACCAGCCAGATTATGCAATGTATTCCCGGATCTCCTCATCCCCCACCCATAGCCTCTATGTGTTTGTGAGAAACTTTGTGTGCAGAATTGGGGAAGATGCTGAGCTCTTCATGTCTCTCTACGACCCCAACAAGCAAACGGTCATAAGGTAGGTGTGTCCAGGGTTGCCCTACTTCTCTGACTATGGGAAGCAGTGCACAGAGCATCTTTTCTTTCCATCCTCACTTGTGGAGCAATCTCCACCTGGAAAAGAGACTGCACCTGAGTGAGAATGTGGAAATAACTTCTTTGGAGGTTGTAGGAGTCAAGTGGAAGTGTTATTTACCACCAGTTTTTTCCCACAGTGGAGTTTATGGTTGTAGGGTTTTGTAAAATAGATTTTGATTGCCAGAAAGCAGTCAGAAATAACAAGATTCAGACAAGTAGCATTGGCTAGAATAAAAATATGTACTTCTTTTTTGTTTTGAGACAGGGTCTCACTCTGTTGCCCAGGCTGGAGTGCATGGGTGCAATCACGGCTCGCTGTAGACTTGAACTCCTAGGCTCAAGTGGTTCTCCCACCTCAGCCTCCTGAGTAGCTGGGACTATAGGCATGTGCCACCACACCTGCTTAATTTTTAATTTTTTATAGAGGCAGGGTCTTGCTGCATTGTCCAGTCTGGTGTCGAACTCTTGGCTTCGAGTGATCCTCCCACCTTGGCTTCCCAAAGTGCTGGGATTATAGGGGTGAGCCACTGCTACCTGCCAATATCTACTTTCAAAATAGGAGCTAAGAAATGAATGCTCCAAATCCTCTGTAGCAGCAATAGGCTAAGGGTATAGGCTCTGAGATCTGTCTGGGTTCACATCTAGGCCCCAGCCTTTACTCTTTCTTAACATGGGGCAGGTTGTTAATGTTTCTTAAGCCTGAGTTTCCCATCTGCATAATGCGAGTGCTGACCTCACAGGGTCATTTGCTTCAGGCTTTAATGAGAAAGAGTTTGTGATGCACAAGGCCTGGCACATGTTGCCTGTACTGCAAGGGGCAGTGGTTGTTATTATTACTACTTTAATAAGTTGTTCTTGGGAATGGAGGAAGTGAGGGAACTTCTGGGTGCCTCAGCTCAAGGAAGGGAAAATACTCTTGGGAATCTCCAGGGAAGAGACTTTGCTGCTCCTCCGGCTCCCACTGCCAGACTCCTGGCCTCTACTTGTGGCTTAGACCATCCTTCCTCTCAGGCGACCACTGCCTGTCTCCTCCATTGGGGTTTTAGCCCAAGACATGGTCTCATATTTGAGACCACTGACCGTGACTGCAGGCATGCGCCACCACGCCCGGCTAATTTTTAAGTTTTTGTAGAGGCACACATTAGAAAAGAGCTAGGACATGATCTCTCTGCCTTTGTGGGAAAAATGGATAAAATGATGTCTTCCTGGCTTGTTGTTATGATGATTAAATGAACGAATACACCATGCCTGAGGAATAGTGGTGCTTTAGTAAACAGCGGCCTCCTGGAGACATGCATGAAACTGGAGGGGCTGTCCATCTCAGAAGAATGTGCTGGGGTCTGTACATTGTCTCATCTAATCCTCATGGTTCCGTGTCACTAAGATGAGAAAATGAGGCTCAGGGAAGTCAAGCAACTTGCCCAAAGTCACAAATATTTGTAAACAGCAGAGCTGGGATTTATATACAGGCCCATCTAACTCCAAAGACAAGCTATTTCCCACGTAAGTCTGTCACCAAGGAATGAGTTGTGTCAAATATTCTAAATGGTTTTCACCAGGGTTTCAGCACCATTATGGTGGAAAGGTAATTTTTATTATGCACCAAAGTCCCTAACCTCAAAGAGTCAGCCCAATTCACCTGGCTTAGCCTTGGTGGACCCCGATAATGAGTGTCCCTGGTCCCTTACGCCCACCTTGAAATGGTTTGGGAGTCAGAGGCAGGGGCCCCTTGCTGTTCCCTGTCAGTTACTCCCAAGGTTCCTGAAAGGCTCACTGGCTGCAGTTTCAGGAGCCTTAGAAGCAACCGAGAGGAAACAGTATGGGGCCTATGACACACAGCAGATCTGAAAGTGCTCACTGCCTGCCACATTGACAAGGGAGTGTGGTCGGCTGGCCCCATCTCAGTGATGGATGGCTGGACCAGCTCTGTGGAGGGAGACCATGAATCAGCGAGGTGGCAGCTGTGCTCCCTGCCGTGCCACCTGGCAGGCCATGCTCAATGGGGTGTGCCTGAGTGACATCTCTGAGAGTGCTGGAGACGAGGGCCAGCCCAGGGAGAGTGGGGATGAACAGAGAGAGGAGGACAAAGGGGGCAGAAACCAGCAATTGTGAAAAGAGGAGAAAGCAAAGGAAGAAGAGAAGAGGCACAATGCAGGAAGGAGGGCAGGGGAATCTGGGAACACTCCCAATGTCAGTCTCACTCTGAAGAGCTGCTCTTTCCCTAAGCAAGAAATCTGGGCTCCTGCCTGCTGTAGCCAGGATCGACATACAGTGAACAACAGGCAGGTTAAGACATCTTCAGTGTGGCCCAGATGTGGACTGGGGAGAATATAGCTAGGATCGATGTTTTAATGTTGGACTGAATCACGGTCAGATACCCAGTAGATCCCTGAAGGGATCCTGTTTGGGAAATTTAATGTAAATTTTTACAGGACAAAAGAGAAGCAGTTCAGGTATCAGGCTAGCAGTAAGGCTTATGCCCAAAAATTGTGTGATGAGGAGTTGGAATAGTACTCCTCGTTCCTCTGAGTAGGTTGTCATTTGGAGGAGGTCTTACATGTCTTGGTGCTGTGAGCCTTCAGATTCTACCACCTAGATCTTCCTGGGTGAGGATGGATGGGACCAGCTCAGCCCTCCAAATTGTTTTCCTTATTTATGATTGTGCTTCTCCTGGAAGAAAATTGCTGGTGCTTGCTGTTTAGACGTAGCAAGCTGGGTCACTGAGGGGCTTGCTACATATGATGGAAGGTACTGGAATATATCTAAGCATTTCACTAACAACAGTACAGAAATTACCAATGAGAAAGCATTAAAAATAAAAAAAATTTGCATGGAGACTTCCTAGTTAGTTTACTGCAAACTCCACTACAATTTTTAGATCTTACTGAAAAAAACACAAAAGATGAAAAGATCCACTTAACTTGATTGAGTTTTAAGCATTGGTTAATCTGGGACTGTGTTCATTTTTGCTATTGGCCCCATTGCCTGCTTGAACTCTGCTCAGTCTGCTCTCATTAACCTTTTAGGGGTGACTGGAGAGAGAGGAACGAGGCATCAGAGATAAAACAAGCTCTAAAAGGAAGTCAAGTCCCTTTAATTTTGCTGAATCCCGTTATGCCTTCTTAGGCTAACTTGATTTTTGAATTTTTAAAAAATCTTGTTCCTAATTTAAAATAATGGGCACTTATTTAGCACCAACTATATGCTCCTAAATGGCGTGGAAAATCTGATGACTCAACTCAGCAAACTATATTAAGCTTCTTCTAACTTAAATAAGTGCTAGACCTCTCTATCTTCCTGGAGTGATGGGACTGACCAGCATGACGGCTGCTAGGAGATATGAGATGGCAAAGGATCGTACGTTAGAACCATATAGCTGGTCCTCATAAAACCCTCCAATGGGTTTCCATTACTCTCATCATCAAGGCAAAAATCCTTGAATGGCCTATAAAGCCTATGTGGTCTGGCCTCTCCCTCTAATTTTTCTCTTGTAACTTTCCGTTGAATCTGTTTATTTTTATTTATTTATTTTTTGAGATGGAGTCTCCCTTTTCACCCAGACTGGAGTGCAGTGGCATGACCTCAGCTCACTGCAACCTCCACCTCCCGGGTTCAAGTGATTCTTCTGCCTCAGCCACCCTAGTAGCTGGGACTACAGGCATGTGCCACCATGCCTGGCTAATTTTTTATATTTTTAGTAGAGGCAGGGTTTCACCATGTTGCCCAAGCTGGTCTTGAACTCCTGAACTCAGGTGATCTGCCCACCTTGGCCTTGCAAAGTGCTGGGATTACAGGCATGAGCCACTGTGCCCAGCCCCCTTGAATCTGTTTCCTAGATGCATCCAGCTGTTTCCTGCCTCGTGGCCTTTACTCACGTTGACTTTGCCTGAAGCATTTCCCTTTCCTACCTTCTTTTCTTGACCAACTTTATTTCATGTCATTTCCTCAGCAAAGACTTCCTTGACCACCCACTAGGTCAGGCCCATTTGATACACATTCATACAACATCCTGAACTTTTCCTTTATACAGCCTGACTATTCCTTATTTGAAACGCTTGGGACCAGAATTGTTTTGGATTTCAGATTTTCTCTTGGATTTTGGAATATTTGCATTATATATATCTACCAGTTGAGCATCTCTAATCCCAAAATCTGAAATCTAAAATATTCTGATGAACATTTCCTTTGAGCATCATGTTGACACTTAAAAATTTTCAGGTTTGGGAGCATTTCATATTTGGGATTTTCAGATTAAGGGTGCTTAGCCTGTAGCACAATTTTATATAAATAGTGTTACAATGGCATTTAAACAGTTATTTAATTGTATCTTAGATAATGGCTGAGACCCTATATGACCCATCACTGTATGACATTCCATTCAAGGAAACAGCTCTACATTCAAAGGGTAACTTAAAATAATTCAGATCTTTACTCAGTCTTGAATGGGGAACGGGCCGGAAAGGGTAAATATATTCTTAATGTCCAATAAAATATACTAAAGTCCTTTCCCCTCTCATCTCTGCCATTCTCAATAACCTCTATCAGTATGCAGATGCTCCTCAAAAATATTAGACAGCTGTGCCAGAATTTGCTTAGCAGATGGGAGAGGGATAGTAGTGGCAAATACGCATAGGTTAATAGTTCTTTGCTCTTGCCTGTCTAATGTCTGTCTCCCAACACAACTGTGATCTCTCGGAGGGAAGGACCATGTCTTTCTTAAACACCTGCATACCCCCAGCAGCCAGTATGGTGTTGGGCACATAGTAGATGCTTGGTGAATGTTTTGACTAAATGGATGTCAGGTCCCTTGGCAGTAACGGGCTGCCACTCTTCTTCCCACAGTGAGAACTACCTAGTGCGATGGGGCAGCCGGGGCTTCCCTAAGGAGATTGAGATGCTCAACAATCTGAAGGTGGTCTTCACGGTGAGTGTGCACCCTCTTCTCGTTACCGTGCTCCCCAACCACAAAAATGTGACCTTGGAAATGAGGCTGGTCAGGAGCTCAGGGTGAAGTGTGGCTGTCCTGCAGAGCTGTGTTGTGGGCTCCAAGCAGAAATCCAAAGCTGACAAAGGACATTGTGTGCCTTGAGGAAGCTTTCGGAAAGATGGATGTTCACCTCTGTTTTTCCTCATCTCTCCCTATCCGTCTCACTCCTGCACACACAGAGAACATATGCAGAATGCTACATAAACAAGCACCAACTTCTTTGAGCAATAATGCCCAGGTGAACTGGGCACAACAGCAATTTTGATTTTCCGGTTCATTCATGATTAACCTGAGTTCCTTTCTTTGTTCAGGGCTTTCTGAAAAATCTTTCTAAAATATATCAGAAAAAAATAGGACCTTTCTAGAATATTGACTGCCTTGGTAAATTGGACATTCTGAATATAATTAAGTCATAGATGACTAACGATCTGGTGGGTCCTTAGGATCATCCTTCTAAATACCAATACTCACTGAGCAAGACATGTACGTAGAAATGTTGAAATCGATTGTTATTTGGATGATTTATTTCTGAGAGCGAAGCTGGCTTTTTAGCTCTGAATAGGGGAAACAAGGGAAAGAAGGAGATAAGTAAAGGTTATAATTTTTAGTAGAGACCCCTTTCTCATCCTGTTTCCATAAGGGTGTGAAGAGTGTGATTTTTTTTTTTTTTTTTTTGAGATGGAGTCTCACTCTGTTGCCCAGGCTGGGGTGCAGTGGCACCATCTCGGCTCTCAAGGAGAATCTCAAGTGATTCTCCTGCCTCAGCCTCCTGAGTAGCTGGAATTACAGGTGTGAGCCACCTCACCCAGCAAGTGTGATCTTAAGACACCTAAATATCTTAGCATTGTCTGTAAGCTTCTTTGGGGAGAACACTGTTTATGAGATTTTTCACTACATTGCCTGTATTAGCTAGGGAAATTACAGAGAAGGAGCCAGGGAGGGATTTGGGCATTGACCAAACAGATGAGTTGGATCCAGGAGTGACCGACATGCTAGATTAACCTACCTTGCTCTACAATAATTTTTTGGTTACAGCCCATTAATTGCAATGTCTTATGTTATGTTGTGATTACATTGAGGAATAGCTGATTAATTTTGTTATTTTCTTTAAAAAATGGGCCAGAGGCATGGAATGGGATCATAGGTCCTAATTGCTTAGGCAAAGTTTTCTTGGCATATATAGATGTGCCTCCATCCTGTTTATCTGTTATTAGTTACAAGGAGGAGCCTATTTATTTTCTGGATAAATAGGAGAGTCCCACAGGCCTTCCTGATTAAACCACAAGACAGATGTTGCATGAGAGGGAGAAGAACGGGGAATCAATCAGTGGTTCATTTTGCAGAGAACCAATTCATGATGTAAACATGGGGGAAAGAGCATCAGTAAATTTGTGTCACACAGCATTAATGAGAATGTAATCCTGCCTTCATGGAATTCTGCCTGGGCCACACCTCCGCTCCTCAGAACAAGTGGAGTTGAGAGCCTTGGTTGACAGGCTCAACAGGTGGATGCTTCCCTCTGTTAAGATGATCAGTCTTGATCTGGGGGTGTATTAGTTCATTCTTGCATGGCTATAAAGAAATCCCTGAAACTGGGTAATTTGTAAAGAAAAGAGCTTTAATTGGCTCATGGTTCTTCAGGCTGTACGAGAAGGGTGATGTTGGCATCTTCTCGACTTCTGGGGGGGCCTCAGGAAAGTTGCCATCATGGCAGAAGGCAAAGGGAAAGCAGGCTTGTCCTATGTGACCAGAGCAGGAACAAGAGACACGGGGGAGGTGCTACACACTTTTAAACAACCAGGTCTTAGGAGAACTCGCTATCATGATGATAGCACCTTTGGTGTCATTTCTCCTGGTGTTAAACCATAAGAAAGCACCCCCATGATCCAATCACCTCCCATCAGGCCCCACCTCCAGCCTGGGGATTACATTTTAACATGAGATTTGGGTGGGGACAGTGATCCAGACCATATCAGGGGGCAAGGAAGGTGATGGTGCTCTCACTTCTTATATCGATCCAAGAGCTAGCCAATGAGTGCCTACTATGCATGTGCTCTGTGCTAAGCACTGGCCATACAGCAGTGAGTGCTTTCATGGTGCAGTGGGGTTAAATTCAGATAATAAAATGCATGCACAAATAAACAAGAGCAATGTCAGAAAGCAATCCAAGCAATGCAGATAATTAAAACAGGGTGATGTGATGGTATGTGACTGGAAGTTACTTTCAACTGGGTGTTGAGGTGACGTTTAAATTAGAGATGAGATAAGACTTGGCAAGCATGTGTCTTGCTGGCCTTATTTCCTCCCTCTCTGGATGTTAGCTCTTCCTGGTCTCCTATGTTGGGGGAAGGCTTCCAGATCTTTGAGCCTCTCTGAGCCTCTCTGAGCCTGGCATGTGGGTCCAGCTGACTGTTGACTTTCCCTATGTTTTGTTTTATTTATTTATTTATTTATTTATTTTTATTTATTTTTTTTTTTGAGATGGAGTCTTGCTCTGTCGCCAGGCTGGAGTGCTGTGGTGCAATCTCAGCTCACTGCAACCTCCACCTCCTGGGTTCAAGCAATTCCCCTGCTTCAGCCTCCCAAGTAGCTGAGACTACAGGTACATGCTACCACGCCCCACTAATTTTTTGTATTTTAGTATAGACGGGGTTTCACCATGTTGGCCAGGATGGTCTTGATCTCCTGACCTCGTGATCCACCCACCTCAGCCTCCCAAAGTGCTGGGATTACAGGCGTGAGCCACTGCTCCTGGCCCTTTCCCTCTGTTTTGTAAGGGTTTACCCCACAAGGCTATGTAAGAAGAAAGCAGCATATACTACGAGGTTCCCTAAGATTTAGCCCAGTTTTGGGGTGGTTGCTAACACACAGGAAACAAGAGTGAACAATAAAAGAAGCACTAATGAGTTCCTAAATCAGGTGATGCTTGTTAAGTTCCATTGCCCTGCTTCCCCAATACTTTCGAGTTTTGTAAGGCCGAAGCAGAAATGACTGGGAGACACCATAGATTGGAGCACAATTCTGTATGAGGATTGCCAGTTGACACACCCTCCAGAGAATATAATGTGAATATAGCATTTGGCTATTTTTTACACTTTAAGATTCTTTAGTGTGGAGGTGTGTGTGTGGGGGTGGGGTGGCGGGGGGGCGCTGTCCGATGAGACAGCTCTAAGAGGTCTGACATCTTCCTTTGAGCAAGTAAAAAATTGTTAAGAGAAGAAGGTGGAATGGGGGCTTACCTGGGAATCTTCTAGGTTTATGTAGTATATTAGTTTGCTAGGCCTGCCATAACTATCACAGATTGGTTCATGCAAACAAGAGAAATGTATTTTCTCACAATTCTGGAGTCTAGAAGTCTGAGATTAAGGTGTTGGCAGGGTTGGTTTCTTCTGAGGCCTCTTGCCTTGGTTTGCAGATGACTGTCTTCTCCCTGAGT
The DNA here is from genome assembly GCF_000001405.40 of Homo sapiens. Taxonomy (NCBI): domain Eukaryota; kingdom Metazoa; phylum Chordata; class Mammalia; order Primates; family Hominidae; genus Homo; species Homo sapiens. Next base: position 169,692,833 of record NC_000005.10, read on the forward strand.
CTTCACCGTGGTCTTCTCTCTGTGTTTGTCTGTGCCCTGATATCTTCTTATAAGGACACCAGTCATACTGACCAAACAACCTCTTTTTAACTTAATTACTTATTTAAAGACCCTGTTTCCAAATGCAGTCATGTTGTGAGACACTGAAGATTAGGTATTCAATATATGAATTTGGGGTGTGTGTGTGGGGGTGGGGGAGCAATTCAGCCCCTTCAAGTCTAGGAAGCTTTCAGGTACCAGGGCCTCTGTCGCTCTGAAAGGCACCAATCTAAGTATTTCAAAAATATGGAGAATCCTAATTTGAGGAGAGAAGGTATTAGGGATGGAGGTCATTATGAAGGAAGGAGGATTCAAGTTTTAAAGATGGAAAGGATGTGGATATGTAGAGGAGGAAGAGGCAAGCATTGGAGGGGAAGTGTGGGAGCAGGGTGGTTAGGAAGAAAGATCCAGAGTTGGAAGTGAGCATTGTGTGTTTATGGAGCAATAAAGAAATCTTTGTGACAAAAATAACCTACTTATATTCAGAGAGTCATGGGGAATCAGTGGGCTAGGACAGCTGGATATATTATGTCTAGGTCCTTTCATGTCAACTGGGAAAGAGTAGAACTAATAGGGTAGGAAATAGGGAGCTATTAATGTTGTTGGGGGGAAATAAATGAAATAATAGATGCGATGTCTAAAGATGAATTCATAAGAGATTTCAGGATGGTTTGGAGGAAGGAGTCAGGCAGGCCAGAGACAAGGCTGTTCCAACCATCTGGACGTGAAATAATTGGGATCTCAAATTCAAATGCCTGCAGAAGAAGGCAAGGGATGCAGATGATGGGGTGGGGGGTCTTTCTTAGCCTGAAAAGCAGATGTCCATTCCTGCAGCTGGTGGGATGAACAGCCCTTGTACCAGTCAGTGCTCTCTGGGGAAACAGAACCCATGGAATATAAGTTTGCGATCCTAAAGGCAGGCTGGCAGGCTGGAAACTCAGGCAGGATTTCTATACTACAGTCTTGAGGCAGAATTCCTCCTTGTCTGGCAAACCTGTTTTTGCTCTTAAGACCTTCAGCTGGTTGGATGAGGCCCACGGACATTATAGAACGTCATCTCCTTTACTTAGTCAGCTGGTTGTAGATATTAATCAGGTCTACAAAATACCTTCATAGCAATATCCAGACCGGTGTTTGACCAAACAGCTAGGCACCACAACCTAGCCAGGTTGGCATACAAAATTTAACCGTCATGGTCCCCAGGCAGGAAGGTGTGGACCACACTGGGGCCTTGCCCTGTTCCCAGAGACTCTGCACAGCCCCACTCCCTTCCTCCTATACCAGCATAGTGAGAGGCAGGGGATGGCAGCTGTGCCTTGGTCCTGGATCTGATGTGAGCCGACAGCTTATTCCCAGTGCATATGCCCATATGAGAATTAACTCGAAGGAGAATAAACTGTTCCCTTTTGAGACCTGGCCCAGGGTACTCTACTCTGATGCCAACAGCATGTCTTGTTGTTTCTTCCTTAGCTGATCCTTACTGGCAGGGGGCCTCAAGATCACTGAAGCTTTTAGATTCGAGCATGAAGTCAGGAGTTTCCTCCTGCATGCCTTTCTGATGGCAAGGGAGCTGTACTGTAGTAGCTATGTTTGTGGTCTTTGGTGTCAGGGACTGGGCTCAAAGCCCAGAGTCTCATGGGCTATGGTCATGACCTTGGGGAAGCCTCTTATCTTCTTTGTGTCTCAGTTTCCCCATCTGTCAAATGGGGATGCAATAATTGTATGTACTTCAGAGATGTGAGAGATTGAATATGGTGATGCAGGAATCACTTAGCACAGTGGATGAGAGTGCGTTTCACCAGTTTTGGCTTTTCTAGACTCAGTTGAGCTGGGTCTGGTGGCTCATGTCTGTAATCCCAGCACTTTCGGAGGCTGATGTGGGAGGATTGCTTGAGCCCAGGAGTTTGAAATCAGCCTGGACAACATAGTGAGACCCCATCTCTTAAAAAAAAAATTAGGTAGGCATGGTGGCTCATGCCTGTAGTCCCAGCTACTCAAGAGGCTGAGGTGGGAGGATTATTTGAGCCTGGGAGACTGAGGCTGCAGTGAGCTGTGATCATGCTACTGCCCTCTAGCCTGTGTGACAGAGTGAAGCCCTGTCTCAAAATAAATAAAATAAATAAATAAACAAACAGATAGTTGACTGCAGTTTCCTGACCCCTTGAAGTCAGGTGCGGCCATATGCCTTTCTTTGGCAAATGACATGCAAGCAAAAAGTGATGTGCATCTCTCTTGGGTAGATGATTTAAAAGCCAGAAGTGATTTGCCACATTCCTTTCCCCTGTGGCAGAGACAGTGAGCGCACCCGTGCTGAGACAGAGCTGCCAGCCAAGGGCCCAGAGTAAGTAAGTAATCAGAGCCCCCACCCCTCTGCATTGGCCCTGTAGACTGCACCAGAAGTAAACTTCTGCTGTGTTGTAAGCACTGAGATATTGGGGTTGTTAGCACTACCTCAACCCAACTGATGGCCACACTTTAGATGTGCAGGAAATGGTAGCTGTTATGATTTTTTTCTCTTCCTTTTGTCTTCTCTCTCAGAGGTTCTGAGCAATGATGTGACCGATGGTGTCATCCGAGTCATCTGTAGCAAATGCTACTTTTGGATCTATCACCTCGGCATATGGGGAATCCTGTCTGTACAGCTGATATTCCACCTCTACCCTTCTCTTGCCCTATCATTTTGAGAGGGAAGAATTGGGATTAAACACTAGAGTTTTATCACTCATTTTCCTTTGCAAACCTTACCTTGCTTATCTGTGAAATGGATGTGAGAGCCTTGTTTCTATCTTTTCCAGGACTTATTGTATGATTGGTCCATGTATAGCAAGTATTATATACATCCCTCAGAAATTACTATTACTGGGTTTTCTTGTCTACCTTTTTTCCCCCATTCAGCACATGATGGTCAATTTTTTGTTTCTTTCCCCCCAGGATCTTGGAAACAAAGACCTCAACAGGGATAAAATTTACTTGATTTGTCAAATAGTCCGGGTCGGCAAGATGGATCTTAAGGATACTGGTGCAAAGAAGTGCACGCAGGGACTGAGGAGGCCCTTTGGGGTGGCAGGTAAGGGGCACACTCTGCATCATTGATTTTTATGGGAGCGCACATTTTATGTGGCTGAATTGTAATGATGATTTGTTTCCCAACCGCCTCCTGCTGCCCCCACCCCTGCAAAATTTATGCCAGACAGCCCTTAATAACTACATTTCTGGTGACTAAATCAAAATAATTGGTGACTAAGTCCAGATTTATGATGAACACAGTGAATCATGGGCTCCTCTTGTCTGGAGTAGAGCATCGGGAGACCGGGGCCGTCTGAGCAGTTGACACCTTTGCTCCCCAGCTCTGTGAAAAAGGAAAAACAATACAGGCAGGATCTAATTATGAGGAGCAAATCATTTAAAAAGTACATCTAGGACAGGAAATGCAGTTACACAGAATGAGTCACCTACCACACATCTAAATTCCAGATGGAAACGGACATTTGGAGAATTGGCGTGACCTGAGGCAGAGCCCTGCATGAGGCTGCTGTACAGCAACATCAGCTCTGCATTCCTCTTAAGCTTTAGCTCTCCTGGGGTTTCTAAGGCTTCGTCATTCTTGCCCCACTTTTATGGTTTTAGTTATGTTTGACTACCACTTGTACTGTTATTTACCAAATATAGTTTCTTTTAATCAACCTGCTTTACATAATGTATGTTTTTCATCAAAGGCGATTTAAATTCCTGTGAAAATGGCAATTTGATATGCCAGTTTTCTTTTTATTAAAATATAAAATTTTAAGAGTATACCGTGCATAACCCCTATGTACCATAGCTAACCTCAGTGTTTCAGGTTTCTCACTTCAAGATGCTCTGATCTGTAATCGCAGACCTGCTTACTCTCCAACTAGTCCCCTGGCACTGCTTGCAAAGCGGTGGAGTGGAGGATGTTTTACTGAGCTCACTGTTTTTTTTTTTTTTTTAACCTGGCACTGCGGCTAGCTAGCCAGCCAGTGATATTGGGCAAGCATTTTCCCCAGAGCCTTAGTTTTATTATGTGCAAAATGAAGGACTCATACCTGGTTAATTCATGAAATCCTCTACTGCTCTAAAATGCTCTGATTCTACTTGTGGGGGCATTTCTGACATCATGGTGTTTCTGTTAAGGCAGTAAGGATCCTTCAACCTTACTGCAAAGTGTGTCTTTGTCCTCAGCTGTAGCCTGCCCTCTCTTTTGGTGTCAGATGACAGAAATCTGATCTAAACTGGTAGAAGAAGGAAAAGAAAAGGTACTTTATTGGTGTAACTGAAGAGCTTATGAATAGATCGCTTCAGGCATAGCTGGATCCAGGAACTCAAATCAGTTTGTCTCTTTCTTGCTCCCATGTCCTCATGCTGGCTTACTATGAAGAATTTGTCTCTTTCTTGCTCAGCCCCTATGTCTTCATGCTGGCTTACTAAGAAGATGGCTGTCCAACTAGTTGGCAAATTATCAGCCAGCTGTTCCAAGCTTGCATCCTACCAACTTAGCAACCAGTGGAAAGAATGTACCTCTTTCCCATTAGTTTCAGCAGAAGCCCCAGGAGCTTTAATATAGGTCACGTCCTCATCTCCATAGTCTTTACTCTGGGCAGGGAGAGATGATTATCTGATCTACCAGGTCCTATGAATAACTTTGGAGCCAAAGGGAAATTGCCCTGCCCTAATCACAGCCCTGAGGATGGATGAGGAGAGTCAGTTAGAGAGAATGGATGCTCGGTTTCTCCTCCTGTCTGCTCTCTGACTCCCCTCTCTATCTAGATGCAGTCAGTGGTTGATTATTACCCAAGCAATTTTAATGGCCCCTGCCCAGTGCCTGGAGTGTTTGACGTATTTTCTGTAACTAGGGTATGAGCTTGATTGGAGTAGCTTTTCTCAGCCCTCTCCTACACTCCCACTTCTATAATCCCCATTCTAGTGTAGGAGTTCTTTACCTTGGTTTTGGGACCTTTAGTGGCTGATTTAAGGAAAGGTTTCAGAGGATCCAGGATACCTCTGGAATCACAGGATTTGAGGATTCTTCAGTTATGTATCTGTACATATGAGTATGCTTATGAAAAGAGGGTGGATATTTCATGAGATTCTCAGATCCTACAGAGACCCAATCACTGCTGTCTGGTTTTGTAGGCATGGTAGACATTCAATACATGCATGTCAAATCCAAACCTAATTGCTGAATTCCACAGCCACGGCTCTGACCCTTTCCTTTTGGCCTCTGCTAAGCCATGGTGCTCTTGGATGCCTCCCTGGCCCTCTGACCTCCCAGTCTGCTTTGCCTGGAGGTATTTGCCCTGGTGCTGCACGCGAGGAACCTCTGCTGTCTGAGTGTTGTGCAGCACTGGCTTGCTTGCCATTTTAGGCCTTCCTGACCCCCAGGCATCCCAGGCTCTACCTCCTGTCCCATAAGCTCATCCCACTGTCATCCCTTATGGGAACAGGAAGAAGTTAAACCATTAATTCATTCTGTCTTCTTTCTAGTTATGGATATAACAGACATCATCAAGGGGAAAGCAGAGAGTGATGAAGAAAAGCAGCACTTCATTCCTTTTCACCCGTAAGACATTTCCCATTTCTTTCCATTCTCTTCAACCACACCCTTTGTCATCAAGGGCTGCTGGAGCTCAGAGGGTACCAGTTCCCTGAGTTAGTGATAGGCAGGTGGAGCCTCCCAAGGGAAGCTCAGGGTGAGAATCACTGGCTCAGTGCCCAGGCACTCAAAACCAAACAGCTCTTCAGCCATTCATTCATCAGATGTTATTTATGCCACAGACATTTATTGGTGGCCTGGCAGAGGCTGGCACTGTGCTAGGTGTGGAGGATGAAGTAGTGAACAAGATGGGCCCTGTCTTCATGGAGCTCATAGTATAGATGGGGAATTAAACAGATAATCAACAAAAGATTAATGCATTAATTACAAGTGCAGCAGAAACCACGAAGCTGTGAAGCAGCAGCATTTCAGGAGCGTGTGGCAGGGAATCCTAACCTGGTTCTCATGGATAGACGTATCCATGACTTAGGAGGAGGGCAATAAGGGAGGTCAATGTCCTCTCCTCTCCTGTTCCAAAAGGAGTCTTCCAGAAAGCAGGGCTCCAGTTTGAGAGCATCATCAGTACTTAATAGCCCTAAGGATGGTCCAGGTAATGAGGCTAGTGACTTTGCTGAAGGCGTGTGATAACGACTTAGCAGGAGCAACTCTTGCTAAGCAGATATGCATGTTGAAAGCTTTGGAATCCTACCTTTATAAGCATCTTCCTGGAGAATAAGAAATGGCCTCTACCTGTAGCATTGATATTCCCAAATTTCAGAGCCACATTGCTTTGTGATAAAAAGTGAGGTACCTCTTGATGGCATGTATATACCCTGGGCTGACATATGCAAACTCACTTTTCACCTGAGGCGTGTGGAGGGGCTGGGGAGATTCATGGGACCCCTTGAAACGCAAGGAGGACACGATGTGGACATTTCATGCTCTCTTTTCCTTTCCAGGGTTACAGCTGAGAATGACTTCCTACACAGCCTGCTGGGCAAAGTCATAGCCTCCAAGGGGGACAGTGGAGGGCAAGGTAAAGTGCCAATATGCCAGTGGGCTGAGCCTGCTCCAGCTTGGGAGCCCCTAACTCTTCAGCAAATGAATCAAAATCCTGAACCCTGGGATACTTAGCTTTCCTTCCAGACAGACCACTGGGAAGAATGGGAACATATGATCTACAGGGATAAGTCACATTTTCTGAAGAAAATTGGAGGCATGTCCTGGTGCCCAAAAGCAGAGAGGAATTGATACATCCTGAATATCTCCGGTGTTCCGGGGGCACTTTAATAAGTTACCTTGTTTGATTTCTTTCTTAATCCAGGCCTGAGAGATAGGTGTTGTCATCCTCACTTTGGGCTTAGAGAAGTGGGATAATTTGCCAGAGGCTGACACCGCTAGAAATCATTAGCGGGATTCAGACCCAGAGATCGCCTGTTCCAGAGGCCCTGTGGGCTGGGTGGCTGCATCTGTGGCTGTATGACTCTGTTCCCAGTGATCTCCAGAAAGACAGAGGGGAGAGGTGGCGGGAGGGCCGACTGAGGGGTCACTTGCAAAAGTGGGCTCTTCACGGTGAGCTGTTCCTTTGCAGGCCTCTGGGTGACCATGAAGATGCTGGTGGGTGACATCATTCAGATTCGCAAGGACTATCCACACCTGGTGGACAGGACCACCGTGGTGGCCAGGAAGCTGGGATTCCCAGAGATCATCATGCCAGGTGAGACACAGCTGCTCTGACCTTCCCCTGGGGACATAGGGGCCAATTCAGCTTGTCTAATTCATTTTCCTTCTAAAGAGTCAACTCCTTCCTTTTTTACTGCCTCTCTCCATTTCTGTCCCTGAAGGTAACAACTAAAAATGATGTCTGTATATCCAAAAACTTCTATGCATTAACAAAATAGACACAAGCATGTAAATATAAACACATACCCCTTCTCCCCACAAATGGGGTCATATTTTATATTCCTTTACTTAATATACTTTATATAGTATTCTACAACTTGTTTTTATCACTTAATAATTTATTGTGGCCATCATTTATATTTTATACATGCAGAACAGTTGCACTCTTTCTGGGAGAATATTGTCATTCTCTTATATTTTTAAGCTTTTTTTTTTTATATTACCAAAGGAATTTGTGTTCATTGTAAAATATTCAAATGGCCTGAAAAGGTATAAAGTGAAATGTTAAAAGTTCCTTTATATCTTTGTCTCCAGAAGTAGCCACTACATTTCCAAATGTGTGTATAATTTTAAAAAATGAGTTTATATAATATTAAACAAAAATTATAGGAG